>NC_000007.14:109381779-110006779 GCF_000001405.40 Homo sapiens | reverse complement strand
AAAGCCCTGGAGGTATTGATACAACATACCCACAAATATATATATGTAAAATATATTAATATATATACACACATACATATATACACACATATATATTTTCTTACACATATTTCTGTAGGTTTAAAAAGTTTCAGTACTTATGAGTGTTTTTTTTTCCTGGTACTTCTGTATTCTTAAAACCTGGATTTCAGGTACTCTTTATTTGTTCTGAAATTTCAAGTGATATATTCAGAAAAGTATCTGTGTGACAGATATTCTAAGGCATCGCATATATGAGAATGAATTTTGTCTTCACTCATGAATAACAACTTGGCTACATATAGAGAATTTTGTGGAAAAAAAAGAAAACTTATCTTGGCTTACCCATATTTTTTATTATTTCTTCTCTTTATTGTTAAGTTTCTTAAATACACGTGATCTACATACCTCCCTCTCTCTTCTTATTGCCCCAAATCTGCTTTGTTTTTTACTCTTCCATGAAGCCTGCAATCTTGATCATCACAAATGATCTCTCATTAGCAAATTTCCTTCCTGTTTGTTCAGGCATCGTTATCCATATGTATCTCAAGTTTTATGTCTTCATATTTCAATAATCATATCCATTTGGATGATCCACTATTACCCCAAATTCAACTTGTATAATGGAGATATCCTTACTTCTCAAAACAAATATCCTTTTCTCTATTAATGATACAAGCACCTTTCAATTACCCAGGATTAAACCTGAATTATTCTATGTTTTATGCCCCATCACAACAAATCCTTTATCAAGACCTGCCAGTTCTTCAAAAAGCCATCTTTTGAAAGTGTTCATTCCCTCCTGTTCCAATAATATATAGGTCAGGCTCTAAATCGCATCAGGCACAGGCTTTGAAAAAGCCCCTGAGCAAGTGTTTTATCTCCAGTTTCTTTCTCTCTAATACTCTGATATGAATTCATCTATGACTAAACCTCATAAAATTGTATTCAAAATAATTTATTTTGGGAAAAGCCTACCATGACTTCTAATTTTCTGTAAAATAATACAGTCAAAGATTCCTTATCTGGAAACAAAAAACTTAAGCATCTGAGTTTAACTTACCTCACCAAGTGGATCTTTCAGTTCTTCCCTTTCCCACAAGTCTGGTCTATTCTTGTCACTTCAGAGTGTCTTAGACACACTATATGTTAGCCTATTTATTATGCTATTTTTTAGGTCTACTAAAGTTCTAAATTTATTTGAAGTTTATTGACTTTTTACACATGATATGGTTTGGCTCTGTGTCCTCACCCAAATCTCATCTCAAATTATAATCCCAAAAATGTCCACGTGTCCAGGGAGGAACGAGGTGGGAGGTGACTGGATCATGGAGGCAGTTTCCCCCATGCTGTTCTCTTGACAGTGAGTGAGTTCTCATGAGAGCTGATGGTTTTATAAGGCAGTTTTCCCTGCTCTTGCTCTCATTCTGTCTCTGTCCTGCTGTCGTGTAAGACGTGTCTGCTTCCCCTTCTGCCATAATTGTAAGTTTCCTGAGGCCTCTGGGATCAAGCAGAACTGTGAGTCAATTAAAACTCCTTTGCTGATAAATTACCCAGTCTCAGGTAGGATCTTTATAGCAGTGTGAGAACGGACTAATATAACACAATTGAATTCCCACATTGATAATAAAGCTTTTCCTAACCACGTAACTTCATGGTGAAAAAAATCTGACATACTATGTTGCATTCATGATTATTCTATTTATTTGGTGCTTAAAACACAGATTTTTGTGGTTGTAGTATCATATATGTGTATGCATTAATACATTGATGATATATACATTGCATATATTATTACTTTGTTTTATATAATTTAACATAATAAACAAGTTTTAAGTGCCTTTAGGAAAGTGCTATGTATCAAATGTCTATATAGCTATTATTTTCATTAGAACACAGCCTTGCCCATAGTTGATGCTAAATATATGCCTGCTAATAAATACATTAAAATACATAAAAAGTGAAAACTTTAGGCTATCAGACAGTAGGGTTGATAAATTTAAAAGAAGTATGGTTTACTGAATGGGCCTCTAAGATGCAAGAATAACACAGAAGGAAGAAATTTCCTTGGATTTCTATCAATATAAATCCTAATCTTATGGAAAATAATTCTGTACCAGAAAGTTTAGGGTTTTTTTTTTCTTTTACATGGACTAATTTCAGCAGGAGGAATAGTTTCTAAATTCCCTCATGTGAATTTGAAAAAATAAGGTGTTTTTTGAGGCATTGATTTTAGCTTCAATAAATAAAACTGATTTTAAAAGTTATGCTGATGATTCTTGGCGTTGTCATTGTCAGTACAAGTCCTTAGAGTGGCCTCTTTCAAGGTCACTAAGAGAATTGCCATTATTGCTGGAGCTTCTGTCTCGGGGGGTTATTTTGAAACTACTATGTACACACACACACGCGCGCACACACACACACACACACATATATACACACACACATATATATACACACACACATATATATACACACACACACACACACATACATACATATAAATATAATGTGCTTATACTATGAAAATTTAGACCTGGAAAGAGCCTCACAGATCACATATTCTAGTACATACAATATCGAGAAACATCATCTTCAATAGAAATTTAAATTCCATTTGCTTATCAGGTTATAGTCTAACAAAACTTTTTGAGGCTTAACAGATTTGCTGAAATAAACCAGGTCACTGATGAATGAAGAAGAGCATGCATCTAAACTTCACTCTTAAGTGTATCTGCCTCACACTGCCACCTATAGAAATAAGGTGCTACATGTTTTTAAGTCTTCCTACTCCACAGGATATGGTATAATGTAGAGTACTCCCAATAATTATGTTCTAGTAAAAGAAGATTCTCAAGAGTGTTGCATCCAGATTTGCCCACTTTTCCCACCTGCATTAGTCAGAGAAAGTCCATTCAGTATGAAACATTTTCTATAAAAATTATTGAAGGGCTTCTTTAGTCGAAGGTTGTAAGTCAAGAGCAACACATTTAAAAAAAATTTTTTTAACTATTATTTTGGACTCAGGTGTACATGTGCAGGTTTGTTATACAGGCAAATTGCATGTCATGGGGGCTTGGTGTACAGATTGTTTCATCACCCGGGTAATAATCATGGTACCCAATGGGTAGTTTTTCTATCCTCATCCTCCTCCTTCCCTTCATCCTCCTCCTTCCCTTCATCCTCAGGTAGGCCATGGTGTCTGCTGTTCCCTTCTTTGTGTCCATGGGTATTCACTGTTTAGCTCCCACTTATAAGTGAGAACATGTAGTATTTGGTTTTCTGTTACTGCATTAGTTTGCTTAGGATAATGGCCTCTGAACTCCAGCCATACTGCTGCAAAGAGCATGATCTCATTCTTTTTCATGGCTGAGTAGTATTGCTTGCTGTTTAAGTACCACAAGTTCTTTATGCAGTCTACCATTGATGGGAATTTAGGTTGATAATGACAAAACTAATTTTCATAAAAGAAAACAAATTGTGTGTGTGTGTGTGTGTGTGTGTGTGTGTGTGTGTGTATAAACTCTTTTTTTTTTTCTTTCTTTTTTTCTTTGAGACAGAGTCTTGCTCTGTCACCCAGGCTGGAGTGCAGTGGGGCAATCTCGGCTAACTGCAATTGCAACCTCCACCTCCCAGGTTCAAGTGATTCTCCTGCCTCAGCCTCCCAAGTAGCTGGGACTACAGGCATGGGCCACCACGTACAGCTAATTTTTTGTATTTTTAGTAGAGACCGGGTTTCACTGTGTCAGCCAGGATGGTGTCAATCTTCTGACCTCGTGATCCGCCTGCCTCGTTCTCCCAAAGTGCTGGGATTACAGGCGTGAGCCACCACACCTGGCCTAAACTCTTAATGATAAGTGATATATAAACTTCTATGCCTCCACACTAATTAACTCTTGAAATGTTTTTAAATAAGTAGTCTTTATTCTCACCTGGTTCATATTGCTCTTCTATTTCTGTGGGAACAAGTATATACCAAGTGATATTCTGGCATTCTCCCTCTCTCTCTCTCTTTCACACACACACACACACACACACACACACACACATACTTGTTTTATGCAAATTTTATTTTTGTTCATAAGGTTTCTTAGTGTTCATTCTGAGTCCTGAAATTTTATCTGTGTTTTGGCACGTAGCCCTTTCTTATTTCCAGTTGATAGAAAAATTCTTGCTGTCTGATTGACTTACTATTATTCAGAATGACTTGTCTCTATATTTAGGAGAAAATGGAGTTTCTTCTTTTCTCTCTTATTAGAACTCAGTGTTATGCTCTGTAAACTGCACTGTGCATTCTCCAATCTGTCCTGAATCTTTTGTGGGGAAAGCTAACTTCCTGATTAAGATCTCACTTAAAAAGTGATCTCCTTTTCTCCTGTCTCGTTGGGAGATTACTAGCTTCTGTAACTAAATGTGTCATTGAGCATCCTATTTGGCTGTAGCTTTAGACTATTAGATATAAGATTTGACCATTGTGTTCCTAATGTCAGGAAGGCTATGAACAATTGTTCAACTGTAGTCTCCCAAGCTCTCCTGACTTCAGAGACTTTAAAACATATGGGATGCTTTCAAGATGAAATTAGATACCTGTGAGTCTAAAAACATGATATTTATAGCCCTCAGGTTGTGATCTCAGGTTGTTTTGAATACATAGATGAATAGATGTATTCAAACCAAATAAAGGCAAACTGGGTGTTTAAAGAACCTCAATGAAAAGTTTTATGTGGAAAGAAGAAACAGAACACAGGGGCTACACAGTGCTGTGTTAACATGATAACAGCTCATCTGACAGGCTGCTTCTGTTGTATACAGAAGTCAGAAGGCTTTTTTTAAACATGAATCAACCAATATTTGGTCTTTCTGGGTCACTGCTAAATAGTAGTGTGAATTTCCCCAAGCCATGGGCTTAAGCAGTAGCTCTGGTTGCTCCATACCGAGGTTGCCCCCTGTGATGCTGGTAAATGTATTTATTGGTATGAAAAGATGGAGCCTTACATACTGATGAAATTAAAAGCCACATATGCCACAGCCCACAGCCAAATGCTTGGAAACATTTAGTGTTCTAGGCATGGTGCCAGGCATCAGAGATACAAAGATGGATGACACCAGGCCTCAACCCCAGAGGATTTTAGAGGTTATTGGAGAAGAAAGGTGTATAACAAGAAAATGGAAAGGAAGCTATCAACTAGATATAAACAAATCACCAAAACAGAGGATAAAACTTTTATCTTTGCCTGATGATAATAAAATTGTGAAATTATTTTCTGAATCAGTGACCAGATATAGGGGAACCCATCACTTTATGCATAATCAGCTATTTACAAATAATGGGTGTAAAAAAGGTGTTAGGGACTGTGAATAATGCTTTTGAGGAAATTCCACCAAACTTACACCTTCAGTGTGTGGAAAACATGTACTAGATGGATGATCCAGATAGGACCTACTAATGGGGTTTCTACTACATGAATGAAATAAATGGTAACTAAATAGTTGGTATAAACATATGAGCTGGCTGAAGTTATAGGTTTTATAAAGTATATACAAATTTTTGTCTATATTTCTCTATACATTTTATCTTTCATCAGTTTTAATTTCTGGTTAATTGTAAATTGAAAGCCTGTAATTCTCTCTTTGTTTTAGGGTGTTCATTTTCCATGTAAAATATTAGCTGTTTCTAGCAGCAGTAATCATGGGGAAACAAGAACTCAGGTAGTAAAGCATTAGTGAAATTGAAAGATAAGAATGGGGAGGTCATCATGGAGGAGTGCAAAAAAAAAGACTTAGTCCTTTGCATTCCCTTCATGATAAAAATGAAGTTATTTCGTTAACATGTACTTAGATAATTTTACATTCTTATAGTGCATATTTAAATTTGGATTAAAAAAACAACCTACATCATAAGATTTTGCATCATCTGAAAGAATATTTTAATTGGTCCATCTGGCATTTGAAATAATACGGTACTTATTATAAAGCAGGTGTTAGACACTTCTGAATATTCTGTCCTTAATTAAAGCTTAAAGTAAGATTACATTTTCTATTTTAAACTTTAAAAATCTAAAGTTAGTAGACATGAATAACAAAATGTATGGAATCATATGATGTTAAACATTCAGTAACTAATGATTAGATATTATTTATTGAACTTTAATTCCTGAAATACTTTTGTTTTGAATTTGAGAAATGTAACAATGGGTATCAGTAGTTGGAAATTATTTGTGTTCAAACTTTGTTTATTCACTGTAATTAAGAAAATTTGGTGTACTCTTGAGTGTCATAGTTCAGCAAACACTTTAGAAATAAAAGCTCATCATATATTTGACTATGGTTTTTAGGTATCTTTATTCAAAAGAAAATGAAACGGTTGATACCTCAAAGTAAAAATGTATTAAAAATATTTGGCCTGAATTAATAAACATATTTATAAAAGATTATCTTGGGTTTGTTTAAACTATATTCTTTGATAGTTTGACAGAACTTTTAAGATAATTTGGTGATAATTTAGAGTCCATACGGTCTCTGCAAAAATAAACATCAGCTTAGTAAGTCCTCCTTATAATCCATACATAGAAAATCATAAAATTTGAGAAAGATAATAGGACTGTTATTTACATGCACAACAGGTTAAGAAGCAATACATACAGAATGTCTGTGAATCACATCAAGGGAGATTTAAATCTCCAGTGAAAGAATCTAGGGTTATTTTTGGCCAACTCTACTCAAAACTTCTATTAATGTTTAGCTAAATAAATGGAAGAGAAGTTCAACCAGAATATATTTCCAATATTGAAGAGCGAACCACTTGCATGTATGGGTTTTCTTTGCAAATAGGTACTGCAAGTGGCAACAAACATCAAAATGAAGCAATCAATAAGCAAAATTCTATGCAAGAATATAGGCAAATTTAATTAGATAGATATAGCATCTATTCTCTAGGATTTTATAACCCCAAAGAGCAACGGGAAGCTTACATCAGTGTACTTAGATGCCAGGAGAGCAATAAAAAATTAGTGCTCTGAGAAATAAAATAAACTATGTATTTGTATTTTGTCAGTTATATCTACAACCGACAAAATGAATCGAGACAGATGATACAATTAAGATTTACAGTTATGACCAGCGGGACGTGACAGTGTGCTGTCTAACTGGAAGTTCACTGTTCCCTGGCTTGGGTCCCTAGGCTTCCTGCCTTGGAAGCGCAGCAGCAGGCTTCATGGGAAGGTGAAGAGCTTCCCTAAGGATGAACCTTCCAAGCCATTCCACCTCACAGCCTTCCTGGGATACAAGGCTGGTATGGCCTACATCATGTGAGAAGCTGACAGCCCAGGATCCAAGGTGAACAAGGAAGTGGTAGAGGCTGTGACAGTTGTGGAGACACCGCCCATGGTAGTTGTGGGCATTGTGGCTATATGGAAATCGCTCAAGGCCTCCAGACCTTCAAGACTGTCTTTGCTGAGCACATCAGCAATGAATGCAAAGGTGTTTCCATAAGAACCGGCATAATCTATAAAGATGGCCTTTACCAAGTACTACAAGAAATGGCAGAATGAGGATGGCAACAAGCAGCTGGAGAAGGAATTCAACAGCATGAAAATGTACTGCCAAGTCATCTCTATCATTGCCCATACTTAGATGTGCCTGCTTCCTCTGTGCCAGAAGAAGGCACGCCGATGGAGATCCAGGTGAACTGAGGCACTGTGGCTGAGAAACTGGACTGAGCCTGGGAAATGCTAGAGCACCAGGTCCCTGTGAACCAAGTATTTGGGTAGGACAGGGTAATTGATGCCATTGAGGTGACCAAGTGCAAAGGCTACAAAAGGGGTCACCAGTCATTGGCACACCAAGAAGCTGACCCACAAGACCCACCAAAGGCTGTGTAAGGCTCCTTATATCAGGATGTGGCATCCTGCCTGTGTGGCCTTCTCTGTGGCATGTGCTGGGCAGAAAGGCTACCATCACTGCACTGAGAATAACAAGAAAATCTGTAACATTGGCCATGGCTACCTTACGAAGGATGAAAAATGGATCAAGAACAATGCCTCCACTGATGGTGACCTGTCCGACAAGAGCATCAACCCTCTGGGTGGCTTTGTCCACTATAATGAAATGAACAATGACTTTGTCATGCTGAAAGGCTGTGTGGTGGGAATCAAGAAGTGAGTGCTCACCTCCGCAAGCCTTTGATGGTGCAGACCAAGCGTCCTGCTCTGGAGAAGACTGACCTTAAGTTCATCAACACTGTTTCCAGGTTTGGCCGTGACCACTTCCAGACCATGGAGGAGAAGAACCACTAAAAAAGACCAGATTGCAAAGCAAGAAGGAGCTTAATGCCAGGAACAGATTTTGCAGCTGATGGGGTCTGAATAAAAGTTATTTTCCACTGGAAAAAAAAATTAGATAGGCTTTCAAAACTTAACAGACAAGACTAGATTCTAAATAGTGATGGCAAAAATATAGAATTTGGAAAGAAGTAGTTCAAAAGAAACCTATATAAATAATTTCTGGAGAGTTTAGGTTGATTTGATTGGTTCACAATAATTAAACAAGTAGTTGTTGATAAGTAAAGCACTGTGTTAAGTGTCTCCAGAAATACAAAGATGAGAATGCACTAATCCTGTCTTTAAGGTATCTGCCTAAGTGGGAACAGGTTTATATGCACAAATATTCTTAAGTAAAATACATGATATCTGCCATGTGATTGAATGAAGCAAAGATAAATAAATCAGTAAAGTCACGTGACTTTATTGGGAGAATTTCTCGCAAAAATGTTAGCTTTTGAGACACAATGAGAAGGGAAAAAAAAGAAGTATTTTAAACATTAAATATAAAAGCAAAGTTGCTCCAGACCAGTGGTGTCTGATAGAACTTTCTGCTATGAGAGAAATGTTATATATCTGTTGTGTCTGATATAATAGCCATGAACCACTTGTGGCTACCAAAAACTTGAAACTTTAAAACAGAATGCTAAAACTTATTTAATTTAAATTTAATGGTTTCTATATTGAACAACACAGTTTTAGGCAGAGAAACCAGCTTATGTAGAAGTACTGAAGCTTGAGAGAGCATGGGACGCTATGTTTACAGGCAGCAACCTCTCTGCTCTCACTAGAGTAGAGTTGGGTGATAAAGTGAAAAGCAAGGTTGAAAGCAAATATCCAGGCGAAATTTTGGAAGCTTTTGCATATTGGGCCATTATAGAGTAGGCAATGAAAATTTTTGAATAGGTTTGAGTCAAGTCCAACCTTGGGATTTAGGAAGAAAACCAGTGACTGTGAATCAGTCGAGATCAGGTGAGAAGTTACTGTAACAATTCAAACAAGAGAATGTGAGATATTATATTAAGACAAAGAAAATGAAATTATATATGCAAAGGAAAATTCAGGGAGACATTTATCATATTGGCTTAATGTGGTTTCCCCAAACTGAGGAGAAAATATTCGAGTAAAAATTACAAATGCAAACAGCATTTTTCTTTTTCAGAGTTTCTGGGAAAAGGAAGAAAATGACACAGGGAAATGGTGGCAGCCAATATTGTGTGAGTGACTAAGCCAGCAATCAACATGGGTGACTGGAGTTCATTCTTACAGGGAAACACTGGAGGATGGTATAACACATGTGCCTCAAAATTATCCCAACAAAAGAGCAAGGGAGCTGAGACACTACCATCAGTCACCAGTTAAAGACTGTTTCCAGGGGATGCAGGACTTCTGGCCTGCTGTATGCTGGGATAGATTAGCCTTCCATAGCTTCAGGAAAAACAAAAAACAAAAAAAACCTGAGAAGTAGAAATGCAGATAATAGGATTCAGAAGCCCTCAGGTGGACATAAAAATGGCAGCATGCAAAGGCTTAATCAGAGTTCTATTAGTGTCTGCTTCATGCATGTAATATGTAATATAACACCAGGTATGCTACATGTCTTATAAAATCACATTAAAATATGTATAAACATACTAACAGGCTTACTGCTTATATAATAAGAGAGATGGTAACTAAGTTAAAAAATAAGAATAATAAAAAATACATTCATATTGAAAAACCAAAAATATGTCTATAGAGTATTACTACTTTCAAATTTAGCCACAAGAACAGATGAGATTGCATGTTTTTGGTGGTAGTGGTTCTCAGAAGGGTTTCCAGGCCACTTTGGTGGCCTGCCAAGTCTTCATGGGTGTGCACTATTTTTGATAAATACGTGAAGCCTATTGCTGCTAAAATTGAGTACTGTATATTTTCTGTTGTGACAATATCTGACAAGCTAAAAAATGAGAGATGAGACATAGTATACTATGAAGCCAGACATGTCAAAATGTGTTTATTAAAACCTGATAATTTTTTTGGGAAAAGAAAGATTTTTACTGAATTCTGACACCATGAAAGACGAACAAGTTTATTGTCCCAGGCAACCTGGGATACTTTCATAGGCACCAGGAGATATTGTGGCACTGTAGTAATGATAATATTTTAGTTATTGCTGACATTTTTGTGTGGTTTGAATCCCTTCATCATTCTATGTTTGTCACCAGAACTAATAATATCCTAAACTGCACAAGTTTGAGAAAAAAGTTTGGTAAATGTTAGCCAAAGTAAGGAATGTGTTGTGATAATTCATCATTAAGTTACAGCAGTAATTTTTGTGACTAATGTTGAAAATGTATTCGTTATTATTGAATACATGGTAAATAAAGAAGACATTTTCTTAACTTGCTTACTATTGAATATACCAATAGACACTGAGATGTCCATAAAGCATACTCATTACAAATTAGTTGTAAAATTACAGCCATGTAGGACTTACCAGCATCAAAAAAGTGCTGTAAATTTACAAGAGTCTCTTTTAATGTTCAAAATAATTTTAGTAAGTTTTTTTTCTGGTGAGGTTATTTGGACAAGGAACTGGTCCAAATTCTCAAAATCAAATGAGCCTCCTAAGGGAGACAGTGTTTTCTCTTCACATATTCTTTCCTTTATCTTCAGCAATTGATCTCCCTAAGCATAGCTGTATGTGTGGTGACACAGTGAAGAATCTGTATTTCTAGCCCCCCTTGCAACCAGATTTTCTATTTGTTCTGATCAATGGTGTCTGAGCAGAAGAAAAGGTGCATTTAACTTCCAGGAAATATACTTAAAAGAAGGAGAAATATCCTTCTTCTGTCTTTTCTTCTTTCTGATTATAATGCAGATGTGACAGCTGCAGCTGGAGAAGCTAGTCTGGACTATAAAGTAGATGCCATCATTTAAAGAAAGCAGACAAATAAGAAAAATAATATAGGCCTCTCATTGATAATTATGAAGAATAGACACCAACTCTTTTTTTCATATAATTATGTATGAAAAAATAAGCATTTATTCTTAGACAATAGTATTTTGGGTTTTTTTATGACTAAGTTAAGTCGAGTTTAATTTTAAGAGGAAAAACTCCATTTCCATTTTTGCAATTATTTTCTACACTTAGATGTATTCTTGGGATGGTGGGATAAACTTGCCTTAAAGAAGATGGTTATATTTTGGAAACAAACAGATTATATCTGTAATATAAATGCATGTCAAGGCCTATCCTTTCCATGAGAGTGGTCATGTAGAGTCAAGATTTCATCTAAGAAATCAAAAAGATCTCCTTTCAACTTGAATAGATACATCTGAACATTTCCCATGGAAAACCAAAGAGCTTAGTATGAAAGAACAGTTGTTCACTGTTGGTGCCCATATGTCTCCAAAGCAAAGAAATAGGTTTAAAAGAAATTCTAGACTTAAACTCAACACTTGATCAGTTGGACCTAATAGACATCTGCAGACCACCCAATAATCACAGAATATACATCCTTCTCATTGGCACATAGAACATATTGATTGGTCAAAAAGCAAGTATCAATAGATTGAGAAAAACTAAAATCATGCCAAGCATACTCTTGGACCACAGTGCAATTAAAATAGAAATCAGTTTCAAGAAGAATTCTCAAAACTGCACACATTTATGGAAATCAAACAACCTGCTCCTGAATAACTCATGAGTAAACATCAGAATTAAGGTAGAAGTTTAAAAAATGAAATTATTGAAAATGCAGACATGACTTACCCAGATCTGAGATGTAGCTAAAGCGGTATTAAGAGCAAAGTTTATAGCATAAATGCCTTCATCGAGAAGTTAGAAAGATCTCAAATAAAAAATCTAACTTTGCACTTAAAAGAATTAGAATAAAAAGAACAAAACAATCCCAATACTAGCAGAAGAAAATAAATAACGAGAATTTCAGAAGAACTCAATGAAATTGAGATGCAGGAATCCATAAAAAAATCAATGAAACCAATAGTTTGTTCTTTGCAAAAATAAACAAAATTGATAGACTGCTAGCTAGATTAATAAAAAAAAGAGAAAAATAAGTAAATCAAATTATAAACATAATATTACAATTGATCCCACATAAATACAAGATCCTCAGAAAATACTATGAACAACTCTGTGCACACAAATTAGAAAATATAGAGGAAATGGATAAATTCCTGGAAACACACAATCTCCCCATATTGACTCAATAAGAGGTTGAAACCCCGAATAGACCAATCTTGAGCTCTGAAGTTGATTCAGTAATAAAACACCTACCAACCAAAAAAAAAAAAAAATCCCTGGACCAGATGGATCACAGCTGAATTTTATCAGATGTACAAATAAGAACTGGTACCCAATCCTACTGAACATATTCCAAAAAAGATGAGGAGGAAGCGCTCCTCCTTAACTCATTCTATGAGGCTAGCATCAACCTCATACCAAAATCTGGCAGAGACACAGCACAAAAAAGAAAACTTCATGTCAATATCCCTGATGAACATAGACACAAAAATCCTCAACAAAATACTAGCACATTGAATACAGCAGCACATCAAAAAGTTAATACACCATGATTAACTAGCCTTTATTTGTGGGATGGAAGGCTGGTTCAACACACAAATCAATAATTGTGATTAATCCCTTAAACAGAATTAAAAATAAAACCATATGATCATCTCAATAGATGCAGAAAAAGCTTCCAATAAAATCCAACATTTCTTCATAGTTAAAACCTTCAAAAAACAAGGCATCAAAGGAATATACCTCAAACTAATGAGCCATCTATGACAAACCCATAGCCAACATCATACTAAACAGGCCAAAGTTCCCTTTGAGAACTGGAACAAGACAAGGATACCCACTTTCACCACTCTTATTCAACATAGTACTGGAAGTCCTAGCCAGGGCAGTCAGGCAAAAGAAAGAAATAAAAAGCATCCAAAGAGAAAAGAAAAAATCAAACTATCTCTGTTCACTGATGACATGATTCTATACCTAGAAAACCCTAAATTATCTACCAACAGACTCCTAGAGCTGATAAACAATTTTACTAAGGTTTCAGATACAAATTAATGTACAAAAATCAGTAGCATTTCTGTATACCAATAATGCCCAGGATGAGAGGCAAGTCAAAAATACAATCCCATTGACAATAGCAACAAAGAAAATGAGATACCTAGGAATACAGTCACCCAAGGGGGTGAAAGATCTCTACAAGGAGAACTAAAAATCACTGCTGAAAGAATCAGAGTTGACTCAAATAAGTAGAAAAGCGTAGCATGGCTCATGTATTGGAAGAATCAATATTATTAAAGTAGCCATACTGCCCAAAGCAATTTACAGATGCAACACTACTTTTATCAAACTACCAATGTCATTCTTGACAGAATTAGAAAAAAAGCTATTCTAAGTTTCATATGGGACTTAGAGCTCAAATAGTCAAAGCAATTCTAAGCAAAAAGAAGAAAGCTGGAGGCATCACAATACCCAACTTCAAACTTTATTATAAGGCAATAGTAACGAAAGCAGCATGGTACTAGTGCAAAAACAGACTCATAGACTAATGAAACAGAATAAGAAACTCAGAAATAAATCTTCACACTTGTAAACGTCTGATCTTTGATAAGGCTAACAAAAACAAGCAAAGGGGCACAGTTCCCTATTCAATAAATGGTGCTGGGATAGCTGGCTAGCCATATGCAGAAGAATGAAATTGAGCCTTCACCTTTCACCATATAGAAGTGTTAATTCGAGATGGATTAAAGATTTAAATATAAGACCTCAAACTATAAATGTCCTAGAAGAAAGCCTAGGAAACACCACTGTCAACATGGACTTGGGCGAAAAAAAAAAAAAAAATTTGTTAAGTCTCCAAAAGCAAAAATTGACAAGTAAGAGCTAATTAAAGAGCTTCTACATAGCAAATGAAACCATCAAAGTAAACAGAAAAGCTAGAGAATGGGAGAAAATATTTGCAAGCTATGCATCTGACAAAGAAATACGTAACATTCAGAATCTATAAGAAACTTAAATGAATGAACAAACAGAAAACAACCCCATTAAAAAATGGATAAAGGACATGAACAGACACTTCTCAAAAGAAGACATAGTCGGGGGGTAGGGGGTTAGGGGAGAGATAACATTAGGAGAAATACTTAATGTAGCTGACAGTTTGATGGATGCAGCAAACCACCATGGCACGCGTATACCTTTGTAACAAAACTGCACGTTCTGCACATGTATCCCAGAACTTAAAGTATAATTTTTAAAAAAGAGAAAAAAAAAGGCAAACATCATTGAAAAAATCTTTATCTTCACTAATCATTGGAGAAATGCAAATCAAAACCACAAGACAACATTTCACACCAGTCAGAATGACTATTATTAAAACATCAAAAAGCAACAGATACTGGCAAAGCTGCAAAGAAAAGGGAACACCTATACACTATTGGTGGGAATGTAATTTAGTTCAGGACTGTGGAAAGTACTTGGAGATTTCTCAAAGAACTACCATTCAGAGTTCTGATTCAATCCAGCAATCCCATCACTGTGTATATACCCAAAGGGAAATAGATGTTTGTACTAAAAAGACACATACACTCATATGTTTATCCCCACACTATTCACCATAGCAAAGACATGGAATCAACCTAGGTGCCCATCGATGGAGGACTGGGTAAAGAAAATGTGTACATTTATACCATAGAATACTATGCAGACAAAAAAAAAAAGAATGAAATCATAACCTTTTCAGCAACAGGGATGCAACTGGAGGCCTTAATCCTAAGCGAATTAATGCAGGAACAGAAAATCAAATACTACATCTTCTGACTTTTAAGTGGGAGCTATACATTGAGCACCCATGGACATGGACATAAACATGAGAACAATGGACACTGTGAACTACTAGAGAGGAGAGGAATGCAGGGGGGAATGGATCAAAAAACTATGTACTGGGGACTATACTCGCTACCTGGGTGCAATATAACCATGTAACAAACCTGCACACATACCCCCTGTATCTAAAATAAAACTTGAAATAAATGTGTATATAAATATAATATATTTAACTATATATCATATTACTATATTAATATAACAAATGTATATATTTTAAAATCTGTCTAAAGTAAAACTTGAAATAAGTGTGTATATAAATATATATAAATATATATAATATTACTATGTTAATATAAAAATGTATATATTTTAAAATGTATATTTATAAATCTAAATGTATATATATTTAATCTATATGTTTTAAATATATATATTTAAAATGAATACATCTAAAACATAGTTATTTCTAAAATATCTTAAAACTTCTATTATAAATGAAATAGAAATACAAATTATACCATCAAATTTTAAAAATAAGGTTATATAAAGAAAAAAATAAATTAGATGAACGTTCAAGAGCTAACTTTTTGTGTTTATGGAAATTATATCAGTTTTAATATATATTGATTTGTTTCTATAGATTTTTATAGATTCACATGCAAGAGCTTAAATATTTGGAATTAATCCTCTTATTAAAATAATAGTGGCTTTATAATCAATATTTCTTGCCCAACAAATCATTTTCAGGCTATACTATTATCTTTATGATACTATCAATATACTAGTTTGCTAACATTCTGAGTATAACCAAGATGCATTATAGCAGAATTCAGAAAAAAAATTAACATTACATGAGATAAAATAATATTTTTGGAGTTTTGTGACCATGAGGGCTTTCTCTTAGTCTTCCTCTATAGGCTCCAGCATGCTAAGATTTTTCTCTGGTTCACTCTTTCTAATCAGATGCAGTGACAAACAACCTGCTCAGTGACTTAGAGCAGAGTTAAATTCTTGCACACTGTAAGTGTCTATCATATCTTTTTCACTTGAGACCAAGGAAGGTAGAGTAACCTTTACCTGGGACATTGCTATATTCTTAGCAGAGTGGAAAAAAAGCATATCACAAGCTGGATCTTTAACCTTTGCTCAGACATGCTTCACTTTCACCCCCATTTTACTGGCCAAAGCAAGGCACATGGACAGTTCTGAATTCAGTGAAATAGGAAAATATAATCTCACAAAAAACAGCATAAGTATGGAGGAAGGTGCTAAAATGTCTAGTCTGTGATTAATTACTCTGTTTACCAAGTGGAGGTTCCCAGTCATACCTCCTTGACAACATCATAACTAGACCTCTGGGTAAATACATGGATAATATTTGCTAGGAATGGAGTCCTTATCTAGGGAAAGGTCATAATGGGATGTCCTTGGCTAAGGATGGCTTATAGAAAATAAAACCAGAATCTATAGATTTATGAGGAGAATAATGATAACCAGCTAGTGATAAATTGGAGATGTTTCATAAACAAAATACTCCCTGATGTCTGGAGTAATAACTTACGTACCTCATTTAGAGACTTGTGTATTCTTGACCAAGAATCCATGTCTAATATGGGAAGGAAGCACCTAGGGAGCTGCTAAGCATGTCCTTGACCTCTCTCTGCTTTACCTGAGCTTCTTTATGTGTGTATCTTTGAAATTACTAGTAGAACTTGATATTGGGTATGATGTCTGACTTATTTGAGTTTGACTTGACAATTTAATCCTTTGTGTTATTTATCAAATAATATGGCCAAGGCTGATGTCAGCATAAAGAGGAAGAAAATATTTTGAGCAATAATGTAATCTACCACACTTATTATGTTTATGGGCATATTTAGACTTATTCCTGGTCTCTTATTCTGTGATTTTTAAAATGCCTTTTCTTTGTGTCTTTTTTCTTTTCTTTTGATTTCTATTTGATCAGTTATGCTCTTTGTTTTTTCCTGTTATATGTGTATTGGCTAAAATTTTAATTTTATTTTTACTTTTTAGTAACTCTAGTTACATTTTTAATATGTTTCCTTGACATGACAAAGTCTAAGTGTAATCAATATCTTTGAATTCTGATATCATCAGTCTAGTTTTTCATGTCAATATTTTTGGAAGTTTAGGTTTCTCATTTTTTAACAACTCGTTCCCTCAAATGAAGTCATAGTTAATCTTATTTAGTTTTACTAGTTTAATTTCTTTTTACTGAAACATACTATTTAATTCTAGCAGCAGAAGATTCTGAGTAGTTAATTCATTCCTTGTATCTATTTAATTTAATTTAATTTAATTTATTTATTTATTTTATTTTTTGAGACGGAGTCTCGTTCTGTCGCCCAGGCTGGAGTGCAGTGGTGCGATCTCGGCTCACTGCAACCTCCCCATCCCGGGTTCACGCCATTCTCCTACCTCACCCTCCTGAGTGGCTGGGACTACAGGTGCCGGCCACCACGCCCGGCTAATTTTTTTGTATTTTTAGTAGAGACGGGGTTTCACCGTGTTAGCCAGGATGGTCTCCAGCTCCTGACCTCGTGATCCACCTGCCGCCTCGGCCTCCCAAAGTGCTGGGATTGCAGGTGTGAGCCACCGCGCCTGGCCATTTTCTTGTATCTTTTAAAATATCATTAATTCATCCTGGAACCTTAAGTGATCATTTTAGTTATAGAATGTTTAGGCTGACTATAATTTATTATCTCTCAATCTTTTAAAAATTATTCAACTATCTTTGGCATCTATTCTTGCTAATGTGATCATGCTTTCAGTTTGTTTCAGTGTAGCTCCTCTGTTTTATCTTTCTTTCTCTCTCTCATTTTTAGTATGATCTTCCACTATCAGTAATCAGAGCCTCCATATTAGTAAATGCCTACCATTATCTTGGAAACAATATCTCACTTCTATATTACTGATACTCTCCATATGTGAATGTAACTAAGCATAGAATGATCTTTAATATTCCACCCTTCAGCTCTTACATCTCTTCATATATTTGTGCTTCATTCTGAGTACTGAGTAACTTTCTCACCTATTTTACTATCTACTAAGTCCGTTTCAATCTATACCTCATCACCTGTTTAACCTATTCATGGAGGATATCATTGTCCTTTTTTAATATCACATGCAGAGAATAAAGTTCATTTTATTCCTAAATTAATGGTACAATATAATCTTCATTTTGTATAAGCCATTCTTCAGTTCAAATTAATTATTTTAATTAATAGACAATATATTTAAAGTTTACAGAAGAATTTAACAAAAAAATATAAATAGTTCTCATATAACCTCACTTCTCTCCCCCAACACACAAAGTTTCTTATATTATTAATATTTTTTCATTAGTGTGGTATGTTTGTTACAGTTAATGACTAAATATACATACCTTGTTATTAGCTAAAGTTCATAGTTTACATGAGGGTTCACTTTTATGTTACACATTCTATAGGTTTTGACAACTGTATAATGACATTTATTCATTATTACTGTCTCATGCAGTAGAGTAGCATTGCCCTAGAAATCACCTACTCATGCCTCTTGCTCTCCCCACCCAGAACCCCTGATAGCCACTGATCTTTTCACGTCTCTGTAGTGCCTGTTCCTGAATGCCATACATATTTGCCATCATACAGTAGGTAGCATTTTTAGATTGGCTTCTTTCTTGTAGCAATACACATAGCACATTTCTTTTTATCACTGACAATATTCCATTATGTGGTTTAACCACCGTTTATCTGTTCACCTATTGAAGGATATCTGGGCTTCTTCTGAGTTTTGGCAATTATGAATAAAGCTGCTGTAAACAATCATTTTCAAGTCTTTGTGTGGACATAAAGTTTTGAACTCACTTAAATAGCAGGAGAATGACTGTGAGATCATATGAAAAGAGTATGTTCAGTTTTATAAGAAACTGTCAAAACGTGTTTCTGTGTAGCAGTATTATTGTGCATTGTCAACAGCAATAAATAAGAGCTGCTGCTTCACCTACTCGCCAGTGTTTGCTGTTGCCAGTGTTTTAGATTTTAGCTATTTTAATGGGTAGATAGTGGTCATCATTAGTTCAATTTGCAATTCCTTAATGTCATATGATGTTGAATGTCTTTTCATATGCTTATTTGCTATTAGTGTATATTTTTCGTGGGATGTCTGTGCAGATCTTTTTCCCATTTTTTAATTGGATTGTTTATTATTGTTGATTTTTAAAAATTATTTGTATGTTTTAGATACCAGTCTTTTATCAAATATTTGTTCTGCAAAGGTTTTCTTTCTGCCTAGGAGTTCTTTTTATTCTCTTAATAGTGTCTTGTAGAACCGGAGGTTTTTAATTTAATGAGATCCAACTTTTCATAGATTGTGCTTTTGTGTTATGTGTGAAACATCTTCAACAACTCAAAGTCATCTATGTTTTCTCCTATGTTATCTTATAGGAATTTTATAGGTTTCCATTTGACATTAGGTCTATAATACCTTTGGAATTAATTTCTGTGAAATTTGTAAGGTTTGTGTTTAGAATCGTGTGTGTGTGTGTGTGTGTTTATGAATTCTCAGATTTCCCAGCATTATTCACTGATTAACTGAAGACTATTGTCTTAGACAGCTAGGGCTTCCATAACAAAATACCACAGACTGGGTGGCTTAAACCAGAGATGTTTGTTTTCCTCGTAGTTCTAGGGCTGGAATTCCAAGTTCAGGATGCCAGCATGGTTGGTTTCAGGTCAGGCCTCTTTTCCTGTAAGTGACCAGCCCTTGCCATGTGTTCACATGACCTCTTCTCTGCACATGCTGAGAGGCAGAGAGAGAGAAAGAGAGAGCATGCAAACTCCCTGATGTCTTTTCTTATAAGAAAATGAATCTCATCCTACCAGAGCTCTACCCTTATGACCTTACATAACTTTAATTGCCTCCTTAAAGGTCTTATTACCAATAGAGTCACATGGGCAGTTAGGGCTTCAACATACACATTTGGGTTGGACATAGTTCAGTCATAGCAACTATCCTTTCTCCATTGAATTGTCTTTGCTCTTTTGTAAAAGATTAGTGACTAATTTGTGGGAGTCTTTTCCTGGGCTCCCTAATCTGTTCTGTTGATCCATGTGTCTACTGTTAAATCCGTATCACACTATCTCTTCTTTAATATTTTGCTGGCTACTTAGAGTCTTTTGGTTTTTTACATATGCTTTAGAATCAGGTTTTCGATGTACACAAAATAACCTGCTTGGGTTTTCATTGGGATTGTGTTAAATCTATAGATCAAGTGTGAAGAACTGTCATGTTTACAATATCAAATTTTCCTATTTATGTATCTATTTCTCCATTTACTTTGATCTTTGATTTCTTACATCAGAGTTTTGTAGTTTTTCTCAGATAGATCTTGTATATATTTGCTAGATTTATACCTAATTATTTTATTTTATTGAAGCTAATGTAAATGGTATTGTGCTTTTAATTCCAAATTCCAATTCATTGCTGGAATATAAGAAAGTAATTGACTTAGTATTTTGTGCACGTTGATAAACTGATTCTAAAGCATATATGGAAAAGAAAGAGACCCTAAATAGCCAGCATAGTATTAAAGGAGAACAAATTCAGAGGACTGATACTACCTTCTTCACGTCTTACAATTCAGTAGCAATATTGAAGATAGTGTGATACTGGTGAAAGAATAGACACAGATCAATTTTATTTTTTTTATCAACTAAGAATAAGAAAAATAAAAGATTTTATCTTACCTTCATTTATTCTTTCTTAGACCATTTGGGCTGCTATAACAACATATCATAGACTGAGAGGCTTATAAAGAGTAGAAATGTATTTCTCATAGTTCTGGAGGTTGGGGAGTCCAAGATCAAACTATAGACAGACTGACTGATGAGGTCCTGCTTTCTCACAGCCATCTTCTCACTCTAGCCTCACATAGTAGAAGGGGCAAAGGGTCTCTCTTGGGCCTCTTTGTTAAGGGCACTGATTCCACTTTTTGAGGACTCAAACCTCACAATCTAATTACCTACCAAAGTCCCCATCTCTGAATACTATGACCTTGGAGGTAAAAATTTCAGCTTATGAATTTTGGGAAAAAATAAACATCACACTATTGAATGTTATCTAATATTTTTCTTTTCATGGTTTGATAATTTCAAAATAATTGTCATACCTGAGTCTGAGTCAGATGCTTGCTCTGTCTCTTCTTTGTTTTTGAATATGTCTTGTAATTCTGTTTTTTATGAAAGCAGGGCATGATGTACTGGGTAGAAGGAACTGAGGTACAAGTCTGAAGTTTTATGTGTATCTGGCTAGAAGTTTTTATTTCTTTCTCTACCTCTGCCCTCTTCCTCTTTCTCCTTTTCCCTTTTCTTCTTTCTTTTATTTTCTGTTTTTGTTGCTCTCCTTCTAGATTCTTTGTTGTTGTTGTTATTTTTTATTTATTTTGATACACAGTTTTGCTTTTGTTTCCCAGACTGGAGTGCAGTGGAGCTATCTCAGCTCACTGCAAACTCCGCCTGCCAGGTTCAAACAATTCTCTTGCCTCAGCCTCCGAAGTAGCTGGGATTACAGGCATGTGCCACCACGCCCAGTTAATTTTGTATTTTTAGTAGAGACACGGTTTCCTCATGTTGGTCAGGCTCATATCAAACTCCTGACCTCAAGTGATCCACCCGCCTTGGCCTTTTAAATTGCTAGGATGACAGGTGTGAGTCACAGTGTCCAGCCTTTTTCTAGATTCTTAAATTGAACAGTAAGTTCATGTGTTTCATTCTTTATTTTCTGATAAATCTATTAGAAAGTATGAAGTTTTCTCCATGCATTTCTTTAACTCTGACTCACAAATTTAGTGTGTTAGTCATTTTACTGTGACTTAGTTTAAAGTATTTCTTATTTCTTTCATTATTTTAGTACAAATAGGTTAATGTATAGCTTTTAAATTTCAAGGACTTTTTACTTTCTTCAGTTTTGTTTTTATCATTTGTTTTGTTTTTATAACATTCTGCATAATACTGATTTATTAAAATTATTTTGGCTCCTTTGATTGCCTTTATTCTTCAAGACTTTTGTGAATGTGTGTGTTTATATATGTATATATTTAATATACATAAATAGTTCATAACATATGTATAAACATATATAGTTCATAACATATGTGTAAACACCATAAAGTACATGTATGCATAGGTATATTAGTGCTCATGGTATTTGCTTTCTATTTCTTTATTACTTATTGATTTTATTATTTCTATTTTGTTTACTAATTTTTTTCTTAATATGTTAGGTTTCCAGATTAATGTAAATTTTTCATTTAAAATTATTGGTTTGTCTGTTTCTATATATAAGTATTTTTAAATAATTCAAGGCTGTAATGTTAGTTGCATACGTATTTATAATTATTATAACTTCTTAAAATTGTTCCCTTTTTAGCAAATAGACTATCTTCATCTATTGTATTTTTAATTTTGCATTATATTTTTATTGATACTAAATTATCCTTTACACTATTATATTCTCTCCACATTAGCACAACCCATCTGCTTTCTATTAATTTAAGTGTTTCTTATAGTTTTTATGTTAAAAAAGGACTCCTCAAATTTCCTCTAGTTTTTCTTTCCTTTTCCTTTTTTTTTTTCTTTGCAGGATTGGACTTAGGAAAGGGAGACAAAAGATCCTATAAAATTTTATTATCCTAACAGATGCTAGAGAAAATAATTCAGTAATGCTCTTTTTGCTTATCTAATCTATTTTACAACCTATCATGCGTTTTTCTTCAAAATTTTAATGACAGTAAACATGTGTCTGTGTACATCTATAATTTCCAAAAGCTATAATTGGGTTCTTTCTAATCTGTCTTTTCTTTCTGTTTCATACTGTGTGATCTGGCATTATTTTTATAAATGAGATTTTATTACTTAAGCATTATAAGCATACTTATTTTAAACTGTCTTTTAAAATGTTTATACATATGATTATCATGCTAATTTTTTAAAATGCATCTGTTGGCTCTTCCTTATGATGGTCTGATACTTTTCTGTTGTTAAATTTTAAGTTGTCAGGGCATTTTAAGAACGATTTGTTTTCTGAAAGAATACTATGTTTTGGGATTGTGAGATAATTTTCATAAATTTGAATTGCCTCTTCTCATGCCCTATTGGTTTTGCTGTTTCTAGAACAAATTTTATGTTTAGCCTTTATTTAGAGTTGTTGCTGCATTCTCACATTCATAACTGATACTTTCTTATGTTTATCATCTCATGAGTTATTCTTTTACTCTTAGAGTCCTGTGAAGATGACAGTATTTTTTGCAATGCTTTTGTCCAAGTACATAATTATTTTTGTCTTGTTTTCATATAGAGAGCAGTCCTTTGATGCTGTTTGGCTTCACAAAGTGGATTTCATGATGGAAATTCCATTCATAACATTGGCTTTAAATTGTTTATTTTTTCATAGCACCTAAAAATGAGCTTGCTTTCTTCAATGGCAGTTATACATGTAAATACTTTTAATTTTATGTTTTACCCAACACTCCTGTGTGTTTGCTATGAGGAAGTGGCACATGTATGTCAGGTCAGTCTAGCATATGCACCTAGTTACACAGAATAAAATGTTGTTTTTGTTCTTATTTTTCTCTTTTTTAAATTTTTATAATGAACTTAGTGCATTGCTTTTTTAGGACTAGAGCTGAGCTGAGTTTGTATTAGATTTTTGTCAATTTTTTAATAAAAGTAAATATTACTGTTATTAAACACCTAATGCTTATTGCAGTTTTATTACATGACAGTTACTTTAAAATATATTGAATTATTTCCTCCTTATATCAATGCAGTACAATAATTACATATATAGATAAAAAAATGAAATACAGAGACTTTAATTAATCAGTTCATGTCATTGTAGAAACTATGGAGAATCTACAAGGTTTCACTCTGGATTTTGATGCCTTAAACAGTAAGGTAAAGCAATACTGAACTAACATATTCATACCCCCCCCAAAAAAATTTGTAACATGACATGTTAAAATTCTAGAAACAGCAGAATACCAGAAGGTTCAATGGCATACAAACAATCATAGTTGCTAAAATAGGCAATTGACATTCATAATTGCTTACATAAAATTCATGTTTTAATGGGTTCTTATCCATTGCACAGATAAAGCCAATTTACTGAGACAGTGTTCTTGCAATTGTGAAAGAGTTTAATAAACACATAGCTGGCTAAACAGAAGACCTGAGTTTTATACTCAAATCACTCTCCCTGAAAATTAGGAGGCTAACGTTTTTATAAGGACAGTTTGGCAGGCAGGGGACTAGGGAATGGGAAGTGCTGATTGGTTGGGTTGGGGATGAAATCATAGTGTCAGAGCTTGCCTTCTTGTCCTGAGTCAGTTCCTGGGTAAGGACCAAACACCAGACGACCCAGTTTACCAGTCTGCGTGGTGCCAGCTGGTCCATCAGAATGCAGGGTCTGAAAAACACTTCAAACACCCATCTTATATTTTACAACAGGAATTTTATCTATAGGAGCAATTGGGGAGATTGTGAATGTTGTGACCTCTGGCTACATGACTCCTGAGCCATAATTTCTAATCTTGTGGCTAATTTATTAGTTTTACAAAGGCAGTGTGGTCTCCAGGGTAGAAGGGTTTTTGTTTCAGGAAGAAGCTATTATCATCTTTGTTTCAAAGTTAAACAATAAACTAAATTCCTCCTATAATTACATTGGCCACTGCTGAGAAATGAACAAGGGAAGCTTGGAGTTAAAAGCAGGATGGAATCAGTTAGGTCAGATTTATTTCACTGTCGTAATCTTCTATGTCAGATTTTTCTCACTGTTATAATTTTTGCAAAAGCAGTTTCTTTCATATAGGGTTAATTGTAGCTTAAAATGGTGTAATATAATGCACATATTTTGGATAATCTAATTTAGTATAGATATATTCAATAAAAGATAACCTAAAAACAAAACACAACAGCATAAACTTCCTCTTACTGGAAATTCTTTCTTAATCAAAGAGTGATATTTTAATAGTAAACCCTAAATGATATCCTACAGAATGAAAACCTGAGTAGACAATTAAACCTAGAATATCTGAAATCAAATAAATAATCTTTTTAAGAAAATACTTGAAATATATAATCACTATTTAATTTTAAATGTGTTACAGAGTTATCACAATGTTAATGGAGGTTTTTTGATGGTATATGACAAAAAGCTAACATCTTTCAGGAAATAGATATTTTCATAATTACTTAACATTTTGAAATACAGTCCTTGATATATTCACAATGTAGAGCTCATCATATGATGACATAAGTTTCATTGCTCATATTTGTACATCTGTGGGCTCCACAATGATGGTTTCTAAAAGAGGCTTTCCCTGAGTGTAGTGTTTTGTGTTTTTTTTTAAAAAAAAACCTAATTCAAGGAGATTTAAATTGTATAAATTACAAACTAATGAAAAAGCTCTTTCTTAAATCTTATCACGAAACCAGAGTCTCTCCAGGTTAATTCCAGTGCCTAGGACTGAATTTTAACTAATTTGAAGTACGCCATAATGTAAGAGGCAGTGTTGTAATGTGAGGTGTGAAGGCAATTCCGCAAGATATAGCAGCACTGCTGCCCGACACAACTCCAGGGAAGGCCATTTACTTAGATTTTGATGCAAACGAAGCCCATTGAAATTGTATATATCACAACTACGCAGTTGCTCAAGACCACCCTTTATGAAGAGAAAGCTTGCTCACATAACCAAAAAGAAGGAGAGAAAAAGAATGAATGTAAAGATGGATCAGCCTAGCTGGTGGTTATGACACTGTGCTTCAGGAGGAGTATACCCATTTATTTATTCGGTAATATTAGAAGAGTAGGGGAGCTATCCAGACCAAACATTTTCTTTCTATCCAGTTGTAGACCCCTTTAATATTCCCTATTCTCAAACTCCCTCTGGGACAGATATTAAGCCTTCCCTTACTATATAAGCGGTATTCAGTTTGAAACTTTTGCAGTTGGCTTAGATTGTTGAATCTGTGCTAAGTGACTTGCACATCTTTTCTCATGTAATTGTCATGACAAGCTTATGAAGCACATATCATTAGTGTTATATATTTGCTGAGAAAGCTGAAACGTAGGGACCTTAAGGAACTTGCTCAGGATGAAAAGTCCAGGTTAGCCCCAGTATTTGTTCCTTCTACTATACCTCCTCCTGTACATGTGTGACCACTTGAGAATCAACAGGTTTCACTTTCACGTAATGTACAAGGACAAAAAACCAAACACCACATGTTCTTACTCATAGGTGTGAACTGAACAATGAGAACACATGGACATAAGAAGGGGAACATCACATCCCGGGGCCTGTTGTGGGGTTGAGGGAGGGGGGAGGGACAGCATTAGGAGATATGCCTGATGTAAATGATGAGTTAATGGGTGCAGCACACCAACATGGCACATGTATACATATGTAACAAACCTGCATGTTGTGCACATGTACCCTAGAACTTAAAGTATAATAAAAAATATATATATAAAAGCATAATGTAAACATTTAATAATTAAAATTGACATTTCTTTAAGAATGGTCACTTTTGTACTAAAATTATGTTTATTTCAGTTATCACTTAAGTCTTTGCTCTTTCAAACTCACTATTTTATAAAATTCACATCTAAACTCCAAAGCATTCTATACTTGTCAGAACCATTTTCTCGCCACCCCCTTCTTATTCCTGAAATATGATTTCCACCTCCAATGATTTCCTCAAATAGTGATCTTTTCTTCAAACTTATTTATTTGACTTTTCTGTAGAATTGAACTTATTGATCATTCACTGCAGTTTTAACTCTATTTGATGACCCTGAAGAGTTCCTATAATTGTCAAATGCCCTTTTGTTCACTGATTGCCCATGCATTTCCTAGCCTCCATCTTGCTTGGTTTGACTTTACTGGCCCCACTCTATTCCATCATCTTCTCACTTTATTCCAAAGCTTATTATTATGATTATTATTTTAGAGACAGGATCTCTCTTACCTAAGCTGAAGTGCAGTGGCACGAATGTGACTCACTGCAGCTTGAAACTCCTGGGCTCGGGTGATTCTCCCCACCTCAGCCTCCCAAGCAGCTGGGAATACAGGCATGAGCCATTGCATCCAGCAAAGCTTAATTTTAAGCGATAAATTCTTCTCTCTTTTCTATGTGCTTCAGTTACATTATCACTTCAGTGATCTTCATTGAATTACTTCTGTGTTAACAGTCTTATTAATTTCCTATTGCTGCCATAATAAATTACTACAAATTTAGGGGATTAAAACAACACAGTTTTATTGTCTCAGAGTTCTGTAGGTCAGGAATCTAAGCATAATGTGGATCAGCTTGTTCTTTGCTCTTGACTTCACAAAATCAATGTGTCAGCATGGTTGTTTTTTTCTTGGAAGCTCTGGGATGAACCAGCTTCTAAGCACATTTAGTTTGTTGTCAGAATTCAGTTCCATGCAATTGTGGGACTGACGTTCTCATTTCCTTGCTAGCTGTTGGGTAGGGTCACTTTCATCTTTTAGAGGCCTTTCTCATTCCTTGCAATATGACCTTCTTCCTTCATACTCAAAGTCAGCAACAGTAGATTGAGTCATTCTAATGTCTCAAACCTTTCTGACCTCCCCTTGTGCTTCAACTCTCCTCTGCCTCTCTCTTCAGTTAAATTTCTCTAACTCTTCTGACTTCTGCTTTTAGTAGCTCATGTAAGTATGCTAGGTCTACTGGGGTAATCCAGAATATTCTTCCTATCTCAAGATGAAACTGATTAGCAACCTTCATTCTATCTTCAAACTCTTTACTACAATACCTAGATCACTGTTTCATTAAATAACCAGGGAACAGGCATCTTATAGGGAAGGGTAGGGGAGCACATCTTTTGAAATTTTACTATAACAGCTATGTGTATCTTTAGTCCAACACCCAAGAGCAGTCAAATATTTTCAGTTCCCAATGGAATATTGCCACCTGAATATTCCCCCTAAAATCAATAATTCTAAGCTAAATTAATTATCTTCTATATAAAGTTGGCTCTTTCTTGAACTGGTTTTCGCATTCTGTGAACATAACCACTCTAAGAGATAGTCTCTTGGGCTCTTGAGCTGGACTTCGTGTTTGTCTTTTCCTTTTTGCTTTTGAGACACAGTCTTACTCTGTCACCCAGTCTGGTGTTTAGTGGCACCATTTCAGCTCACTGCAACCTCCGCCTCGCAGGTTCAAGCTATTCTCCTGCCTCAGCCTTCCCAGTACCTGGGACTACAGGCACGCACCATCACACCTGGCTAAGTTTTTGTATTTTTAGTGGAGACGGGGTTTCTCCGTGTTAGTCAGGATGGTCTCGATCTCCTGACCTCGAGATCTGCCCGCCTCGGTCTCCCAAAGTGCTGGGATTACAGGTGTAAGCCACCACGCCTGGCCTCTTATTTTATTTTTTTTTCCGTTTTTCTCACTTCAATCTCATGCATGCATCAGAACCAGCTAAATTTTGTGTGTGTGTTAGCTCTAAGCTTAGCTCTGTCTTCTTAATGTGTGATATCACCTTTTTTCATGTTATCATAACATTAAATGCCTAAATAAATTTTTCGCAAATACTGTCATCAAAGCTCAATTTATTATCAAATATCTGCAAGAAGTGCCCTTAAATAGCGACTGTTTGATTCTTGGGAACATTAGCACAAGATTGATTTTATAACGATAATGCTAGCCATATTTTTAACTTGACTGAGCACACATATTCTTCTACTTAATTCCTTTGAAAATCTGGCCCAGTGTCTTTTCAGCCAGCCATAAGCTTTATTTGCCATACATAATCAACTTTTTCCATTATACACTCAAAAAACAAACAAATTAATATGTTTTTGCTTCTGACAGATGAGCAGTCCCTAAAGGTAATAGAGCCTTGATCTTCTTTTGAGTTGGCCTACACATTGTTGATTAATTAATGTAAATAATACGTATTTCTTTCCACAAAACAGGTACTAATTTAGAACTAGGGATAAGACAATAAACAACTCTGAAAAGTCCTAGTTTTTGTGGAGATTGTAGTCAATTCATGGAGACAAATGGTAAAACTATTTAAAAATATTAACAAGCAAGATAAACTATAACAACACACACATGGCTTTTTAGGCTTATAATGGCAGAGACTGGATTTTATTCTGTGTGTAATAAGTAACTGAGGAGTTACTAAAAAGAATATGTGGATGATGAGTAAAGCACATGAGGAAGTGTCTAAGTAAAAAATTATTTCCAAAGATTGGCTATATATTCCCAAAACACATGCTTCTGATTTGTTGTAGCAGTTTGAGTATTGATACATAGAGATGACAACACAAAGGAAGCCATTGCTTTTGACAAGATGTTACTTAGTTGGCGGTATTACCTCAGAGCCCAGGATCTAATCCTCTGATCACACAAAATGATCCCAAACTACAGCTTTGACTGAAGGCAACAACAGTAACTTGTGACTTATTAAAATTATAATTCTAGCTTATTAATTTGTAATGATTAATGTTCCCCTCTAGAAAACCAAGGAACACCAAAGGACACTTCCATATAGAGGGAAAAATTTGAACCAAGATAAAAATGTGCAAACTTATATAGTGAGCAAATAACAAGCACACATGGAATTTGGAATATTCAAGAGACAGTTTGTGTGTTTTATTGTTTTATGTTTTTATATGACTGAAGATGCCATGCTATTTATTTTCTATTTATCCAATTATAATTAAATAAGCAAAGTGAAATACTAGGATATAATGGGAGGTAATAATAAATGAAATGTAAAAGTATTAAACTGGTGAGAGAGAATAGATATAGTTACAGATATTACTGTGAGTGAACAAACATTGAGGTGAGGGTGGGTGTTTTAGTAGAAAATGAATACCGATGGCTAGTTGAAATTGTACTTATTAAACAAATGTCTGCCATTTTCCTTATTACAGACATTATACATATATATGGTTGGCAAACATTTTCAGGTATCATTTCAAATGTTTAATTTCTTGTGCATTTTGTTAGCATAACAATTGTGAATCCTATCAATCAGAAATAAAACAGGAGTTAAACCTGTATAAGTTATATTCAGGTTAATTGTGTGTGACTGCCAAGCTGAGAATAAGTTTCCTTTGAGTCATATGTAGTGTGCCACCTTGCAAGAATTATGGAAGTCCTGGTTAGAAATTACCACATTCTGAGGAACACAAGCAGCATTTACTAATTGATGACCCTTGTGAACAATAAAAATAAAAGGCTCATAAAAACTATGTGTGTGAGTTATAATACCACTTAATACAACAGAAAATTCTTTTTTTCTACATGATAGCTCAATGCTTTGATTGGAGCGCATAGCTGATGCTCTTAGCAAGTTTGAGTTGAATAACTGCATAGGTGATTTGTGTTTTGTACTAAGTGTCCAGATTGTCTGGATGGTTTAGTTGTTGAAAATTTGGTATATTTCTTGTCTGTGTATATGAAGGAAATGTTTAACAACTTTTACTTTCATATGGAACCACAAAAGAGCCCATAGAGCCAAGACAATCCTAAGCAAAAAGAGCAAAATTAGAGGCATCATGCTACCTGACTTCAAACTATACTACAAGGCTACAGTAACCAAAACAGCATGGTACTGGTACCAAAACAGATATATAGACCAGTGGAAAAGAACAGAGGCCTCAGAAATAACACCACACATCTACAACCATCTGATCTTTGACAAACCTAACAAAAACAAGCAATGGGGAAAGGATTCCCTATTTAATAAATGGTGTTGGGAAAACTGGCTGGCCATATGCAGAAAGCTGAAACTGGACCCCTTCCTTACACCTAATACAAAAATTAATTCAAGATGGATTAAAGACTTAAACATAAGACCTAAAACCATAAAAACCCTAGAAGAAAACCTAGGCAATACCATTCAGGACATAGGCATGAGCAAAGATTTCATGACTAAAACACCAAAAGCAATGGCAACAAAAGCCAAAATTGACAAATGGGATCTAATTAAACTAAAGAGCTTCTGCACAGCAAAAGAAACTATCATCAGAGTGAACAGGCAACCTACAGAATTGGAGAAAAATTTTGCAATCTATCCATCTGACAAAGGGCTAATATCCAGAATCTATGAAAAAACTTAAACAAATTTACAAGAAAAAACCAACCCCATCAAAAAGTGGGCAAAGGATATGAAGAGACACTTTTCAAAAGAAGACATTTATGCAGCAAACATTAAAAAATCTCATCATTACTAGTCATTAGAGAAAAGCAAATCAAAAACACAATGAGATACCATCTCACACCAGTTAGAATAACAATTATTAAAAAGGCAGGAAACAACAGATGCTGGAGAGGATGTGGAGAAGTAGGAATGCTTCTACACTGTTGATGGGAGTGCAAATTAGTTCAACCATTGTGGAAGACAGTGTGGCTATTCCTCAAGGATCTAGAACTAGTAATACCATTTGACCCAGACATCCCATTACTGGGTATATACCCAAAAGATTTTAAGTTATTCTGCTATAAAGACACATGCACACATATGTTTTTTGCAGCACTACTTGCAGTAGCAAAGGCTTGGAACCAACCCAAATGCCCATCAATGATAGACTGGATAAAGAAAATGTGCCTCATATACACTATAGAATACTATGCAGTCATAATAAAGAATGAATTCATGTCCTTTGCAGGGACATGGATGAAGCTGGAAACCATCATTCTCAGCAAACTAACATGGGAACAGAAAACCAAATACTGCATGTTTTCACTCATAATTGGGAGATGAACAATGAGAACATATGGGCACAAGGAGGGGAACATCACACAATGGGGCCTGTTGCAGGGTGGGGGGCAAGGGGAGGGATAGCATTAGGAGAAATACCTGATGTTGATGACGGGTTGATGGGTGCAGCAAACCACCATGGCACGTATATACCTATGTAAAAAACCTGCACGTTCTGCACATGTATCTCAGAACTTAAAGCATAATAATAATAATAAAAAACTTTTACTAACTGAATTAATCAATTCAAGGAAAATACTGAATACTAAATCGATAGATGATAGATGATGGATAGAGAGTTAGATGGATAGATAGATAGCAATATGGATGTAAATACAGACATTAATTTGCAGTACCATTTCTTGAGAATAATAAACCTCTTATTAAAAACAAATATGCCATAAACACCTCTGAGAGCATATATTTTAAAAAATTAATTATCAAATGATCAGTTTTCTAGAAGTGTTTTAGTCATACATAGGGTGACCATATAATTTATTGTGACTGCAAGAGGGCACTATGAATAATCATTTCTGGGAGCACAGGTGTGTGGCAGTCTTAAACCATGCTTCCCAAATACTTTAACACATCTACAGATAGGTAAGGTCTGTGTCCCATTCCCTTTAATTCAGGTGTGCTTGTGACTGTTTCACACACTAGAGTGTAGTAAAAGTGATGTGTGACTTTTGTGGCTGGATCAAAACAGGTGATGCGCCTTCTGCGTTGATTCCTGTAATATTCACAATTGGAGCCCTGAACTGCTATGTCAGAAGACTTACTACTCTTAGGACACCAGGCTGTGAAGAAGCCAAGCCATATAAAAGTACTACATGCAGGTCTTCTGAACAGCAGTCTTGGTGTTCCTGTTATCCCAGCCCAGGTGCCAGACATATAAGTGAATGAACTTCAGATCTTTCTAGCCTCAGCCATCAAGTTACTCACAATGTTAGACTCTTTCTGGCTGAAACCCCTGCTACCAGGGAGCATAGATAAAACACTCCCGTTATGCCCTGAGTTCCTGACCTACAGAATCTATGGATACAATTTAAAGGGTTGTTTCAAGCCACTACATTGTGGAGTCATTTGGTACACAATAAAACTAAGAAAACTAGGTATAATAAAAATTATTTCCTTTTTTTCATGAATCACTGTGAATAAGTTATTGCAATTTGGGATGTATTTACATACTAATTTGTGTTTATAAAGACATTCACCAAATTAAGAATAAAAGTAAAATGCATGTGTTAGAGAGTTTATTAGAATATTTTAAATGTTTTTAAAATATCAAAATATTTCTTTATAACTGATTTTGCCTCTTGAGCCTTGAATATTTCACATAATTATCTCATATTTTTCTTTATTTTCAGAAGGAGCTAAAGTATAGTGCAAGGCACATGATAGAAGTTCAGTGCGTATTTGAGGATCTTTTTATCTTTAACAGCTTTTTTTTATTCTCATGGTAGATGCACCGAAATAGAGTCAGAAATGAAAAGGTGAGGCTTACAGAAAAATAGTGTCTGCATTTGGAAATGATTTGGAAACCTTTTTAGTGAAATAGATAATTAATTTTTCCAGGTATTAAATAAAATAATAGCTACATCTCTCCATACCACAAAAGTGTCACTGAACTGTAATTGCACTGATTGCCTACCTTCATTGGCAAATCAGGAGCAAAGCCCTATACTATCTGAAAGGATATCAACTTTGAGGATATTAACCTAACAAAGGAAAAACATTTCTGAGTGCTTTATATTTGGACAAAAATAAATTATACTTCAAGGTTTAGTTGAATTCATATACAAGGTTATAATGCAATAAAGAGAAAGATGATTCAGTCTCTTTAAATATTGTACTTTTTTCCTTAGACAGTATTTTTTATATCATGCTCATTTATTAGAGTATATTAGCAGTACTCAAAATATTGTAGACAGGCTTATTTAAAGGTGACAGTGTCCTTAATTGAGGAACTTTTGTTCAGACTCCTAGTTAATATTTGAATCACCTTGAAACTATTCTAGGTGGTTTTTTTTTCTTTTTCATGAATAACTGTGACAATGTTATAGAAGTAGGTGAATAGGTTAAACTGTGAAAGATGTTGCTTTTATTGTATTTATGGATAAGTTCAAATTATGTAGTCAATTGATGGGTCAAGCACCATTATTTCTGACCATTCAACTTCCAAGCTAAAAGCCTGCAATTAGAGATGGTTCGCCTATGTTTAATAAGGTCAGTTAGGGTTGTAAATATGCTAAAGGTGGTGCTGGACAGAATACTGCCACATCTCCTCTTGTTTATTCTAAGATAAATTGTAGAAGCTAATCGACCAGCAATTGAACAATTATCAACGTATACTCAAGAGAGTCAACTTTTGATTGTTAAAGTGACAACATGATGAATCCCAGTATGAAATGTCAGTCATACCTCATTACTTTAGTTCATTCCTTTGTCCATCTTTTGGAAGGTAGTCTTTGTCTGGATGCATTTGGTAATTTGACAGCTTACATTTATGCCAGATTTTAAGGGCTAATCATCTCTCCTCTCCTCCCAGAAATAGTGCTTATGCCCTAATGCATGTAGCAAATTAACTTCTTGGAATGCCAGTGCTATTCCCTTTTTTCCCCAAATACTCAAACATATTTAGATAACTAATGTTTGTGCCAGTGTGCCAATACACTCAAAGATGTTTGTTTCTTTTCTTAGTGATTTGTATAATAAGGAGGGATCGGTAACTAAAAAATATCTTTAGTGAAAGACTTCTTTTTAATTTTTTTTAATTTTTAAATGACACATTGTAATTATACATATTTATAGGTACAATCTGATGTTTCCGTACATGTGTATGTTACACAATAATCGAGTCGGGGTGATTAGTGTATTCATTACCTCATGCATTTATCATTTATTTGTGGTGAGAACATTCAAAAACCTGTCTTCTAGTTATTTTGTAGTGTGCAATACTTTACTGTTAACGTTAGTCGCCCTACTCTACAATAGAACACCAGAAATTATTCCTTCCATCTAATTTTAACTTTGTATACATTGACCAACATCTCCCCATTCTCCCATTCTCCCTTCTCTCCCCAGTCTCTGGTAACTACTGTTCAAATCTTTACTTCTATGATATAAACTTTTTTTAGATTCCATATATGAGTGAGATTATGTGGTCTTTGTATTTCCTTGTTTAGCTTATTTCACGTTACCTGATGTCCTCCATGTTCACCCATGTTGTCACAAATCACAAAGTTTTATTTTTATGGCTAAATAGTATTCCATAGTGTATATATACTGAATTTCTTTATGTACTCACCCGTCGTTGAACACTTACGTCGATTCCATATCTTGGATATTGTATGCAGTGCTACAATAAACACGGAAATGAAGATAACTCTTCAACATACTGATTTCATTTCCTTTGAATATATACCTAATATGGGATTGCCAGATTATATGGTAGTTCTATTCTTAATTTTTTGAGGAACTTTGATACTGGTTTCCATAATGGCTATACTGCTTCACAGTTTCATCAACAGTGTGTGTGTGTTCCTTTTTCTCTATATTTTTGCCAACAGTTTTTTTCTATCATTTTTTTTTTCTAATGGGCATTCTAACTAGATTGAGGTAGTATATCATTGCGGTCTTGATTTGCATTTTCCTGATGATTAGTAATGGTGAGCATTTTAATATATTAATACCTGTTTGTCATTTGTATTTCTTTATCTGAGAAATGCCTTTTAAGGGTTTTTTTAAACCAATTTTAAAATCAGGTTATGTGTTTTTTTGCTGCTAAGTTTCTTCCATATTCTAAACATTAATTCCATGTCAGATACATAGTTTGTAAATAATTTCTCCCATTCTGTAGGTTGTCTCATCACTGTGTTGTTTCCCTTGCTGTGCAAAAGCTTTTAAGTTTGATGTAATTCTATTAGTCTATTTTTACTGTTGCCTGTGCTTTTGAGGTCTTAAAAGATCCTTCTCTGGTTCAACATTGTGAAGCATTTTCCCGTAGTAATTCCATAATTTGGGGTTTTACATTTAAATTTTCATCCATTTTGAGTTGATTTTTATATATGGTGAGAGTAGGGATTGGGTCTCATTCTTCTGCATGTGAATATTTGATTTTCCAGCACCCCTTATTGAAGAGACCATCTTTCCCCCAGAGTGTGTTCTCTTAGCACCTTTATTGAAAATCTGTTGGATGTAGGTGTGAGAATTTATTTCTTGGCTCTCAATTCCATTCCATTAGTTTATGCATTTTTGTGCCAGTACCATGCTGTTTTGGTTACTATAGCTTTGTAGTGTAGTATATTTTGAAGTCAGGTAGTGTGATGCCGATGCCTCCGGCTTTTTACTGGAGATTGCTTTGGCTATTTGGAGTCCTTTGTTGTTTCATGTAAATTTTAGGATAGTTTTTTTTCTATTTATATAAAGAATTTTGTTGGTATTTTGAGAGGGATTGCAATAAATCTATAGGTAGCTTTGGGTGATATGGCTATTTTAACAATATTAATTCTTCCAACCCATCAACACAAAACATCTTTCCATTTTTTTGTGTGTCCTCTTCAATTTCTTTAGGTTTATTCCTAAAGAATTTTTTTTGTAGTTATTGTAAATTGAAGTGTTATCTTGATTTCTTTTTCAGATAGTTCACTATGAGCATACAGAAATGATATAAAATTTTATATGTTGATTTTTGTATCCTGCAAATTTACTGAATTCATTTATTTGTTCTAACAGTTTTTTGGTGGAGTTTTGCATCTGCAAAAGGGTAATTTGAGTTCCTTCTTCCCAGTTTAGATGCCTTTCATTTCTTCCTCTTACCTAATTGCTCTGGCTAGAACTTCCAGTACTCTCTTGATTAGAAGTGGTAAAAGTAGGCATCCTTGTCTTTTTCCTGATCTTATAGAAAAAGCTTTTACTTTTTCTCATTTAGTATAATGGTAACTGTGGGTTTGTGATACATGGCGTTTATCATGTTGAGGTACATAATTTCTGTATCTAATATTTTGAGAGTTTTTCACCATAAAAGATATTCAGTTTTATCAAATGCCTTTTCTCTATCTATTGAAATTATCATGTGGCCTTTGTCTTTTTTTCTGTTAATGCAGGGTATCACATATATTAATTTGCATTTCTTGAACCATCCTTGCATCCCTTGAATGAATCCCATTTGATCATCGTGAATGATCTTTTCAATGTGCTATTGAATTCAGTTAGCTTATATCTCATTGAGAATTTTTGCATCTTTGCTCATTGAAGGTATTAGCCTATAGTTTTGCTGTTGTATTTTTGTCTGGTTTTGGAATCAGGATAATGTGGGACTCTAAAAATTAGTTTGGAAGTATTGTATTCTCTTTAATTTCCTAGAATAATTTGAAAAAATAATTAGTAATAGTTCTTCTTTAAATGTTTGATAGAATTCAGCAGTAAAGCCATCAGGTTCTGGGCTTTACCTTGATGGAAGACATTTTAATATTGATTCAGTTTTCTCATTATTAGTCCGTTCAGATTTTCTATATCCTTGTAATTTAATCTTGGTAGGTTGTGTGTGTTCAGGAATTCATCCATTTGTTCTGTTATTATTTTTTTGGCATATCGCTAGTTATAATAGTCTTTTATAATCCTCTGTACTTGTGTGGTATCAGTTGTAACATCTCCCTTGTTGTTTCTGATTTTACTTACTTGAGATTTGAGTCTTCACTCTCTTTTTTCTTAGTTAGTCCAGCTAAAGGTTTATCCATTTTCTTTATCTTTTCAGAAAAATCTAATTCTTCATTTTTGGGGTCTTTTGAAATTTGGAGGTCCATTTAATTTATTTCTGCTCTGAGCCTTATAATTTCCTTCCTTGTACAAATTTCAGGTTTAGCTTGTTTCTCTTTTTCCAGTTCTTTAAGACACATCATGAGGTTGTGTTTTTAGAAATCTTTCTTCTTTTATGACATAGGCATTTATTGCTATGAACTTCCCTCCTATAACTGCTTTTGTTGTGGCTCATTGGTTTTAATACGATGAGTTTCTATTCTAATTTGTCTCAATAAATTTTTAAAATAATAAAATTGACCCATTGGTTATTTTTTGAGTGCATTGTTTAATTTCCATGTATGTGTAAAGTATATGACACTGTTGTTGATTTCCAGATCCATACCTTTGATACTTGATATAATCTCCATCTTCTTAAATTTTTTTAAGACTTGATCTGTGGCCTAATGTATGATCTATTCTGGAGAATGTTCCATGTGTAGTTGAAAAGAATGTGTACCCTACAATTGTTGAATGAAATGGTCTGTAAATGTCTTTAAGGTCCTTTTGGTCTACAGTATAGGTTATCTTTGATGTTTCATTGTTGGTCTTCTGTCTAGATAATCTGTTCATTGTTGAATGTGGAGTATTGAAGTCCCCTACTATTACTGTATTGTAATCTGTCTCTCCCTTTAGATCTAATAATATTTATAATATTTATCTTATATATTTGAGTGTTCCAGTGTGGGGTGTATATATATTTGCAATTGCAGTGTTATTTTATTTGAATGTCTTTATCCTACACCAATACTTTACAGAGCATTTTGGGAAACTTAACTTTCTCTGTTTCTCTATCTTTCTCAAATACACACACACACACACACACACACACACACACACACACACCATACACACATACTCTTTTATATTCATTGGAACAATACCATGACAGAAAGTTAAAGTGTGTTTCTCTGTCTTAAAGTCTTGATTAACTCTGTTTACATTAATTTTGCAATACTGGCAAAAAAGAAAAATACATGCACAAAAACAAAAGCTCTGACTTAACGCATTCTTTAGTCTTGAATAATTTGCAATTTAGCATCTTAAATGAAACTGCTAAGCACCTTTATCAAGAAAGAGTCTCATTAATTGCCAAAAGCACCTCAGATTTGAACTCTTTCTTTCAGAATAAACACAAGGCTGTGGACTGTTAAAAAAAAAAAGAAAAATAAAAAGAAAGAAAAATAGTATGTGTGCAGTCTGTTATGAAAATATCTCTCATTTGTTTACATGTGTTTTAAAAGGTAAGAACATGGGAAGAGAGTTTAATAAAAAGGCTGCTAAATTGCTTTGCCCTGCTGGTAATAACTATGTTTATTGCAATAGTAATATAAGCTGCACTTGCTTAAAAAATTAGTTATTCACTTGTGGATCTTATCTGAACTTACTATGCCATGCTTGAATTCCTGGACTTATGTGAGTCATTGGAATGTATAGTACCTCATAAAACTATATAGCAACAAAAATGTTCCCCTTGTTCAAAATTCTATTTTCTTTTCACCACTTGCATAGAATTTCTCCTTGTATTTTATTAATCCAAAAATCTGTAATAAAAATAGGCAAATTGTTTTACTTAAAATGTCAGCTTTTGGCATATTAAGGAAATGATCTTCAATAAGTGAAGTCCCTCACTAACGATACATAATTCCATTTATCTCCATTCTTCTTCTCTAGAAAATGCTAGTAAAATACAAACAAAGAAAAAGAGCAGCACTTAGGATTAAAAATTTTCTTGGTAAAAAAGATGAGAAGAATATGTTGTGTTAATTCAAATATTAGGATTTTACTATTTGGGGGAAATAACTAAATGGTAACATTACTAGATGGATTCAAATTAAAGGATATGCATCCTTTAAAGGGAAAAAGAAACCTTATATCCATATATTTCATTAAGATGTCAACCCCAATTTTGGAAAATATAAGAAAGATAATTGCCACATAGGATTTTGACTTCATAAACTTTGCAGTTTAAATCAGTTTAAGAAGTATGTCTCAATCATGTTGAACTTTGAAAAACAATTTTAAAGTCACAAATGACATGCTTCATTGTTTTTCTGTACATAGGAATATGGTAGGTTTAGAGTAAGTATTTTTCTATAAATATTTTCGGAGGCATATGTTTTTTAGAAAGAGTTTATGATTTGGTGCTTGATTAAACAGCATTAGAATTGTAACTATATTCTAATTTTTAATGAGCTCAAATGATGTTTTAAACAACTGCTCCAGTTCACAATTCCTCCTCTAACATGCTCATATGTCTTCATCTGGCAGGAGGGCTCTTAATGCCTGGTGGAAAGCAAAGCCGTAAATACTACTGGCCCAGCGGTAGTAGGCTCTGCTTAGAAGGTCAGGGAAGAAACTCCTTTTGAAAGGTTAAGGCCAGTCAAAGAGCCTCCAAACCACCTTCTCTCAACACATGCCTGAATGCACTCAGAGCCGCTTTATCCACTGCATTGCTTAAACTATTCCATGATAGTATCCATTTATCATTTAGCCATAGATAGCCCCAGTGGTAAAATGGAAATATGCCTTTAAAAAGCAGGAAAATCTTGCATATGTTAGCTTAAATGATGAGAATTGAGCCTCCTTAATCCACAATTATGCATTTTTTACTAAGGTACGTAAGACATGCTTAATATATTACCAAGCCACACCTTCAATAAATGGCATAGAAAGCATTTGAAAGCATACTAACTGTATTAGTTGCAGGGTATATAAATTGTAGTTGAAGAGTTCAAGATATTGTGAAGCTAGTGTATACTCATTATGAGTTAATTTTACATAAATGAACTTATTTGGAAAATCAATAAAATCTAATGATACCTTTGTCCTAAAATTTAGAATATAAAATATATTTTATGCTCTTTAATAAAATGAATTAGGCTAATAAAATACATGGAAACATATTTTCAAGCTAAAACTAAGTAAAATTGCTCAGAATTTCCATGGCTTGCTTTTAATTTTATATGCATATTGTTGAGTAATGCTTAGCATAAGCCTACTCTAATAAATTTGGTGTTTGGGTCTATCTTTAAGGCTGATTCACATTGCCTTATAGTGGAGTCAACCAATTATACATAAAATGACCATTAACAGGCATACATATCATCACTGTGCTGCAACTAATTTGTCATTTCTTATCAATAAGACCTAACTTCACTTGTAGTCATTTAGAATGACTACTTTGCCTGTCATCTGGATTACTTTGTAACAGTGGTTCTCAAATGGACATGATTTCACTGCCTTCCACTTCAACAGTGGACATCTAACAATGTCTGGAGAAATTTTTGGTTATCATGAGAGTGTTGTGGGGGATGTCGCTGGCATCTAGTAGCAGGGATCTGTGATGCACAGGATATGTCCCACCGCCCCTTTAACAAAACGTTATTTAGCCCAAAATATGCACCACCTTTAGAAACTCTGGTTCATGGCAAGCAGTGTGGCTCCTTGGAAGGAAACCTTATTGTAACTTATTGGGTAACTTTATTAAGTTTCCATTTCATTATTTGCAAGATGGGGACAAAAAATAATGTCATAGGATGTTTGAAAAAGTTTGAATAATAATAGTAATAATCAATGATTTATTTCTCGGTAGTTCTCAAACGTTCCAGGCACAAGGGATTTTGCATTTACTCTCTCCTCTCTTGGTAATGTATTTTATCATGTCTTCTATCCTCAGCTGCTTCTTCTTTGGGGGTAAATATAACTGTCTTAAGGAGGCTTCTCCTGATATTTCTATCGATTGAAAATTCTAACCTACTCTTTTTGCTTCTATTACTCCCTATCCTTCTTTACTGATTAGATTTTTTCCATGTAATCCATTACCACCTGATGTTGTATATATATTATACACACACACACACACACACACACACACATGTACATACAATCATGTACTACATAACAGCATTTTAGTCAACAGTGGACTCCTTATACTTTGATGGTCTCGTACATTATAATGGAGCTGGAAATTCCTACTGCCTAGTAATGTCATAGCCATCCTAAGATTGTAGTGCTATACATTACTCATATGTTTGTGGTGACAGTAGTGTAAACAAACCAGTTGTATAAAAGGATAGAATGGCTGGGCGTGGTGGCTCATGCCTGTAATCCTAGCACTCTGGGAGGCTGGGGCAGGTGGATCACTTGAGGTCAGGAGTTCAAAATCAGCCTGGCCAAAATGGTGAAACCCCATCTCTACTAAAAATACAAAAAATTAGCCAGGCGTAATGGTGCACGCCTGTAATCCCAGCTACTTGGTAGGCTGAGGCAGGAGAATTGCTTGAACCCAGGAGGTGAAGGTTGCAGTGAGCAAAGATCATGACACTTCACCCCAGCCTTGGCGACAGAGCAAGACTCTGTCTTAATAAATATATAAATAAATAAGGATAGTGCACACAATTTCGTACAGTACATAATACTTCATAATGACAATAAATGACTATGTCACTAGTTTGTATATTTACTATACTATATTTTATTGTTTTTATTGTTATATTAGAGTGTACTCCTTCTACTCATTAAAAAAATAGTTAATTGTAAAAATCCTCAGGCAGGTCCTTCAGGAGGTATTCCAGAAAAAGGCATTGTTATCACAGGAGATGACAGCTCCATATGTGTTATTAATCCTGAAGACTTTTCAGCGAGACAAGATGTGGAGGTGGAAGACAGTGATATTGATGATCCTGGCCCTGTGTAGGAATAGGATAATGTGGGTGTTTGTATTGTAGTTTTTAATGAAAAAGTTTAGAAAGTAAAATTTAAAAATTTAAAAATAGAAAAAAGCTTATAAAATAAAGATATAAAGAAAGAAAATATTTTTTCACATACAAGGTATTTGTGTTTTAAGCTAAGTGTTATTATAAAATAGAAAGTTTAAAAAATTATAAAGTAAAAACCCTACAGTAAGCTGATTTGTTTATTATTGAAGAAAGAAAACAATTTCTATAAATGTATTGTAGCCTAACTGTATCATATTTGTAAAGTCTATAGTAGTGTACAGTAATGTCCTAGGCCCTCACATCACTCATCGGTCACTGACTCACCCAGTTACTTCCAGTCCTGCAAGCTCCAGTCATGGTAGGTGCCCTATACAGGTGTATCATTTTGTATCTTTCACGCCATATTTTTAATGTAGCTTTTCTATGCTTAGATATGTTTAGATATACAAATGCTTACCCTTGTGTTATAATTGCCTAGAGTATTCAGTATAGTAACATAATGTACAGGCTTGCATCCTTGGAGAAACACGCTTTACTATATAACCTAGGTGTGTGTGTAGTACATACCAGTAGGAAGTTAGAGCATAACTATGAGGAATCCAGGAAGGCAAAGTTGGCACTCTAAGCATATACTTTGTGTCCAGGAAATTTCTCCAAGATTACTAGATATTGAGTTACTGAGTTGGGGTTGAATGACATGCCTCTGGATTCCAGGAGAGGAAAAGGACTGGTAGTAGACAGGAGAAATTCTATCAAATAAAGAGACAGCAAGAGTTGTGAGAGGAGAGAGGAAACATATACCAGAATCTTGGTCATGGCTAATCCATAGCATATCAGGGAAAAAAGTAAACCACAAGGAGGTTAATACTACAAGACCCTAGCTGTCATTATGGGCCCCATCATCCTGATAAGTCTGGAAAACAAGACAAAGCAAACATGGGAACCTGTTTATTAACTCTAGTATACTTTGCTCTTGCTCAGTCTAACAGGCTGTTGATGTTTCATTGTTATAAAAAATTTGCTTAATGAAGTAATTTTTGACTCAAATAAGGTTTGACTTCATCTGAGGATGATGACCTGAGAGGAACTCAGGTGAGAGCTGTGAGTTGCCAACACTCCCGAATAGCTGGGAAAATGAGTGTTTCAGGGCTGGGGTGCAGCAGGTAACCTGCATGGCTCACCAGGGCATCCACTACCATCCATTGCTTGCCCTGTGCGGTTCTACATGTATCACATGAGTTCTTAGAGAGCTCTGTCAGGATTTTTGTGTGCCACTTTTCCTGGAAAAGTACATCATAGGAGAGAATGGTGAGATAAATCACAGACTTTCTATTCTCACTTCATTGCAGTTTTTTCTGAGGCTGCAAATGATATTCTTTGTCTCCCTCCTGTATCACCCATTAGAGATTCCCCTGATCCTTTCTGTAAGCTGTGCTGACTTTGGTGCCTTAACTATAAGAATGGCCCAGAGTTTTATATCTATTAGATTTGAGCCACTAGTCACCATGATCTACTCAGACCAGGGCTGTTGTATTTTCTGTTTTTTGTTACAAAATTGGGCTAGCATCACAACAGGGGCTCTCATCTAGTTGCCAAACATATTCTTCTTTACCCCCACTTATTTGGCCTGCCTACTCCTGATGGTCAGTCTATTATCCCCGCCAGAATGGTGACTCTTTCATTTTGTCTGGTGGTCTCTTGGCATTAGGATCTGGACCTATAAACAAACCACATAATTCAGAGTCCATGGGATGTTTAAGCAAAAATAAGTAGATTACTAGATGTGTTGGTGAGTGGAGCCATTTCTGTGTCTATGTTTTTGTTTCTGGACTTGTTTATTCTGCTTTACAAGGACATGAAGGCATATTATGGGTCACTGGTTTAGGGTATTATTTTGTTCTAGTTCATGGTATTCCGTCCTTTCAGGATCTCATCTCCAAGATGGTGCTGCAGTTGTATCTTCTGTAGAATGTCTCATTGTTTTATCAGGCCAGCAGCTTCTGGTTGGTGCTGTATGTGATGGAGTCAGTGGTTATGTGGCTACCACCACATGGTCTTTTCTATAGACTGCTTTTTATGCAATACTGTATAGGATCCTGTGCAGTGGGTCAAATACTCTGTAAACCCATGGGATAGTGATGCTGACTGAGGCCCTAAGAGCACATTAGGCAAAACTTTACCTTGAACATGTGTGTGTAAATTCTAGTAAAGATGAATCACTGTCTCTTCCAGGCTGGAATAGTCCAATGTAAGCAACTGGCCACCAGACTTCTTGTTGGACCCCTCAAAAGATGGTGCCATGGGTAGAACTGAGCTTAAGTCTTTGTTGTTTGCAAGTTGAACATTTTTTAGCAGTAGTAGCTTGACTAACTTTGTTGAGTGTACCCCAGGCTGTTAGCCTTTATCTGTCACTGTGCTACTTTCTCCATTCATGGCCAATGAAAAAGGCTACTGGCATCAACTGGCTGACTGCTGCAAAGTTCTTTATACCCCTGCCTACAGATTTCTCCACATGGCTTTGCCTCTGACCTTTTTAGCTCTGATTTATCAATGTTTCTTCTTCTAAGCACCTGACTAAGCAATTAGGTTGTTTGATACTCCCTTAGGGTTGATAACAATTCTATTTCAAACTACTTTTCTTTCCGTACAAAGTGGATTACCGAGATAACCACTTACAGTTCTTCCCATTAGGATTGGTCTGAACCAAATTTTATCCTTAAACCAATTTTGACTATTCTCTCCTCCATCAGCTGGTTATAAAGGATCCCCCATTTGGCCATAGCTATGAACTGAGGGAAAAGCTGGTTCAAGAGAGTCAGAAAACATGAGGGTCTTGACCCCTTGCTCATCCTACTTACGTCTGCATAACCCTTTGATTGCCTCTAGTCATGGCTAATCTATTATTTCCATTGTACTGTGACTTGATGTGTCTGATAGAATACAACTTTTAATGGACAATTCTGGCTAACTGGTGTCTCCATTTTTTAATAGGTTCAATAGCTCACAAGGAGCTATTTTTCAAAAATGTTTATTATTCTTCATTATTGATAATCCTGAATGCTATGGGTCTATGTTGTGATTATTCTATGGGAACTTCCCATGAACTCATAACTGTGTGCTTTCCAGCTGTATGTTCCACAGGTTAGACCTGATGCAGACTTCTTTTCTGCTCTGGGTCCTACTTAAAGCTGGAAGCCTTTTACATTACTTAGAATATGGGTTGAAGAAGTATTCCCAAATGAGGAATATGCTGCGTCTATTATCTGAGGAGCCTTAGCAAGTATTATCCTTCCTTCATCATGGTGAAAGGTACCCTTTACCCTGAGATTTGTCATGGCATTTTTTATTTGCTATTTATTACCCTAAAGTTAAAAAAAAAAACTTTATATTATTACCATATATTTTGCTGTTCACCTTAATATTGTGCAATGCTAGTTTTAAAGGCAAATATGAGAACATTTAATTCATATGAGGAATTGCCAAAATGACATAATTCATATTTTCTAACTCATCATTGTATATATACCTCATTCTTTTCAGAAATGGAGATGCTTCATAAAACCCAACCATTTTAATTTTACTTGTTGATATGCACACGTTCTACCAACATTTTCTACCTTCAGGTTACTATGAGTCAGGAATGTCTAAAGGAAAGGAACACAGATTGCTCTCTTTTCTTCTGCATCATCATTTTTAGCATAAGTGGTTGACGAATGCAGGCAAGTAACAAGAGTAAGGCGGGAGATAAAAGGGCTCCCTGGACATTGTTTTTCTTAGAATGTAACTGCCTTCCTTCTGTGTTTAAAGCAAGTTTTGATTCAACTGGAAAATGTAGCCTTCGAGACCACATTACCTAGTCATAAGTGCAACACACTTGTACTCACTCTGAGTCTCAATGAATTCCCGTGCTTCCTTGATCCACTAGACTTCCGCGCTCATGGAGCAATGCTATGTGCAAATGGAATGACAAGAATGGGAGAGCACACAGATGGTGCCTACTCAATCTCCTCTGCTTGCATACATAGTCTTTGTTAAATCAGACATATAAAACACAGAATCAGTTGCAGCTTTCCTTGCATCACTGCTGGGATGAAGCTGGTCCTACTGTAGGGCCATGAGCAGGTCATTAGGCAGGTGAAGTATAACTGTGAAGGAGACCTCCTCTTCACCGTGGCCAAGGAACCTATCATTAATGCATGATACTCTGTGAATGGTGAGAGGCTGGGCATCTACATGGGCCATACCAGAGCTGTGTGGTATGTGGACGCTGACTGGGACACCAAGCATGTCCTCACCCATTCAGCTGACAACCATCTTTGGGCCTGTGAAACAGGGAAACAGCTGGCCCTACTCAAGACCAATTCAACTGTGTGGATCTGCAGTTTTGACTTTGGGGGCAATATCATCACGTTCTCCATGGAGAAGCAGAAAAGCTATCAGTGCTTTGTGAGCTTCTTTGACCTGCAGGATCTGAGCCAGATTGACAGCAATGAGTGCTACCTGAAGATCCCTTGCAGTGACTCTAAAATCACTAGTGCCATTTGGGGCTCCTGTGGGGAGTGCATCATTGCAGGCCATGAGAGTGGAAAGCTCAACCAGTATAGTGCCAAGCCTGGAGAGGTGTTGGTGAATATTAAGGAGCACTCCTAGCAGATTAATGACATCCAGTTATCCAGGGACATGATCGTGTTTGTCACTGCATCCAAAGACAGCACAGCCAAGCTTTTTGACTCTATGACTCTTCAACATCAGAAGACTTTCTGAACAGAAAGCCCCATCAGCTCAGCTACCCTCTCCCCCAACTGTGACCATATTGTGCTGGGTGGTGGTCAGGAAGCCATGGATGTAACCACAACCTTCACTAGGATTGGCAAGTTTGAGTCCAGGTTCCTCCATTTGGCCTTTGAAGAAGAGTTCAGAAGAGTCAAGGGGCACTTTGGACCTATCAACAGTGTTGCCTTCCATCCTGATGGCAAGAGCTACAGCAGTGGCAGTGAGGATGGTTACAACCATAATCTACTACTTCAACCTACAGTACTTTGAATTTTTTTTTCAACCTCTACCTTTTATGAATTCTTATTTTTTTCTTTTTCTTTTTTATTATATTTAAGTTCTGGGATACATGGGCAGAACGTGCAGGTTTGTTACATAGGTATACATGTGCCATGGTGGTTTGCTGCACCCATCAACCAATCATCTACATTAGGTATTTCTTCTAACGCTACCCCTCCCCTTGCCTCCCAGCCCCTGACAGGCCCCGCTGTGTGATTTTTCCCTCCCTGTGCCCATATGTTCTCATTGTTCAACTCCCACTTATGAGTGAGAACATGTAGTGTTTGGTTTTCTGTGAATGATTTCATGTCCCTTGCAGGGACATGAATAAAATACTTCAAATTTGAGTTTTAGGCATAAGAAGCTGGATCTCTATCTAGGCCAGGAAAGCTTCTCACATAATGTTTTGAACTCTGAGAAATAAATACATTTGGTAATTAAAAAAAAAAAAAACAGAGTCAAAGAAAAAATTAATAAGAATTTCAGGATAATAACAGCAGAGCATTAAACCAAGGACAGAACCCTTCTGAGTACAGAGGCAAATGATAGGCCCATGAAGCTTGTCCTGGTCATAGGTTGCTTTGGAAGAAAACAGAGGAATTCATTGCCATATACACTTGCCATAGTATTGCAGAATACTTCCTTATCAAGACCTAGCTTCTTTTTTGGCCAATCAAAATCTGGTTTCCAGATCTGAGATTTCGCTCAGGTCCGGAAACTATTGTGACATTTTATTGAGATACCTGCCCCCATGCTCCAGGTCACTCATCCTTAATATATTTTATTATTACAATTGAGAAACAATCTTTGTTTTCCTACCCCTAGGAACTGAATAGCTTTCTGCGGGCCAGAGTCTCCTGGCTTCCACTTTGATTTTGCTGCTTATTACAGCAATCGTGCACACATTCCTTCTGATGGTTAAGCATAGCCACTTAGCATCTATTATTTTGGGATCTCCCTTGTTACCAGTGAACCCAGTTCTATGAGAGCATCTTCCACCATCTTCCCTGGCTTACAAAAGATGGCCATCCCTGAGTTTTTCAATTATATTGGTGCACTTCTCATCAGTGTATTCCAGATCACTGGTAAATTCAGTGTCCTCTGAGATCTCACGTGTGACAGTCATCTGGTGACTTACACAGTATATTCCTCTAGCATGCATCTCTGAACCTTTTGAATCCCTTCTTTTACTACTTTTGATAAGAATTCTGGCACCTGTCTTGCATATAATATGGTCTATCACTTTCTTCATGCTGCTGAGAGCCCTTATGATATCATTATTTCCTGGGTCCTTGTTAGGGTGTGAAATTCTATGTTATGGAAGACTTTCCCAATATTAATAAACTTTTTTTTTTATAAATCCTCCTTGATTCAGTACTCTCAGGATCAAATCCCATGCATACTCTATTGCAGCCTACTGATATATGTTGCTGATATGTGTTCTGTACTGATATATGTTCTGTAGCTCCTTTGAGGTTGGTCTTTTTCTCTTCCGAAAGACCCAGGACTTTCCTGGTCAGGTTATATTGAGACATACTGGTGGCCAGAAGAGCAGACGGCAATAAATTCTGATAGAGTTTGTATTTTATTGCAAGAAACAATCATTTCCATCATCTTTAAGCACAGGGAGTGCTAGCCTTTAATAGAAAGGAGTGAGCTACCACTGAAGGTCAAAGACTTAAGCGGAATCTAGTAATTTAAGTTTCAAATGCATCAACATGAATGTCCCTATCTCACATCTCAAGATCTCACTCCTTCCTAATCAAGGCCCTCATATTGGCATAGAAGGCCTTCCAGGATTGAGAGTTCAACCTGCTCTCAACCTCTTCTCCCTGTAAAGGTTAAAATATGAACTTCATCCTTGCCTTCTTCAACCTTTCAGTTATGGGAGATGAGAACGTCTTTATTTGCTGCCAGAATTTTCACACTTAATGTTTCACTAGTGATTAATCAACCTCAGTCTTGCATTGTTTTTCTCCAGCACATTATATACCCCATCCAATTCTATAATTTCTGAAATCATTTTCTCAGCCTGAAACATTGCACCTGCCAATGAATTTCCTTCCACCTGTGAAGTTTTAACAATCACATTACTGCAGCATGCCAGGTCTCCCAACACTTCACATACCATCACAGCTGGATTCCTCATCTGCAGCCAGTCAGAAGGTGAAACAGCTCCAATATCTCCTTTCAGAGTCTGCCTCCTCACACCCTTTCTGGAGCCAACTCTATAGGTCAGATTTCTAAGAAAACAGACTCTGATGTGGAGATTTGCATTTAGAAAATGTATTAGTGACTACCCTTCAGATCCATATCTGGGAACATTAAAAAAAAAAAAAACAGAAAGAAAGTAAAAGGAAGAAGTTTACCTCTGATGGAATTGCTACAAAAGGCTCAGCTGACACCAAGCTGAGGTCTAGTGCTCAATAGCCTTTCACAGTTGTTTTGCTGTGAGGCAAGGGGTCTAGGCTTTTAAATTCCTTTATTGATCATTCACTGGATATGGCCTTTCCCTGGAGAGTAGTCGTGACCTTGGGCAAGTCAGATCTCTTCAATCTGTGGAAATTTTCAGCTAGGAGGTACTTAAACATCCTGCAGCCGAGGAGAGTATGATAACAGTCACTAAACTTGCTTCCACAGTTATTTTAGGAAATATTAAGAAATGATCCAATCCTAACCAATTTTAGTTTTCTTTAGTTCATTTGTTTGGTCATTTATAAAAATAAAATATGTAAAATAAAATGAAAATCTGACATTATTTTCCAGAAACCCTCATTGACAGAAATGAAATTACTTAGATTTTCACCTCAGTACTTTTCATATTAAAAAGAATGGCAATATTTATATGTTCAAAAGTACTGATGCAAAGTCAGTAAGATGCAAAGTCAGTAAGCAAAAGCCATCATCTTCTCACTCACCAAAATAACCTTATTTGCCTCATTTTGCATTTGTCTTAATAGCCTTACTATATCAACTAGTAAATTAGAGTCTCAGGCTTGGCAGGCAAACCAACTTAATCTCAAACAGTCAATTTAGTTTGGCATTTAGAGATAGTGTTTGAACATTTCAGTTTATCTTATTTCTGTTTTGTTAGTTTTTAAAAATTACAAAGTACTAGTTTTAACTGATATTCAGCCAGTTTTTACAAAATTTGAATGAAAAAAATTAACTCTTTTGGTATACAGTTGTATGAATTTTCAAAATTAGGTAATGTGACTAACACCACCAACAGGAAAGAGAACAGTTCTATCAAGTCATGGGTTTTTCTCATAATACCTCTTTCTATTTAAGCCTTCTGCTCACTCTCTGTCTCTCTCTCTCTCTCTTTTTTTTTTTTTTAAGACAAGATTTCACTCTGTTGCCCAAGCTGGAGTGCAGTGGTGCAATCTCTGCTCACTACCACGTCTACCTCCTGAGCTCAAGTGATCTTCCCACTTCAGCTTCCCGAGTAGCTGGGACTACAAACATGAGCCATCACAAGTGGCTAATTTATTAATTTGTTTGTAGAGATGAGGTCTTACTCTATTGCCCTGGCTGGTCTTGAACTCCTGGTCTCAAGTGATCCTCCTGCCATGACCTCCCAAAGGTCAAGGGATTACAGGTGTGAGCCACCACACCTGGCCTTCTGCTTCCTTTTAATGCTTAGTAAACACTATTTTCCATCCCTACAGTGATTTTTTTTTCAAAATGTCATATATGTTGACTCATATAGTATGTAAAATTTTGAGTCTAGATACTGTCAAATAGCATAAAACATTTGAGATTCATTCATTTATACATAAATAGTTTGTTCCCTTTATTTGCTGAGTAATATTCCATTTTTGGATATATCACCACTTATTTCTCCATCCCCTAGTGATACGTTTTGGACATTTGTCCCCTCCAAATCTCGTATTGAAATGTGATTCCCAGTGTAGGAGGTGGGGCCTAGTGGGACATGTTTGGGTCATGTTGGTGGATCCCTTGTGAATGGGTTGGTGCCTTCCCTGTGAGTTCTTGTTCTACTCCTTCACATGAGATCTGGTTGTTTAACAGTGTAGCACCACCCCCTCCTCTCTCTTGGTCCTGTTGCCATATGGCCAGTTCCCCTTCCCCTTCTACCAAAATTGAAAGCTTCCTGAGGTGCTAACCAGAAGCAGTTACTGGCACCATGCTTCTTGCACAGCCTGCAGAACTACGAGCCAAGTAAACTTCTCTTCTTTATAAAATACCCAGACCCAGGTATACCTTTATAGCAATACAAAGAAAACTAACACACCTAGTTAAGGAACACTGGCTTATTTACAGATTTTGGTGATTTTGAATAAAGCTCTTGAACAGGATACAAAATCCATCCTGTATTTATTTTATACATTTCATTTTTATAAATGACCAAACAAATGAACTAAAGAAAACTAGAATTGGTTAGGATTAGATCATTTCCTAATGATATTCCCTAAAATAGTTTTGGAAGCAAATAAAAGGCTTACATTTTATGTGGGTAAATATTTAGAAATAGAATTTCTGGGTCATATGTTAAGAGTATGTTTAAATTTATATTAAATTTTTAAACTATTTTCAAAAGTGTATCTCTATCAGCAATGTATGAAAGTTCTATTTGTTACCCATACTATTTAGCTCTTGGTTTTGTTAGTCTTGTTGTTTTAGCTGGCAATATATCTATTTAGGTTTACACTATATGCTGTGTTTCACCTCATTTACATTATAGTGTCAGATTTCAAAACCTTTTCTTTGCTGTTTGCTTCTGCCCCGTTATACTCCTTGCAGGTGTTTGTGACTTAGGTGTTAGTGTAGATTATAGTTCAATTCACAAAGCCTTTGTTATGTTTCTCAGAGGCATTACATGCATACATAGAGTTTGAGGATGACCGTGAGGCTTGTATAGGTTCATACCCAGAATTAGAAGATCCTCTTCTCTATATGTCTCTTCTCCAGGATATCCTTCACACTTGTAGGCTCACAGAGTCCTTTTTTCCAGTTTCACTGGCAAGTGAGATGTTCTTTTAGCATTTTAACCTTCCATATTACTGCACAGTTTTACCTGCTGAACCCATCTTTGGTGAAGTATTTAAAAAGAGAGAGAGAAATAACAATAATTATTTCAATCGTTTTTGCCCCATTGGGACTCTTTTTCTTATTTCTCTACACAGAGAAATTATTTTCTCTTGAATTTTAGATACGAAGCTACCTCCTCTGCAACTGTGCAGATCGACGACCTTGGGAAGAAAGTGGTAGAGAAAAGAGAGAGAGGGAGAGGAAGAGATAGCAAGAGATAGAGAAACAGAAGGGATTTCCTCCATACTTATCAGCTCACAAAGTCTCTTTTTCCCAGTTATCCAGGCAGGAGGATGGATTTCCCTAGGATGCTTTGATGTTTAGGCCTGTAGCTAAGTTTCTCAATTTGGGCCTGCCCTCAAGTCAAAGGCGAGAGGGCGGGGTGGGGCGGAGGCAGGGGCGGGGCGAGGGGGAGAAGTGGGGCTAGCAGGAAATACTGCAATTGTAAGTTGACTTCCCTCTAGAATCAGCCTGTTCCAATTGATTTACAGAGTTGCTTTCTGTATTTTCTCCCACATGGGCTGTAGTGGGCTTCTTCTCTCTTGGCTGTTACTGGAAGGTCTGGATCCTCTGTCCAACCAAGTTCACTGTAGACAGCATCTTCCTGCTACAGTCTAGGTACCGTCTTACCATGGCACAACATAGCATCTAGAACCAAGGAGAAGTGTCGGGAGTGGCCTGGGAAAAAGTATAACCTTCTCAGGTATTGGTGTGGAAGAAGAAAAACTCTTTATTTCAACTGCTCCGCTTAGGTTCTGGGATTCAGTTTCTCTACCCTAAAACAGCCATTTTAAAAACATGTTTTAAGTGTTTAATTTTTCTTTAATTCCAAAACTAGCTGACCAATAAATTAGCTTTCCATTATTTGATATTTGCTACAATTATATATGTTTTAAAGCTGGATTAAAAAATTAACTGAAATTAATAACCAATATAAAATTTTATAGTAATTTAGGAAACATGTAAATATGCTTTATGCCTAAATAAAGAATATGAAATTAAATTAGTTTGCCAATATCACCATTTACTGGGAATGTGTCAGGAGCTAAAGGTGAATACATGATAAATGAGCTCAGATGAAGCATTTATTTCCTGCAAACTTATCTGAGAAGTCCTCTAATATGTTTGCTTGTGTCCCCACCCAAATCTCACATTGAACAGCAGTTCTCATAATCCCCACATCATGGGATGAACCTGATGGGAGGTAATTGAATCATGGGGGTGGTTACCTCCATGCTGTTCTCATGATAGTGAGTTCTCATGAGATCTGATAATTTTATAAGGAGCTTTTCTCCAGCTTTCACTCTGCCCTTCTCCTTGCTGCTGCCATGTGAAGAAGGATGTGTTTTCTTCTCCTTCTGCCATGATTGTAAGTTTCCTGATGCCTCTCCAGCCATGCTGAACTTTGAATCAATTAAACCTTTTTCCTTTATAAATTACCCAGTCTTTGGTATGTCTTTATTAGCAGCATGAGAACAAACTAATATAGTATATTGGTACTGGGAGTGGGGCACTGCTGTAAAGATACCCAAAAATGTGGAAGCAACTTTGAAACTGGGTAACAGGCAGAGGTTAGAACAGTTTGGAGGGCTCAGAAGAAGACAGGAAAATGCTGGAAACTTTGGAGCTTCCAAGAGATTTGGAGGGCTCAGAAGATGGGAAGATGTGGGAAAGTTTGAAACTTCCTAGAGACTTATTGAATGCCTTTTCCCAAAATGCTGACAGTGACATGGACAATAATGTCCAGGCTGAGATGGTCTCAGATGGAGATGAGGAACTTTTTGGGAACTTGAATAGAAGTGACTCTTGTTATGCTTTAGCAAAAAGACTGGCAGCATTTTGCCCCTACCCTAGAGATATTTGGGGCTTTGAACTTGAGAGAGATGATTTAGGGTATCTGGCAGAATGATTTAGGGTAACAACAGAAGAGTTTGAAATACCATTCACATATCTAAACAGATTTTTATTGCACAAAAGTACACCATCTTTTGAAGTGAAGAAGTTATGGGAGAAAGATAATACCATTGGCATTATCATTTTGATAGCCATTGACACCAGCATCCTGATGTGTGGAGGAAACCATTTGTTCATCAGTCAAATGATTTCATGAGAATCATACTTGTGTGACCTTGGAAAGGGGTCCTGATCCAGACCCCAAGAGAGGGTTCTTGGACCCCACGAAAAATTTGAGGTGAATTCATAGAGTAAAGTAAAGCAAGTTCATTGAGAAAATAAAGAGTGGCTATTCCATAAACAGAGCAGCCCCAAGGGCTGCTGTTTGCCCATTTTTTATGGTTATGGTTATTTCTTGATTATATGCTAAACAAGGGGTGAACTATTCATGAGTTTTCTGGCAAAGGGGTGGTCAATTACCAGAACTAAGGGTTCCTCCCCTTTTTAGACTATATTTGGTAACTTCCTGCCATTGTCATGGCATTTGTAGATTGTCATGACGCTGGTGGGAGTGCCATTTAGTATATTAATGCATTACGATTAGCATATCACGAGCAGTGAGATTGACCAGAGGTCACTTTCATGGCCATTTTGTTTTTGGTGGGTTCGGGCCACAGGTTCTTTACTGCAACCTGCTTTATCAGCAAGGTCTTTATGACCTGTATCTTGTGCCAGCCTCCTATGTCATCCTGTGACTTAGAATGCCTAACTTACTGGGAATGCAGCCCAGCACGACTCAGCCTTATTTTATTCAGCCCCTATTCAAGATGGAGTTGCTCTGGTTCAAATGTCTCTGACAACTTGTAAACAGAAAAGTATCTGAGACAGGTCTCAATCAATTTAGAAGTTTATTTTGCCAAAGTTAAGAACAATGCCCAGAAGAAATAAACAAGGGATCACAGAAACAGTCTATGGTCTGTGCCTTTCTTCAAAGATAATTTTGAGGGCTTTAATATTTAAAAGGGAAGAGTGGGTTGGAGGGGAAAGAGGGAGGGTAGGGCAATCCACATCTTGCAAGGGAAAAGAAACAGGTAGGGGAATAGTCAATTATGCATTAGTCTTACACTCAATATATATGCACTTTACATAAGATAAGGTGAATCTGTGGAGATATTTAAACTTTTTTCTGTAGCTGTCTACTGAGGAACAAAAGGAAAGGCATTTTCTTGCATGACTCAGCTTTCAGCTTAATGTTTTACTTTTGGCATAATGAATTGGGATCTCAAGTTTTTATTTTCCTTTCACACACTTAATGTCTCTGAAGCTTGGCTTCTTTGCCTGAAAAAGAAGGTCGCTTATAGTAGTACCTATCCTCAAAGGATTATTAGGATTAAATGAGATAACGCATGAAAAAAGATCAAGCAAAATTTTTGGCAGAGAGAGCACTATAAACATTAACTCTTTTATTTGAGTGAATAGCACTATAATGTACAAACTCAAAGTTATGCCAGTCTCTAGAAGCTACAGAGAGTTCTATCACAGTGATGTATACAGAAGCCAACAAGTTGATGATTCTGTGAAGACAGAATTTCCTGATGGCCTTGTTGGGACTCAGAAAATAATATCTGAAAGCATGACACCTTGGCAGGCAGAGTACTTTGAACTAAAGATTGGAAGGCTTCAGAAGCAGCCTCAGAACCAGTGTCTCTCGGACCTTCTCTACTCTCCTGTTTCTCATTCCTCTTTTCTTCTGAGCACAGGGAGGGGCTTTCTGTGATGTTCCCTTATCTGACTACAGACAGAAGAAATGCAATTGTCATGAGTCTGCACCCTAGTAATCCATTACCCACAAAAGATTAACTGTATCACAGAAGAAGAGACTGAAATTTGACACCACCCGGACTATCACCTGTTCTTTGGAGAGCCCATTGATTTTTCTCCAAAATTATTCACTCTCCCTTAAGTTGCCTACATCTCCCCTCCAGTCTCCCCTACAAAGAGTGTATGCAGCTTTTAGGTCTCAGTGGCTTTTGGGGTACACACTTCTTTCCTTTGATGATGCCCCATGCATGTAATAAATGTGTTTGCCTTTTCTGTTGTTAATCTGTTTACTGTCAGTTTATTTTATAGACTTGATTATCAACTTCAGAGGGTAGACAGAAAAGTTTTTTTCTCCCCTACAGTCCATTACTATACACATACCGCTCGTGAAGAAATTATGTTCCTCTGTTTTTTTTAATAATGGGAATTTTCAATGAAAGAGGCTCAGAACAGGCTGGGCGCAGTGGCTCACGCCTGTAATTCCAGCACTTTGGGAGATCGAGGCAGGTGGATCACCGGAGGTCAGAAGTTCAAGACCAGTCTGGCTAACATGGCAAAACCCTGTCTCTACTAAAAATACAGAAATTAGCGGGGTGTGGTGGTGTGTGCCTGAAGTCCTACCTACTCCAGAGGCTGAGATAGGAGAATCGCTTGAACCTGGAAGGTAGAGGTTGCAGTGAGCCGAGAAAGCACCACTGTACTCCAGCCTGGGCGACAGAGCAAGACTCCATCTCAAAAAACAAACAAAAAACAAAGAGGCTCAGAACAAATAATTGAAGCTACTATTAATATAAAAATCAAAGAATCCACATCACATTTTCTGAGTACTTGGTAAATTAAAAAATGGCCACAAAAAACTACGTAAGTTTATTTGTTATTATCTGATCATGTGCTATGAACACATCTTTAGGAAAAAAGAAATTTTTTAATTTTGTATTTCAAATTCTGAGTGTTGTTTCAATTTTCTAATTTATAATCAAACTTTCTAAGCCAAATTGGGAGTAATTTTATTAAAATAATTTGTTTAGCATTTTCTAAAGTGAACAATTGGTGAAATAGATTTTTGAATAAAACTACTAAAAAAGAAGTAATTTTGTTATATGCCAATTTAAAAGAAAATATAAAAACAATTTACTTTCTTGTTTCAAATGAACAGCTAGAATTATATATGTTTGTGTATGTGTATGTGAGTATATAACTTAGTAATTATTTTAATGTTTTTTAGTATGATTTGTAACTCTTGTGCTAAAGAGAATTAAACAGTCAGTGGTCTATCTTATTTCTTTACGAAATGCAGTGCACTGTGGTTCACTGAACGACAATTAATTAAGACAGTTGCTCAACTGGCATGTTTTAGCTTCCAGTAAGATATGCAAATTAAGTATAATGTGCTATCTCATTAATTAATATTATAAATAAGAAACTTTTTTCTCTCAACTCACCTCATAATGGAAAATATATTACCTATATTTTCAGATAGATTGTGGAAAATTTCTGTATGTTCATCCATATATGTATTTTTATAGTATGTAATATTTTACATAAAATTACAAAGTATTGGCCAGGCGCGGTGGCTCAAGCCTGTAATCCCAGCACTTTGGGAGGCCAAGGCGGGCAGATCACGATGTCAGGAGATCAAGACCATCCTGGCTAACATGGTGAAACCCTGTCTCTACTAAAAATACAAAAATTAACTGGGTATGGTGGCAGGCAACTGTAGTCCCAGCTACTTGGGAGGCTGAGGCAGGAGAATGGCGTGAACCCGGGAGGTGGAGCTTGCAGTGAGCCAAGATCGCGCCACTGCACTCCAGCCTGGGTGACAGAGCGAGACTCCATCTCAAAAAAAAAAAAAAAAAAAAAAAAAAAATTACAAGGTATTAACTTTATAATGAGATGGAAAAGTATCAAACATTTATTGAGAATGAGTGAAAAAGAAGCTAGTGGGACTTGTAGTAAAGAGGCAACAAAATGTATCACTCCAGAAAAACAAAGGAGGTTTCCGGCTACTGCAGAGCTAAGAAATGCTTACACAAGAGGATAAATGTTCTGTGATTCCACTTACACGACATATCCAGAAGAGGCACATTCAGAGTAGTTTAGAGGAACCACAGATGGCAGGAGGGCAGAATGGGAGTTATTAGGTGATGATGATGATGTTGGCCTACTTATAGTTTGGTTGAAATTGGGGAAAAAAAGGTAGGAGAAAGAAAAGTGAAGTACGTAAACCCTGGTATGTTATACCAGGTAAGTTGACTTGGGTGTAGGAAGAAAATACTAGTTCCTACATTTAAATTTTAGATTTATTTAAACATAAATAAGACATTATACTTTACTAATTTTAATTCATAGAGTTTAAAAGGTGTCCTAATTCTGTCCCCTGTGTTAGGTGGTCAAATGTCCTCTATGTTCTATGAGCTACTCAGAGGCAATCATAGGGGTTCTCCAATAATAAGTAATGGTAATGATGTCCTCCCCAGTTGGTTTATCTTCAGCATAGTGTGACATAGTGCAGTAATATGCGCCTGTGAAGTGGATTTACAGATTATACCCTCCCAATTCAACCAAATGAACCCTATGAAATTATAAATTGCTTTAACTATTTATGCAAAGAGGCCATATGTTGAAGGTAATACCTACAATGCAAGTAGAGTAGGCAGCAAAACAAACAACAAGAAATATGGCAGGATGGATATGTTGGGAGGCAGGACACACCACCCCCAAAACATTACTGTGGAAAACCAGAATATGTCATCGCAACACATAGTTCTTTGGCATATTTGGAGCAGATTATTTTGAGAAACCACAGACATAGGAGCAGCTCTGAAAAGCTGCCCTTTTGTAAAGGAAATTTACGTCTATAGTAGGAAATTTTATTAGTAAAGACATCTTCAGTCCATATCAACTAATCTGGCCTAGAAGTTTCTTGTGTCTTGCAGTAATAGCCATTGATGTCATGACACTGTCATGATAGAAAAACTTTTTTTAAGTAAATATGTTTTAGATTTATCTGATTCAGTATTTATCTGTTTGACTTGCTTTACATATGTCAAGATTACTTTATTAAAAGTAAATAGGCATCCTGAGAAGGGCAATGGCACTCACACTGATAAGTAGTTGGTGAGCAGATAGCTATGTTACTGTGGTACTATAATAGAGTCTCCCTTTTATAACAAATATTAAGAAGACTCTAATGTAAACCTGTGAGATATAATTTTAATATAGAGAGTAGATAACGATTAGGTTTTCATGAACTCATTAATGTGAGCTGCTGGAATGTTTTATATGTGTTACTTGTATCCCAGTCTGGCTTGGAGGAGGAGAAGAAGTAGGGAGAAGAGGAAGGAGGAATCTTTTCTGAAAGCCATTTGTCTTAGATCAGTTTTTGATTTGTTAGCTGAATTTCTAGGAGTACCTGAAAAAGAAGAAGAAGAAAATAATTCTTCTGGGGTGATTTCTGTACAATCCACCCTGTGAGGCTGTTCCTAAAGCAATGTCTTTTTATCATCTTTTATGTTTGCCACCATAACATATATTGGGGTATATATGGATATTGCTGGTGCCAATGAAATTCCCTTTACTTTCTTTCACTGTTTTTGATTCCCAGCGTCTGCCCACTTTTTCTTTCAATAGTGCACAACTGTGGCTCTTCATAGAGCTGCTACTGCAGATGCTTGGCCTGTTGAAACTAGAAGTCCTCAGAATTTGTCTTCCCATTGCCACCTCCTCAGAAAGCCCTTAGTTAGAGACAAATCAGTGTAGGTTATGAAAGCTCAGGTCCTCTGCCTTAAGCCAGAACAAATTTTTGACACAGAATTGACACTCCAGGAATTCTTTGCGGAATCAGGCTAAAGCACTCCCCTCAAGACTTTCCTGAAATTGTACTTTTGCTTTCGGTTCTTCTTTTCTTCTCTGCTTCCCACATTCTATCATATATATATATATATATTTTCCTTCAGGGCATGTGCACATGAATTCTCAACATGTCTTTTTATTTGGAGGAGTATAAGATCAAAACAAATTTAGAGACTATTAGTGTAAAGGAGAAACCAGTTTACTGTTAAGAATAGCAAAACAAAATAAAACCAGAACCATCACCACCAACAAAAACCCCACATCCTCAAACACAAACAGCAGAACGATGACACCTGCATGTATTTATAGCTCCTAGAATTGCGAGAAGAAAGAAGAAAAATAGACATGTGAGTAGAACAGATTGGTGTCCTAATTTTCCCTCTTTGGCTTTTAAACAAAAGAAGATGTCCTGCTTGTCTATTGCTATAGAACATATCCCCTGAAAGCACATTAGATTACAACAATGAGTTGTTATTGTTTTCTTTGATTCATACAACTGATGAGTTCAGCCTGATGGTGCTCCTTTGGGGTTTCAATGAGATTACTGTTGAGGCTAAAGTACTTGAAAGATTTCTTCCCCTGTATGTCTGGTGCCAGGAAGTGCTGAGGCTGGTTAACCATCTCTCTCTATGTGGACGCTCAACATAAGGAACTTGAGATTCCTCACAGGGCAGTTCCAGAGCACTCAGATTTCTTATATGCTCCAGAGAAAGCATTCTGAAAGACCATGGCAAACACTACCATGCTGCTTCTTACCTAGGCTCAGAAGTCTTGTAGCGCCACTTGTGCCAGAGTTTCTTCATGATAAGTGAGTTACAGGGTTGGTCCATCCACGAGACTGTGAATGCTCAGAGACATAGTTCACTGGGACCTTCTTTAGATATGTGTTTAATAAAATGAAGGGAGTACAGAAAGTGTGGAATATTTACCTTGTTCCTTAGTGAATTAGGACACCAGAAAGAGACTCTGTGCAAAGCCTTACTACAAAATAAAGTAACAGGCCAATGAAGAGACTAGAGCAAGGTCAGGCCCTAGCTGGCATACGTGAATGCTCCTTATTTCTATTCAGATGTGGATTCTGAGTTGAGAGCCTATGGGTCTGTCAGGCATCCTACTAGGGTAGAGCTAAATTATTTTGCAGCAGAAATTGAAGGCAGACAATCTTATCAAGGGTTGAATTGAGGATATAGCAACAGTCAGGTGTTTTCATCACAGTAGGAGTTGAAGCAAATTCAGCAAAGTAGAATGGCCAGTGCTCCCCTCAATCTTATCACAGCACTAGTTTAAGAGGCATATAGGGAGTGCAGGGACTCAGAGTCTAAGAGATGTCACCTTGGACAGTGGTGATTGTCTGCTAGTGTACGCTCAAAAAGAACTTTGAAGCCCAGGCACCTCATTTTTCCATGGAATGAGGTCTTGCATCTCTCCCCTCTACACCCACTGTCTCCCTCAAGTATGTGGGAATTTAACATCTTAATTATTACCCTCACTAAAATGTTTCACCTACTACTGTGTTGCAAATGGGGTCTCTTATTGCTCTGAATAGTGTGAATTTAATGGGAAAGGAATTCTGTTTTACAGATTGAAAATCTGTGGCTCAGCGAGGTTAAGTATTCCATCAAGTTTATACAACCAGTAAAGGGGAAGGATCTTCTATGGAGATTCAGTTCTGCTGCCTCACATTGTGTTCTTTCCACTTTGTGATACTCTCCTTAATATTTACTTCTCTATAAGGTTGCAATTGAAATACAATTCTCAGAAATTCATCATTTTTTAATCTTCACTTTTAACTAACAAATACGTTTTCCTATTTGGTAACTGTAATCTAAAAACTGCTACATATTAATAAAAACTGACACTGATTTGTTTTTAGGTGTTCATTTATGCAGTGTGAATGAAGTCAGCTGTGTAAAAGTGACAAGAGAAAGAATTTCTTATGGCTCATTAGTAGAACATACAGCAGCAATCAATTGTAGTATTTAATAGTCACTGCACATCCAAGATAGAGATTTATTTCAGCAAAGGAATTAAACTTGAAAAAAGCAGAGAAGAAGAAGAAATAAAAGATTGGAAGTGATCATAGGAGAAGTTTACCAAAAAAGTCAGACTTTCACCAAGTTACATGATCCTTCCAGTTTTAAAATTACATGGATATTTAAGTTGAACCAGAAGTACATTCCTGACATTTTTCTTTCCCTTCAAAATATTTGTTTTACTATTCTAATATTAATAATATAAGTTGCCCAAGATATTAATCACACAATTGATTTTAAGGATAGCCTTTCAACAGCAGCAAAATAATAATTTAATAACATATTAAGTACTTTCTATGTATAGACATACCAATTTCTTTACATGAATCGACTAATTTAAGTTTTAACAACAGGTCTATGACTTTGGATATTAATATCACTATCATGAGAAAATAAGGCATAGAGAGATTGAATAAATTGCATGAGATTATACTCATCTACTAAGTGGTAGAATTGGGATGTGAACCAAAGTAGTCTGGTTTCAGAGTTACTCTCATAACCCACCAAAATGCATCTCCTTTCCATCTAAACTGTATTTGCTTAAGCAATATTTCAGTGTGTTCTCTCCCTAAATCCAATCAACATCATAATATGCACAAATAGGCAACGATACTAAGTATAACTACTGAAAATAATTACTATGAATTTAAAAAATAGTCTTAGGTAATAGAGAAGGGAACAGAATGGCATAGTCCAGAGAGTAGACAGGATGAACACGCAGAGATGCCAGAGAAAACTTACATCTTCTGATGTAAGACCTGGAAAGTAAAAAAGGCACTACAAGTGTTGTCTTTGGATAGGAAGTCTATGAATATACCATTTATCTGAACATAAGGGAAATGGCCTGAGAATGTGTAGTAACAATTTTGACAGGGCTCTAAGCAACTAGAGCAACTAGATTATATTAGACCTTGAGACCATGATAGGATCATGTCACATTTTGAGTTCACATTTTGAGTAAAAAGTGGAGCTCTTAGATTGTACACACAGAAGAATAACATTATCTTTTCTACATTGTGTTAATGACTCTGTGTACTGTGTTGAGAATAAACCATAAGACCCAAGGGTGGAAGCAGTAAGAACACTAAAAAGATGATGTTAATAATCAAGGATAAAGGTGATGGTGACTGAGTAAGTGATAGGAGTAAAGGAGTGGAGAAGTGGTTAGTTCTGTGTATGTCCTGAGATCTCAGAGTTTTCAGAAGTATTGAATTGGAGTTTAAGGCAAAGTGGAGAGTCAGGAATGACTCTGGGTTCTTTCATACATTTCATGCATTGATCATTGTGATTTTTAAGACTGCCTGTTCCTCAGAACGTATGTCTAACTTCTCAAGAGGACTTCAGTCAGTCCTTTTGACTGGCATGTCTAATAGTCACCTCAAACTTAACACAATTAAAATAGAAGTACTAATTCACATACAAGTGTGTAGAATATATTGTGTTTGCCCCTTCAGGAATAATTTCTACCCTTTTTTTTCCCCTTATATTGTCCCTAACTTGCTGAATACATCATACTTGTTATTCCTTCCACCTAGAATGTTTGTTCTACATTTATTTATATGGCTAATGCCATATTATTATCCAGGCCTCTACTCAAACATAACTTCTTCAGAACATCCCTCCAATTCTGATTATTCTCTCTCATTCTCCATTTTTATGTTTTTTTTTCTTTTCCGAAGACTTCCCTCTATCTGTATTTATATAGTTCATTTCACAGAATATTCATTTACTGTTTTTCTCACTACAGTGTAAGTCTTATAGGATCATGCATCCTACCTTTATATTTCTAGTATGTCTGTTTCCCAGATACCTAGTACAATGTCTATGGCATAGAAAATCATGAATGAATGAATGAATGAATGAATGAATGAATGAATGAATAAATAAACCATGTTATTAGGCAATAGACAATTACTTCACTTTGCATCTAATACGCATTAACAACTTACATTAAACTTAAAGATAATAATATCTTCTCTTCACTATAGGCATAGAGGTAAAACACTTTTTAAATAAAACATTCATTATGATTTCTTATGTTTAATTCATATAGACATGGCCAGAAAAAAATCATCTTCTCATTAAAGTCAGCTAAATATTTGGTTTAAATGAATATGGTAAATATGTAGACATACTTTTAAATGTTATTATATATATAAAATATATATAGTATATATATATTATATTATATATATATATATATATATATATATATACACACACACATAACTAAATTTACTTAACATCAACTTGGCACTACCAAAAAATGATTGTAAGACTTTGCTTTAACATTTAAAACATTAAAAGTATTTAATATCTAAATCACACTTAGATTTAAGTCAAATTTGCTTCAACAAACAACTTTATTGGATGAAAGCTTATATGCTAATATAAATAATGAATATTTATAGAGTATCTACAATGTGCCAGGTACTATAATTAACAATTAATCTAGAATTATCTCAATTAATCTTCATAAGAATCCATTAAGGTAGCTACTCTTAACTTCCGTTTGCATACAAGAAAACAGACTCTTAGGTAAAGTTGTAGCAGGATGAGCCACAGACAAGAAACCCTCAGACACCTAGCTGTGGAAGGAAAGGGCTTTATTCAGCTGGGAGCATCGGCAGACTCATGTTTCCAAAAACAGAGCTCCCTGAGTGAGCAATTCCTATCCCTTTTAAGGGCTTACAGCTCTAAGGGGGTCCACGTGAGAGGTTTGTGATGGATTGAGCAAGCAGTGGGTATGTGACTGGGGGCTGCAGGGGTCAGTCTTTAACTACCAGGCCTGGAATGCAGCGCCAGGCTGTCTGACTACTGATTTCATTTCTGTCTTTTCTTTAAGTCCTACTTTTTCTTTGAGGCAGAAATTGGTCATAAGACAATATGAGGGGTGGTCTCCTCCCTTAAAGTGATCTGTTGAAAGTTATAGATCTATTAGGTGGCATATTTGGAATTTTATTCCAAGTATTCCTGCCTCCAAATTTACACAATTTCCCTTTTTAAGTAAGGTCATTAGTTATAAACAGCCCTATCTTCCATTTCCCCAAGCCAGTATAAAAAAATACTTTAAAAAAATACAACTTTAAGTACTCTAGCCAATTCCTCCACTCAACTGATTCTTTCCTCTAGTACTCTGACACCAACATTTTTTAAATTAGGACTTAAAATTCAATTATTATACTATTTTTTCCTGTTCTTTACTAATCTCATGCTCATTTCTCCATTATTATTCAGGATAAATTTCAGGATTCATCACTAAAATTACTCTTGAATACTTCCTCAACTGTCTTGCCTCTCTCTGTCTCTTAGTTCTCTCCTAATAAAACCCAGTGTTGGTTAAATCTAATTCTTGGGCCACTCTACCTTTGCAAACAGCTAAACGGGCTAGACTAGAGAAGAGCATACAACCATGCTGAAAAGTATTACATTGAACTTAAGATCACTAGACCCAAGTTATCTCTTAGTAGAATTGTACAATTATACTATATTTTTGTAGTTCACTCATTTTTTCCAATTTTCTAGAAAGCCATCATATACTTTCTCTTCTCCTATTGCATCTCCAATTCTTCTTCCATCATCCTGTCTCCAAGGAGATTTTAATTCCTATTTTATTCAGGAAATGAAGGCAACCAGAAAACATTTTTTACTTTGCTTCTACTAACACATATCCTAAAGTCATTTGAGACCATACACTCTACCTTCTGTACTCTTAGTTTGGATAAACTGCCTATGCTCCTTTTTTTAGTTCCCCATAGGTACACTAGATCTCATCTCCTCTTGCTCAATTTCTCTGTGAAAAACATACGCAAAATGGTCCTTAAAAGCAACTGCTTATACTTTTATCTCCACGTATTCTCCAGTGAGTTTTTGTCCTTATCACTCCACAAAAAATGTTCATGTCAAGGCTACCAATTATTTCCATGTTGGTAAATTTAGTTGGTCTTCAGGTTACTCAACAATTATTAAAGGATGAGACACCATTGAGCGCTCACTCCTTTTATTCATTTGCTTCTGAGACATCTACTTTTCCTACTTCTCCTCCTATTTCATTGGTAATATAGTTTAGATATTTTTCCTCACCCAAATCTCATGTTGAAATGTAATACCCAATGTTGGAGGTGACGCCCAGTCGTGCATGTTTGGCTCATGGAGAAGATCCCTCATGAATGGCTTGGGCCATCCTCTTGGTGGTAAGTGAGCTTTACCTCTGAGTTCACACAAGTTCTTGACACTTAAAAGTGTGTAGCACCTGACCCAGCACTAGCTCCTGCTTTTGCCTTGTAAGGTGCCTATTTCTCTTTCACCTTATGCCATGACTGTAAGCTTCCTGAATCCTCCCTAGAAGCCAAGCAGATGCCAGCAGCATGCTTCTTGTAAAGCCTGCAGAACTGTGAGCCAATTAAACCTATTTTCTTTAAAAATTACCCAATCTCAGGTATTTCTTTATAGCAATGCAAGAATGGCTTAATACAGAAAATTGGTACTGAGGAATGGGGCACTGTTATGAAGATAACTGAAAATGTGAAAGTGGCTATGGAACTGTGTAATGGGCAGAGGTTACAGGAGTTTGGAGGGCTCAGAAGACAGGAAGATGAGAGAAAGTTTGGGACTTCTTAGAGACTGGTTAAATGATTGTGACCAAAATGCTGATAGTAATTGGACATGAAGTTCAGGCTGAGGAGGTCTCAGATGGAAATGAGGAACTTACTGGGAACTAGAGCAAAGGTCACACATGTGATGGCTTAGCAAAGAGTTTGGCTGCATTGTGTTCATGCCCTAGGGATCTGTGGAAGTTTGAACTAAAGAGAGATGATTTAGGGTATCTGGCAGAAAAAAATTCTATGCAGCAAAACATTCAAGATGTGACTTGGCTACTTCTAACAGCCTATGGTCAGATGCAGAAGCAAGGAAATGAGTTAAAGTTGGAACTTATATTTAAAAGGGAAGCAGAGCATAAACGTTTGGAAAGTTTGCAGCCTAGCCATGTGGCAGAGAAAGAAAAACACCTTTTTTGGGGGGAAGAGGAATTCAAACAGGCTGCTGAGCAAACACTTGCTAGAGAGATTTGCATAACTAAAAAGGAGCCGAGTGCTAATAGCCAAGATAATGGAAAGGAGGCCTCAAAGGCATTTTAGAAATTTTCCAAGCTGCACCTGTCATCACAGGCCCTGATGCCTAGGAGGAATGAATGGTTTCAGGGACCAGTCCCAGGGCCCTGCTGCTCTGTGTAGCCTCAGGACACTGTTCCTCACATACCAGCACCTCTGGATTCAGTCTCAGCCCAAAGGGCCCCAGATAACAGCTTGGGCTGTTCCTCTGGTGGGTACAAGCCATAAGCCTTGGCAGCTTCCATGTGGTATTAAGCCTGTGGGTGTGCAGAGTGTAAAGAGTGAAAAATGCTTGATAGACTCTGCCTGTATTTCAAATGCTGTATGAGAAAGCCTGGATGCACATCAAAGCCTACTGCAGGGTCAGAGGCACCACAGAAAACCTCTATTAGGGAAGTGTGGAAATGTAAGGCTGGAGCCCACATGCAGTGTTGCCACTGGGGCCGTGCCAAGTGGAGCTGTGAGAAGTGGGCTGCTGTCCTCTAGACCCCAGAATAGCAGAATAGTAGATCCACTGGCAGCTTATGCCCTGCTCCTGGAAAAGTACAGGCACTCAAAAACCTGTGAGAGTAGTCATGGGGGATGTAATCTGCAAAGTCACAGGAGCAGAGCTGCCCAGAGCTTTGGGAGCCTACTTCTTGCACCACTGTGCCCTGGATGCAGGGTATGAAGTCAAAGGAGATTACTTTGGAGTCTTAAGATTTAATTACTGCCCTGCTGGATTTCAGATTTGCATGGGTCCTGTAGCATCTTTCTTTGGGGGATTTTTCTCCTTTTTGGAGCAAGGAATGTTTACCCAGTGCCTATACTCACATTGTATCTTGGAAGTAAATAACTTGTTTTGAATTTACGGGCTCATAAGTGGAAGAAAATAAATCTCAGATGAGACTTTTGATTTGAACTGAACTTGAGACTTGAGTTAATGCTGGAATGGATTAAGAATTTAAGGGGGCTATTGAGAAGAGATTATTGTATTTTGAAATGTACAAAGGAGATGAGATTTGGGATGGTCTAGGTGTAAACTGATACAGTTTAAATATGTGTCCCTGACAAAATCTCATGTTAAAATATAATGCTCAGTGTTGGAAGTGGGGCCTTGTGGGAGGTACTTGGATCATGGAGGATGATCCACCATGAATGGCTTGGAATGGCTTGGGCCATCCTCTTGGTGATAGTGAGCTCTTGCTCTGAGTTCACATAATAGGTAGTCATTTAAAAGGGTGTGTCACTCCCCTCCCCACTTTCTTTCTTGTTTGCTTTTGCCTTCACCATGTTAGGTGCCTATTCCTCCTCCACCTTCTACTATGACTGTAAGTTTCCTGAAGCCTCCCTAGAAGCTAAGCAGATGGCAGCACAATGCTTCCCTTAAGCCTGCAGAACTGTGAGCCAATTAAACCTCCTTTTTAAATATAAATTATCCAGTCTCATATATAAGAACAACCTAATACAACTGACAACTTATATTTTCTGTTTCCTCCCAAAGCTTTAAACTTTGGAGTAGCCCAGAGATCAGTCTTTGAATATCGTCTTTCTTTGTTCGTACACATTGTCTTGGTGATCTGATTCATCCCCAAGATTTTCAGATCTCTAAACTGATGCCCACATACTCATCCTTCCAGCCTGAACTTCTACCCTGAACTGGTGCATAGAACAGTCTACTTAACATCCATGTCTGGAAAGCATATACTCTTTTCAAATTTGACAGGCACAAGAACACGCTTTTGTTTTCCCTTACTGCAAAGATGTTTTTCTCCAAATATTTTCCATCTGAGTAAAAGAGAATTCCATCCTTTTAGTTAATGAATCCAAATATTTTGGTGTCTTTTTTGTGTGCTCTCTTTCTTTTACAGACCATATTAAATTGCCATCCATTAGCAAATCCAGTTGATTCTTTCTGTTTTAAAGAATAATCCATCCACTTCTTACATCTCCCATTACTACTGAACAGCCATTATTATATTTTACTTGGATTACATAATGTAACAACTCAATGAGTTCATTTTGCCTCCTGCCCAGAAAAGCCAATACATTAAGAACAACAGATATTGCAGCAAAGAAAGAGTTTAATTATCTCGGGGCCAGCCAAGCAAAAGGATGACAGACATCTCTCAAATTTGCTTCCCTGAAAGCTCAGAGGCTTGGGTTTCTAAAGATAATTTGATGGCCAGGTTTCTAAGAAATGAATACTGCTGATTGGTTGGGGATGAATTCATGGAAGTGTCCAAACTGTTTTCACACACTGAGTCAGTTTCTGGGTGGGAGCCATTTCCTTGTTGTAAGTCAGAGGTTCAGGTGGAGTCAGTCAGTTGTCAGAATGCAAGAGTCTGAAAAACATCTCAAATGTCAATCTTAGGTTTTGATAATAGTTATGTTATATATTGGAGTAATTGGGGAAGATACAAATTTTGTGACCTCCAGAACAGTAAATGATTATAGAAAGAGAAGCTGGAGAACAATAGTTAGTTATCATTTAATGATGCCTATATCTTAGCAGAATTCAGATTTATCCCATAATCCTAATTTTGTGACCTTTAATTAATTTTATAAGGCAATTTCAATCTCTAAGCAAGGAGGGGTTTAGCTTCCAGAAGGACTGTTATTATCTTTGTTTTAAAGTTAACAAAGGCAGTTATCTTGTGAGGCCAGAAGCAAGATGGAATCAGTTAGGTTAGATTTCTCTCACTGCTATAATTTTCGCAAGAGTGATTTCAACAATAATATCCTACCTAACTTTTCTGCTTTTTAATCTCTTCTATTTTGTTAGCCATGGTCTTGAAAGGAAAGAAATAGCACATTCAAATTTATTAATTAGAAGAATTTAATAAAATGTTTATAAAGTTGTTGGTATGGTTGGGAAAAAGCAAAAAGAAAAAAGAAAAAATTGCAGTAGTTGGAGGCTAGTAAAAATAGAGAGTGATTACCACACCCAGGCTTGGAGAATTTAGGACAAGAAGTAGTTATCAGACCCAGGGGAGAGCTACATGGTAGGGGCTATGGCTATTGGAAGTGCTGGTGAAACATAATGAAAAACAAAATCTGTCAGTTCTGAAAAGTTCTTTACAAAGGTAAAAGGAAAAAAAATTATTATTGAATAAGCATTAAACTAGAACATGACTTGCATCATAGGCAATTTGCTAAGAGATTTCAAAGACAGTAAAAAAACTCAGTCTTTTATTCAATATAATACATATATATTCACAAGATAATAACTTGTCCTCAAGTAAGAGGACTTGACAGCAACATTTGTCATAAACACTTCATCATAAATTTGCCTGGCTATTAGGGTGGCCATCAGTGTTAGTTAATTGATTATATACGAGGGAAAACTAAACCTCACATTTCTTAATGACAGGAGATAGTTTTGCAACTTACAGTGAGGTGCCTACTTAGTTACCCTTCCACTAAAATCTGAAGATAATAGCACTATCTTCTTTGACTACATTTCAAAGAGATAGTCCCCACATATTTAAGTAAGACATTTTTGAGGTAAAAGCTAGCAAAACTCTTATCTAGGTCTTAAAAAGATATACATACATTTCAAATAGATAGAGACAGAATATATAATTACAAGTTTTCTAAGTAAATACTCTAAAGGAGGGGAGGGAAGTCTCTTTCCTTGTTTGCAAAAGGGAGTATGAAACCCCTTATTTTTAATTTGTATTTGACCTTACAAGCAAGATGGAGGAAACCCACAATGACTTCTCAGAAAAGCCAAAGAAATAGTTATCTTGACCTCACTCTTCTTATAGCTTCTAGATCTCCTCTCAGTGCCTCCCTATTAGTGTCTGAATCTTGGCTTTCAGATTTTTGTGAAAGCAATGACTAAAACACATACTCACCTACAGGTATATCATTCAGTAGGTGACACAAGAAGTGAGTAGGAGGAACCAGAAAGAATGAAATAAGAAAAGGAAAAGTTAATACAAACGTGCATTGCTGAATTTGGTCCTCTCCAGAGGCAACTGGGGCTTCATCCTTCTTGGGATTTCTCGGTAACACACAGAATGACTCTTAGATAGGTCAGCAAAAGATTAATGGGAAAAAGCATTTATCCATCACTCCCATTTCCCATTGTTTGAGGGTTAACACGGGGTATTAACTTCTTCCACACTTTCAACTGTGCTTGTAGCAATACGATGTGGGCTTCTGCTGTCATCTCATGTCACAGTAAATGAACTATCAAGGCTTGGGCTTGAAGCAAGAGGCTACCAAAGGGAAGGAAGTCAAAACCTTTAGGTATATGCTCAGTGAGTTAAAAACCTGTAGGTAAATGCTCAGCTCTAGCTGAAAAGGGGAATGTGAGGCTAAACTCAAGAGGTAGCTAATGTACCTCTGTTGGACATACCCAACTAAGAGCCGAAAGAAAGGAAGTCAGTTGATGCCGTACATATGGGACAAACTCCTGGGGCAGAGAGCAGGATGGAGACTAAATCTGGAGGTGCAAATAGAAGATATTCAATATACTTCCTTTACAGGCTATTTTTAAAACCATTGCCAGAATGATCTTTTTAAAACCTAAGTCACAGCATATCATTTCCCTGCTCAAAACCCTATTTTCTTACTTCTATTTATGTTTTTTCTACATCACAAATTGAAATCAAATTTGTTAGGAAGCAAATAGATGTTCAGTTGGCAATATATGGAGAATAATTGTGGTATGCTAAAATGAAATGCCACATACATATTTGAGGCATGAATATTGCACTGAAAATCACATTTGAACATGGAATTTAGTTACTGTCACTATGTAGTTTTATATATTTGAAAACATGAAAATATTAATCAGTTCTGGAATGTAAAATTAAGCAGATATTTAGCAGCAGAAAAAAAAGACAGTATATAGCTCTTAGGTTAAAATTACTGAAACTCGTGGTATCTTATTAAGAACATTTACCCTGACTGCGTGAATAATCTGCTTTTTAAAATTATTATTATTGACTTGTTTAAAGGCTATTTCTAACCATTTAACTTTGAATTTTTGTTTAATATAATGTCCCCACTAAAGATGACTAAATTATGTTCAAATACTTGTATGACTGCATACTACAGAAAATTATTTTTATAGTTATTTTTGCCACTATGACAGATAATGGCATTTCAAAAATATAAAGATGGAACATGGTCTCTTTTCTCAGTAAGCTCTCAGCATAGCATAATTGTATATTCTGATAAATGCTATAAATAAAGGTAGAAACAGGTATAATGTCAATACATAGGGCAAATTCTGACTTATTCTTCTGGAGTAAAATGTTGCCTCCAGAAGAAGATTTTTGACATTCACCTTCAAAGTGAAGCAGGATATGGCAGAGGAAAAGGTACCTAGCATGAAGATTTTAGAAGTCATGGTTTATTAAAAGGCTACTGGTAGTACAGAAAAATATTGGACTTTCAGACAATTTTATGATGAAGATGAGAAAAAATGGACAGTAAGAGTCATACTACTTTAGCTTTATTTGTCCTCTTAAAGAAAGTTTACTCTTTATCCTACGATGTGATAGCTAGCTACTGAAGGCTTTCCTGCAAGGAGCTAATGATGTCAAGTTTACTCTTTAAAGAAAAAAAAAAGTACTTTTACATGAAATGCAAGTCTGACTACAGGGGCAATTGGAGCTAGGAAGATCAATTAGAAGCCTATTGCAATTGCAAAAATGAGAGATATAAGTTCCTGAATTAAATTTCTGGCTATAGAAATGGAAAAAGTGAAGGACTTCATTAGCTACTTAACAGGTAGAATCTATCAAATTGGTAACCCAGGAAACCGAAACCAGGCCAACCAAGAGAGAAATCTAGAGAACTCTCACATTTCCAACTTCTGTAGCTGGAAGCATGACAGTCACACAAGGAATGTAGAAAAACTTTTGGGTTGGGTAGAAGATTCAAGAGATGCAAAGCTACCGTTTCAGTTCCTTATCCTTGTTAGAATAAACCTCCCACACTAAGTGCCAGGAAGCAACCACCATTGCTTATGGCCGTAGATTCTGTGGATCAGGAATTCAGAAAAAGCACCACAGAAATGGTTTGTAGCTGCTCTGTGATATCTGTGGCCTCATCTGAGAACACTCGAAGGACTGGAGATGACTCAGACAGCTGTTGTCTAGAACATCTGGAACAGAAGTTCTCAAAATTTGCACTCAAAACACTTTTACATGTTTAAAAATTATTGAAGATGCCCAAAGGGTCTTTGTTTATGTGGATTATAACCATCAATATTCACAATATTAGAAATTAAAACAAAAAACTTTTAAAGTACTTGTTTTTCAATTTAATTAAAATAGAAATGATAAGCTCTCCAATTGGTGTTGTATGTAACTGTGTTAACAGAAATCTTTATTTTCCTGACCAACAAAACACTGTGAGAGGGGTGGCCTTGTTTTCCATTTGGGTAAAATGCTTTACTCTCTGACATAATAGGAAACAGCCAGTTTCTCATGTGTACTTCTGCATCCAGTGTTGCAGTGTGTTGTTTTAATTAAAGTATATGAAGAAAATGTGACCTCTCATAGATTTAAAGTTAGAAAATAAAGTAATATTTTAATAGCTCTTCAGATATTTATGAACATTTTCCTTTTATATGATACCAAAGCTTGACAGAAGGCATTTTCTGAAAGTTCAGTTGCAGTATGAAATCTGAAACTGTCTTACTGATTTTTTTGGACTCTGCTACATTAAAATCCATTAATCTATCTTACACTTGAATGAATCTTGAATGGGCCTTTTACCCATAAATAGTTTTTGTAATGCCACGCACATGTCATTTGAGTATGTTGTTTCACTAAGCTATGCAGGTCTTCCAAATGCTGATATATTTCATTGTAAAGTATCAAAAAATACCATTTATTAAAATTATCACCTATTTCATCAGAAGTGCTTTAGGAAGCTGTCAAACTCATAGCAGATAAAACCTCAAAATTTATCATTGACAATCAATGCTGTCAATTATTTTCCTTAAAATAATACTTTTCTTTTTCAAGCAAATATCTTCCAAATACCTAATGCTGAATAACTATAGATTTTGGGTTCATTCTTTCATGTAAAAATGGTGTTCCGTGAAAAAAGCACATATTCCAGCCCACAATTCAATTGCACAAGTGTTTTTCCTTGAGACAAGTTTCATACTTAGTATGCAGCTTTAATAGTTTGCTAAGGCTATCATAAAAAAAATCACCAACTGTGTAGTTTCATCTACTTTCTTCCCAGTTCTGAAGGCTAGAAGTCAAAGATCAAGGTGCCAGAAGATTTGGTTTCCTCTGAGACTTCTGTCTTTGGCTTGTGGATAGTCACCTTTTCACTGTATGCTTAAGTGGTTTCTTCCATGCATGTGCACCTCTCTCTCTCTTTCTCTGTCCTAATGTCTTATAAGAATACCTACATTTTAGGCCGGGCACAGTGGCCTAAAATTACACACCTGTAATTCCAACACTTTGGGAGATCAAGGCGAGTGGATCACTTGAGGTCAGGAGTTCAAGACCAGCCTGGCCAACATGGTGAAACCCCATCTCTACTAAAAATACAAAAATTAGCCAGGTGTGGTGGCACATGCCTGTAATCTCAACTACTTGGGAGACTGAGGCCGGAGAATTGCTTGAACTTGGGAGGCGCAGTGAGCTGAGATCGCACCACTGCACTCCAGCCTGGGCTACAGAATGAGACTCCTCTGTCTCAAAAATAAATAAATAAATAAAAATAAAGAATACCTATATATTGGATTAAAGCCCACCCTAAAGACCACATTTTTACTCAAGCACCTCTTCAAAGGCGTTATCTTCAAATACTGTCACTTTCTGAAATATGGAGGGTTAGGGCTTCAATATCTAAATCTTGGGGGAACACAATTCAGCCAAGAACAGCAGAAAAACAGTTTATGTATACTATTCATCATGCCACATAAAATGTTAGAAAAATGAGTATTAAAGAGTTATTTCATAAAATTATTTTTTTCTGCACCATCAAGGATATGTATGAAGATATGACAATGACATTTTTTTCCTGCAAGTACATGGGAGTGAAGAATTTTAAGATTAATATATCAGCTTGATGCCTCTGTACTGATTCATGCTAAGGCACCAGTGGTTTTACCTATCACTAATTTCACATCACTTCAAATGTCAACACAGTGAAAACAGTATAGAGTGTGTTAGCATTAAGAAACAATTCTGATTTCACAGATCTTTTAGGAAAATTTCAGTGGCTCTTGAAGTTCCATGCACTAAACTTTGACAAACACTGATAATTACTTACATGACTGCAAATAGATAATTTGAAGGATGGACTTAGCTAGAATGATAGACAGGCATACCTAGACTTGACTTCTTCACACAGCTTGAGTTACCTTGCAGCATGGAGCTTCCGGATAGTTGGAGATCTTAAATTATATTGTTGTGAATGTTGCAGCAAAGCAGAGGCTGAGTGGCATTTTATGATTTAGTCTCTGCAGTGACATCCATCACTTTTATCATATTCTGATGTTTAAGTAGTCACAAGTCCAACCATAATCCAGGGAAGGAGACACTGACCCCCACCTCTCAATGGCAAGATTACCTAAGAATTTACAAACATATTTTAAAATTTCCACAGACTGATTTTTGGCCATAAGTTATTTATAGTCTTCTGCTATGCAAAACGCACTCACTCCTCCAAAGACCTCTGTCAAAATTTGATCCCATTATAACATCAGGTTCATGATTCAGGGTCTTGTCATGTAAATCATGTCTAGGTGTAAACAAAGTGCCTTGGGTTTGGTTAATCAGTATAGTTTCGTTTGATTTAAAGACCTATAGTCTATGGTCTAAAGAGACCATTTATCTGCCCCAAAATCACCCAGCTTACAACAGTTTTCAGGAATGGGATAGCACAGCAGACACTTCTACTTACAAAGAACAAAAAGGGTACGCTAGTTAAGTTTCTCCACAAAAAAATAGAACTAAAAGGAAATATAAAGAATAGAAATATTCTTTATTTTCTCTCTCTGGATCTCTCTGTCTCTTATTATAAGATATTGGCTTACATGATCATAGAGGCTGAGAGGTTTCAGGACCTGCTCTCTGAAGCTTGCAACCTGGAGGCCCAGGAAAGCTGAGAGCTGGATACCTGAGAGTACAGATTCCAGTCCCTGTCTGAAGACTTAAGAACTTGTAATGCGAAGGACAGGAGATCTAGCAGTGGGGCAGCATTAATTAACCTTTCTTTGCCTTTTTGTTCTATTCAGCCCCTCAACCCAGTGGACGACGCCCACTGGCATTGGAGAGGGCCACCTGTTTTACCACCAATTCAAATGCTAATGTCTTCTGGAAAATCTTTCACAGACACACCCACAAATAATGTTTAACCAGCTATCTGGACATGTGGCCCAATCAAGTTAACACTTAAAATTAACTCTCACAGAGGGGAAATGGGAGGCACATAGCAGATACTTGCTATTAGTAATTCTAAAATTTGATAGAGTACCTCTCACTGGTTCCTTGATTAGGGTCCTTTCCTACTCCCTTCTCTGCTGCTTTTAACTCTGCCCATTGAACTTTTAATTATGCCAAGGCATCTTTCCTATACCATAGGAAATGCCCCATTTTGTAGCTGAGTAGTTTTCTTGACCTCTTCTTTGTCCTAGAAATTTTGGGGGTTCAGAAGCCTCTTTTTATTTTGTCGTGATTCTAGTTTTTCATCTATTCACACAAAATTTTCAAGTTTCCTTTTGTAAATGCAGTCCTTGATACTCTATTTATAGAGTGCTTAATATGTGAAGGCAAGATTAGCCACTGGGATGTAGAAATTAACAGAATAGGCATAGTTTCTGCCATTATGGAGAATAGAATCTAATTCGACAGCTTTTCATCATTAAGATTCACCACACAACAAAAGTAAAAGTCTCTAGAAAATATCTATCAGAAGAATAATCCTATTCTGCACGGTTAAGGGAGGCTTCTTTAAGGAAGTGACATTTAAGCAAATATCTAAAGGATGAATACAAATTAACTTTAATGTGTTCACTATTTCTGTATTAGTGCTGTATATGTTTTGGACATTTAATTAATACCTTCTGATAGCTAAAATATTGTTATTTTTAATATAAATCTAAAACAATCCACAAAATAGGCATTTTTATTCAAATCTCTCAAGACTAGCAAATATAGAGGGGAGAGATTTTCTTCGCTTTCTGTGGCAGAAGTAGTCATTATAATTTATCCTTACGCAACTAAATCTATATGCAGCAATATTGCCGTGGCAGTCGTGGTAAGCACACATATACTCACATGAGTGATTATTCTTCATCATTTGATCTCTTCCATAAAAAGAATAAAAGTTACTGTTGAAATAAATAAGAATAAGGAATAGAGCTTATGCTTATGGGCCTAGGGCCTATGATTAAATATTTAACAAGTTTCCATTGGAAGCTTGCATTTTCAGGGATTTATTGTTCTGATATAAAATTTGCTGGGATTAAACTAGGCAGACAGCAACTTTTTATTTTTTTTTAATCTAGGTAAAATTGGTTTGCCTGTTTTATGTTATGGAAGTTTAAAGGAAAAAAAAAACATGATATTTCTAGTCTTCAATTATATCTGAGCACTTTTACTCAGTGTGGGTCTAAATTTAAAAAGTAGTAATGATAATAAAATAAAAAGATGGGTTTATAGACATGTATTTCATGACAGAAAATGAGAGTATGAAATAGGTTTCTCATAATTGAATGGGTTTTAACTAATTGTAATTTCTTTTCTTTCACAAAGAATTGTGTGGCAAATGAAAACTGGGACTGGCTGTATGGTATCAAGTATTTAGTACCATTTCTACCCTATAGCAGTTGATTTCATCTTCACAAGTGGGTTGATAGATTATTCTGTTTAGGACATTTGCAACTCCTGGCTTTTAATTTGGCCTGGTATTAGAATAGACATTTGTAACAGTATTATTTTGTGTGTGCATGTGTCCAGAAATTTAATGGTTTTTTATGCAATGTCCTTTTTAAAAATAACTAATAGCACTGGGCCAAGAAAGCAATTTTCACTCTTTGTTTCTAATAAAAAGTATAAATTCATCAGTACAATTAAAGGACATTTTTTGACATTGTTATTTTATATAAAACAAGGGAGCAAATATGGAAAAATAACAAACAATATGATTAGAGTATATGTAGACTTGTCACCAATTCTTGGTTACCATATTCCCACTGTGAAATTTGGAAGTGTAATTTAATATAGAATAATAATTCATTACATAGTAACAAATATATAAAGATTATTATGCTGAAAATTTTTATCAGAAAAAGAATTAGAGAGCTGAAATAGTTTAAATAAAGGTGGATCATTTGAGGGCTAAGGAAGAATAGGAAAATGAATGAAAAAAATCAAGCTTATTCTGAAAGTTTTGAGTTCATATGTCCATTAACATACTAGAGAAAGATAAGATATGGATTTTTATTGATTTTTTTTCTAAGTTTTAAACTTTTTTAGAGACAAGTTCTCATTCTGTTGCCCAGACTGGAGGGTACAGTGGTACGATCATAGCTCAATGCAGCCTCCAACTTCTGGTCTCAAGAGATCCTCCCACCTTAGCCTCTTGAGTAGCTGGAACTATAGGTGTGTGCCACCATATCCAGCTAATTTTTTTTTTTTTTGGTAGAGGTTGGATCTTGCTATGTTGCCCAGGCTGTTCTCAAACTTCTGGATTCAAGCAATCCTACTTCAGCCTCCAGTGCAAGTCACTGCACCTGGCCCAAAAATAAGGTACATTTGAAAAATCAAAAGCAGACACACTGATGGGAAGTGTGATGGTGGATGGAATTAGAGATTGCCATAAAGAATCCAGTGTAGCCAACGTGGAGTAGGAAAACTGAGTTTGAAACTTGAGAGAGGTCAGGGCAGCAGAGATAGAGTGAGAAGCCAGCTACAAAGAGGTGACATTAGATAAATTGGCTCAGGAACAGAGGGATTAAGGAGAGAATATGGTAGTCCCATTAATTGTCCATTGTGGAATATGAATATTTAAGGGGAAGACTGAGGAAGAGGAGTTGGAAAAGTTAGATAATAAGTTCATTGAGAAAGAAAGAAAACAGAAAAGAAATAACTTGCTCAAGTGCATGTGTATAGTAAGTTTCTGAGGTAGGTTGGCATAGATGTATGGAGGATCTTCTGTGGGGTACAGACTCTGCTAGACAGTGCTAAATACACGGGCTTGAAAAGATTCAGTCTTTATTTAAACAAGCTTGCAATGGCAAATAGTTATAAATGAGATTTTTTTAGATATTATAGAAATCATTTGGTGAAGCTAACATCAGAAAAGATATTGAATCAATATTACAATGGAAAATGAGAATTTTCTGTCTTTATAAAAGTACATGGTTTGTAAACCTATTTTTCTGAAGCAGTTGTGAATTTCATATACAATTTCCTGATATTTTTTTCCATTTGACTTTGGGGGAGATAATTGAATGCAAAGATCAGCTGAACTCTGGAGGCAATTAACATCTGATTTAAATTTAGTCTTCCGTGGAGCTTGGGTGATTAGACTACCACTTAGCAGGAATGTATCTGTAGGATAGCCAGGGGGCACGCACACCTGTTATCACTACAGCTGGTTGGCAAATGTCATTGCTACTTCATATAAATAAAGCAATGAAATGGATAAACAGCATTTCACAGACATATTATGAAGTCATTGTAGGGTGTTTTGATGATTTGTGCATTTCTTCATAAATTAACACTGTATATTTGTTAAAATGATATAGTAACACTTAAAGAAAACATATGTTCAGCAAGTAATTTAGTCATTATAGAATGTAACATTCATCTACAAGTTAAAGTGCTTTTTTTCTTATTATGGATATAAAACCTGTATCTTACTAAAAGAATAAGTGAATAGGCGGGCAAAATGAACAGGATAAACAAATATTTAGATGTTATCTATAAAATGAGGCTAGATAATATAGAGGCAATGTGTTAAACCATGTATTTTCATCTCTTTTAATGATCTGGCTAAATTATGATAAGCTATATAGTAGGCGTAATAAAAATTTCCTGGGAGGGCCAAGGGAAATATGTTTAAAACCATCATTTTTATAAAATGTAGATGAAAGTGATTGATACTACGTTATTGATAAGATTATTATCAAATACACACAAAAGAATATACATCTAATGATTGTTGTTAGGTACTACTTTGTGTGTACTGTGCTATCTCATAAGAGTTTATTTCGAGATATTGAATTACAGTTAATTTATAAACTAGAAATAAGAAAACAAGCACCTGAGGTCGGGAGTTCAAGACCAGCCTGGCCAACATAGAGAAACCCCGTCTCTACTAAAAATACAAAATTAGCTTGGTGTGTTGGCACATGCCTGTAATCCCAGCTACTCATGGGGCTGAGGCAGGAGAATCGCTTGAACACAGGAGGCAGAGGTTGCAGTAAGCTGAGATCGCCCCATTGCGCTCCAGCCTGGGCAACAAGAGCAAAACTCCATCTCAAAAAAACTAAAAAGAAAAAGAAAAAAAAAGAAAATGCTGATATTTGAATGACTCTATGCGTTAGGTTAGTTAGGCTCTGAGAAAGAGTGGACCTTCTGAGCCTCCCTAAGCCCCACTCATCTACCCTGATGGGTAACATCTGAGCAGCACTGTAATCTCTTCTAGAAAGTTCTGATAGACAATTTTAAGGGAGTAATGAGTGGAATGACTTAGAGGATTAACTGAATATAACACCATTTTTCTTATCATTATTACCCCTTTGTCAGTAGAATGATAACCCAACTTTCCATCTCATTGTTGAACCTCCCTAATCCCCCAGTCTGGCTCCTTCCTATCCATGCAAACTTCTCTTCTGTTGCCCTGTTGATAGATACTGTCTGTTCCAGCTACACACGTTTCTTCAGTTTGTACTGTCACACAGTCTTGACTCCAATATTTTGCCCTTCCTAAAACACTTTGCCCTTGCCCTTTGACCTATCCAAGTGCCAACCATAACTGAACACTCAGTCTCACCTCCTTCATTAGGCTTTCTTTTATTGCTCCATTCTTCATTGATCTCTCTACTTCAAATGTTTATTGGCTATAACTACCTGTAGAATTCATTTAGCAATTCATTAAATTTTCACACAAGACAGATTTTACAATTGTTCCAAGGTTTAGATCATGTCTACATAAATAGATTATTTTCTTCTAGAAGGCTTCAGTGTTTTATACCTTTCTTCTCATCACAGTAGTATTTTGATGAATACTTGTTAAATTAAAAACAAGGGTGGAGTCAAGATGGCCGAATAGGAAGAGCTCCAGTCTACAGCTCCCAGCGTGAGCGATGCAGAAGATGGGTGATTTCTGCATTTCCAACTGAGATACTGGGTTCATCTCACTAGGGAGTGCTGGACAGTGGGTGCAGGTCAGTGGGTGCAGTGCACTGTGCGTAAGCCGAAGCAGAGCGAGGCATCACCTCACCCAGGAAGTGCAAGGGGTCAGGGAATTCCCTTTTCTAGTCAAAGAAAGGGGTGACAGACGGCACCTGGAATATCAGGTCACTACTACCCTAATACTGAGCTCTTCCAACGGGCTTAACAAACGGCACACCAGGAGATTATATCCCACATCTGGCTCGGAGGGTCCTACGCCCATGGAGCCTCACTCATTGCTAGCACAGCAGTCTGAGATCAAACTGCAAGGTGGCAGCAAGGCTGGGGGAGGGGCGCCCACCATTGCTTAGGCCTGAGTACATAAACAAAGCGGCCAGGAAGCTCGAACTGGGTGGAGCCCACCACAGCCCAAGGAGGCCTGCCTGCCTCTGTAGGTTCCACCTCTGGGGGCAGGACACAGACAAACAAAAGACAGCAATAACCTCTGCAGTCTTAAATGTCCTCGTCTGACAGCTTTGAGGAGAGTAGTGGTTCTCCCAGCACGCAGCTTGAGATCTGAGAATGGGCAGACTGCCTCCACAAGAGGGTCCCTGACCCCTGAGTAGCCTAACTGGGAGGCACCCCTCAGTAGGGGCAGACTGACACCCCACATGGCCAGGGACTCCTGTGAGACAAAACTTCCAGAGGAACCATCAGGCAGCAGCATTTGTGGTTCACCAGTATCCGCTGTTCTGCAGCCACCGCTGCTGATACCCAGGCAAACAGGGTCTAGAGTGGACCTCCAGTAAACTCCAACAGACCTGCAGCTGAGGGTCCTGACTGTTAGAAGGAAAACTAACAAACAGAAAGGACATCCACGCCAAAAACCCATCTGTGCGTCACCATCATCAAAGACCAAAGGTAGATAAAACCACAAAGATGGGGAGAAGACAGAGCAGAAAAACCGGAAACTCTAAAAATCAGAGCGGCTCTCCTCCTCCAAAGGAACGCAGCTCCTCACCAGCAATGGAACAAAGCTGGACGGAGAATGACTTCAATGAGTTGAGAGACGAAGGCTTCAGAAGATCAAACTACTCTGAGCTAAAGGAGGAAGTTCAAACCCATGGCAAAGAAGTTAAAAACTGTGAAAAAAAATTAGACAAATGGTTAACTGGAATAATCAATGCAGAGAAGTCCTTAAAGGACCTGATGGAGCTGAAAACCAAGGCACGAGAACTACGTGATGAATGCACAAGCCTCGGTAACCGATGTGATCAACTGGAAGAAAGGGTATCAGTGATGGAAGACGAAATGAATGAGATGAAGCGTGAAGAGAAGTTTAGAGAAAAAAGAATAAAAAGAAATGAACAAAGCCTCCAAGAAATATGGGACTATGTGAAAAGACCAAATCTACGTCTAATTGGTGTACGTGAAAGTGACGAGGAGAATGGAACCAAGTTGGAAAACACTCTGCAGGATATTATCGAGGAGAACTTTCCCAATCTAGCAAGGCAGGCCAACATTCAAATTCAGGAAATACAGAGAACGCCACAAAGATACTCCTCGAGAAGAGCAACTCCAAGACACATAATTGTCAGATTCACCAAAGGTGAAATGAAGGAAAAAATGTTAAGGGCAGCCAGAGAGAAAGGTCGGATTACCCACAAAGGGAAGCCCATCAGACTAAGAGCTGGTCTCTTGGCAGAAACTCTACAAGCCAGAAGATAGTAGGGACCAATATTCAACATTCTTAAAGAAAAGAATTTTCAACCCAGAATTTCATATCCAGCCAAACTAAGCTTCATAAGTGAAGGAGAAATAAAATACTTTACAGACAAGCAAATGCTGAGAGATTTTGTCACCACCAGGCCTGCCCTAAAAGAGCTCCTGAAGGAAGCACTAAACATGGAAAGGAACAACCAGTAACAGCCATTGCAAAAACATGCCAAATTGTAAAGACCATCAAGGCTAGGAAGAAACTGCAAAAACATGCCAAATTGTAAAGACCATCAAGGCTAGGAAGAAACTGCATCAACGAACGAGCAGAATAACCAGCTAACATCATAATGACAGGATCAAATTCACACATAACAATACTAACCTTAAATGTAAATGGGTTAAATGCTCCAATTAAAAGGCACAGACTGGTAAATTGGATAAGGAGTCAAGACCCATCAGTGTGCTGTATTCAGGAAGCCCATCTCACGTGCAGAGACACACATAGGCTCAAAAAAAGTGATGGAGGGAGATCTACCAAGCAAATGGAAAACAAAAAAAAGGCAGGGGTTGCAATCCTAGTCTCAGATAAAACAGACTTTAAACCAACAAAGATCAAAAGAGACAAAGAAGGCCATTACATAATGGTAAAGGGATCAATTCAACAAGAAGAACTAACTATCCTAAATATATATGCACCCAATACAGGAGCACCCAGATTCCTAAAGCAAGTCCTTAGTGACCTACAAAGAGACTTAGACTCCCACACAATAATAATGGGAGACTTTAACACACCACTGTCAACATTAGACAGATCAACGAGACAGAAAATTAACAAGAATATCCAGGAATTGAACTCAGCTCTGAACCAAGCAGACCTAAGAGACATCTACAGAACTCTTCACCCCAAATCAACAGAATATACATTCCTTTCAGCACCACACCACACCTATTCCAAAATTGACCACATAGTTGGAAGTAGAACACTCTTCAGCAAATGGAAAAGAACAGAAATTATAACAAACTGTCTCTCAGACCACAGTGCAATCAAACAGGAAGTCAGGATTAAGAAACTCACTCAAAACCGCTCAACTACATGGAAACTGAAGAACCTGCTCCTGAATGACTACTGGGTACATAACGAAATGAAGGCAGAAATAAAGATGTTCTTTGAAACCAATGAGAACAAAGACACAACATACCAGAATCTCTGGGACACATTCGAAACAGTGTGTAGAAGGAAATTTATAGCACTAAATGCCCACAAGAGAAAGCAGGAAAGATCTAAAATTGACACTCTAACATCACAATAAAAAGAACTAGAGAAGCAAGAGCAAACACATTCAAAAGTTAGCAGAAGGGAAGAAATAACTAAGACCAGAACAGAACTGAAGGAAATAGAGACACAAAAAAACCTTTCAAAAAATCAGTGAATCCAGGAACTGGTTTTTTGAAAAGATCAACAAAATTGATAGACTGCTAGCAAGACTAATAAAGAATAAAAGAGAGAAGAATCAAATAGACGCAATAAAAATGACAAAGGGGATATCACCACCGATCCCACAGAAATACAAACTACCATCAGAGAATACTATAAACACCTCTACGCAAATAAACTAGAAAATCTAGAAGAAATGGATAAATTCCTTGACACATACACTCTCCCAAGACTAAACCAGGAAGAAGTTGAATCTCTGAATAGACCAATAACAGGCTCTGAAATTGAGGCAATAATTAATAGCTTAACAACCAAAAAAAGTCCAGGACCAGAAGGATTCATAGCCGAATTCTACCAGAGGTACAAGGAGGAGGTGGTACCATTCTTTCTGAAACTATTCCAATCAATAGAAAAAGAGGGAATCCTCCCTAACTCATTTTATGAGGCCAGCATCATCCTGATACCAAAGCCTGGCAGAGACACAACAAAAAAAGAGAATTTTAGACCAATATCCTTGATGAACATTGATGCAAAAATCCTCAATAAAATACTGGCAAACTGAATCCAGCAACACATCGAAAAGCTAATCCACCATGATCAAGTGGGCTTCATCCCTGGGATGCAAGGCGGGTTCAACATATGAAAATCAATAAACGTAATCCATCATATAAACAGAACCAAAGACAAAAACCACATGATTATCTCAACAGATGCAGAAAAGACCTTTGACAAAATTCAACAACCCTTCATGCTAAAAACTCTCAATAAATTAGGTATTGATGGGACATATCTCAAATTAATAAGAGCTATCTATGACAAACCCACAGGCAATATCATACTGAATGGACAAAAACTGGGAGCATTCCCTTTGAAAACTGGCACAAGACAGGGATGCCCTCTCTCACCACTCCTATTCAACATAGTGTTGGAAGTTCTGGCCAGGGCAATCAGGCAGGAGAAGGAAATAAAGGGCATTCAATTAGGAAAAGAGGAAGTCAAATTGTCCCTGTTTGCAGATGACATGATTGTATATCTAGAAAACCCCATCATCTCAGCCAAAAATCTCCTCAAGCTGATAAGCAACTTCAGCAAAGTCTCAGGATACAAAATCAATGTACAAAAATCACAAGCATTCTTATACACTAATAATGGACAAACAGACAGCCAAATCATGAGTGAACTACCATTCACAATTGCTTCAAAGAGAATAAAATACCTAGGAATCCACCTTACAAGGGATGTGAAGGACCTCTTTAAGGAGAACTACAAACCACTGCTCAATGAAATAAAGGAGGATACAAACAAATGGAAGAACATTCCACGCTCATAGGTAGGAAGAATCAATATGGTGAAAATGGCCATACTGCCCAAGGTAATTCATAGATTCAATGCTATCCCCATCGAGCTATCAATGAGTTTCTTCACAGAATTGGAAAAAACTACTTTAAAGTTCATATGGCACCAAAAAAGAGCCCGCATCGCCAAGTCAATCCTAAACCAAAAGAACAAAGCTGGAGGCATCACGCTACCTGACTTCAAACTATACTACAAGTCTACAGTAACCATAACAGCATGGTACTTGCACCAAAACGGAGATATAGACCAATGGAACAGAACAGAGCCCTCAGAACTAATGCCGCATATCTACAACTATCTGATCTTTGACAAACCTGACAAAAACAAGCAATGGGGAAAGCATTCCCTATTTAATAAATGGTGCTGGGAGAACTGGCTAGCCATATGTAGAAAGCTGAAACTGGATCCCTTCCTTACACCTTATACAAAAATTAATTCAAGACGGATTAAAGACTTACATGTTAGACCTAAAACCATAAAAACCCTAGAAGAAAACCCAGGCAATACCATTCAGAACATGGACATGGACAAGGACTTCATGTCTAAAACACCAAAAGTAATGGCAACAAAAGCCAAAATTGACAAATGGGATCTAATAAAACTAAAGTGCTTCTGCACAGCAAAGGAAACCACCATCAGAATGAACAGGCAACCTACAGAATGGGAGAAAATTTTTGCAACCTACTCATCTGACAAAGGGCTAATATCCCGAATCTACAATGAACTCAAACAAATTTACAAGCAAAAAACAACCCCATCAAAAAGTGGGCAAAGGATTTGAACAGACACTTCCCAAAAGAAGACATTTATGCAGCCAAAAAATACGTGAAAAAATGCTCATCATCACTGGCCATCAGAGAAATACAAATCAAAACCACAATGAGATACCATCTCACACCAGTTAGAATGACGATCTTTAAAAAGTCAAGAAACAACAGGTGCTGGAGAGGATGTGGAGAAATAGGAACACTTTTACACTGTTGGTGGGACGGTAAACTAGTTCAACCATTGTGGAAGTCAGTGTGGCGATTCCTCAGGGATCTAGAACTAGAAATACTATTAGACCCAGCCATCCCATTACTGGGTATATACCCAAAGGATTATAAATCATGCTGCTATAAAGACAGATGCACACATACGTTTATTGCGGCACTTCATAATAGCAAAGACTTAGAACCAACCCAAATATCCAACAATGATAGACTGGATTAAGAAAATGTGGCACATATACACCATGGAATACTATGCAGCCATAAAAAATGATGAGTTCATGTCCTTTGCAGTGACATGGATGAAGCTGGAAATCATCATTCTCAGCAAACTATCGCAAGGACAAAAACCCAAACACCGCATGTTCTCACTCATAGGTGGGAATTGAACAATGAGAACACATGGACACAGGAAGGGGAACATCACACACCAGGGACTGTTGTGGGGTGGGGGAGGCGGGAGGGATAGCATTAGGGGATATACCTAATGCTAAATGACGAGTTAATGCGTGCAGCACACCAACATGGCACATGTATACATATGTAACTAACCTGCACGTTGTGCCCATGTACCCTAAAACTTTAAGTATAATAATAATAATAAAAGCTAAAATAAGAAATAAAAATTAAAATTAAAAACAAATAAGAAAAGTAAGTGATATTGTAACAGGCTTATTTTAAGAAAATTTAGCAATATATACTATAATAATAATTATTATTAATAATAACAATATTACTACAACCAATAATCCTAAAAACACAAATAGGTCTTTCTGGCCAGCATAGGGCTAGTTTAATACACAAGCTATGACCAAACAACACAATTCACACGCAGTTCATTTAGGTACCCTGATTAATAAAAACAATGTAGGCAGCCAAATCTAGTGTAACTAAATGTAACTACGAAATAGTAATACGGTCAGTCTAATAATATTCTGCAGAGATATAGCCAAAAATTCCTATTTACCATTGATTGCTTTTCTCCATTTATCCATACATGAGACTATTATGTTCTTCCTATTAATGTAAAATTTGTTATTTCCTTTTTGTCAAAGATGTCAAAAGCCTGCCTATAAATAAAAGAATGGCATCTTTGGTTGCTGTCCTCTTGGAAATGATCAAAAGAGTAAGGTATAAAGAAATAGCCCAGTTTTCCTATTTCTTCACCATTTTCAATGACTAAATAAAGCTAAGTTTTGCTTACAGATAACCTGTGATATGCATTTGGGATTGCAAATGACTGTACATCTAACATCTTACTATCAGTATTCCATCCATATTAAACCCACTGTGATTTGATCTATCTGTTATACTTCTTTAAAAATTAATTTCAAATTATATGTTATCTACCCACACTGTAGCTTTTAAAGGAAATCATTTTTTAAATATGCTAAGATTAATGATTGTAATATTTCCTGGTTAAGAATTTCATTTACTCAGAATGGAAATTAAATTAAATTATATGTTAAAATGAACAGCTTGTGTTTTATAGAGTAAAAGAGTCTGAGTTTGGTAACATTACTTTCTGGGATATATTGAAAGGACATAATTAATATTGAATGTTAAAATGTATTCTTATTATATTAATATTACTCTTATTACTGTTTTTACTATCAATTTATAAGAACCTCCCTTACTAATTTACAAACCTTCTGACCTTTCAAATTTGTAAGTTTCCTTGACAATATTAAATGTGGTGTTAAGCATTTTTGAATTTTACTGTATCCAACTGAAATCAAAATACTATAAAAGATATATTCCCCTGATTATACTTGCTCAAACTGAGCCCACATTTTAATATGCTAAGATCAAAGTCTATATAAATGGTCACCTGAAGACAAGTTAACAATTGCCAGTGGTATAAAACAAAGGTACGTTATAACCCATTTCTCTTAAACTTGTATGTTAATGACTCACAGCTGCTCCTGGAAGATTTGGGTTCCTGTTCTTTTACTCTGAGGAAAGAATATTTGGTGTTTTTCTTCATACCAATGATATGATTTTGTTGTCACTTACTATACATAGCTTCAACGTGTCTCACTACAAAATATTGTTAGAAAAATGTTTCAAGAGAACTATTCTAATACTAAAATGATTATTTTGTGCATATAATGACAATATCTAACCAGTCTATTTCCAACTACTTTTTACTGAGATCATTTGTAATTAATCTACATGAAAGTATGATACCAGAATCCAAACTAATAAACAGTAAATATTAGTGCAGTGCTTTACCGAGATTTTTAAATGGTGATTTAGTAATTAGTAACACTTTCTTTAATATTTTTGTAGACAAGATCATTGAGTTTGGTCTACAGGTAGATATTATGGTCATTGTATCTCTTGTGTTAGGACAGACTCGAACAATTTCTGAAAAATAATTATGCTTGAGGGCTACTGTAGAGGTAGCATGATTATCTCATCAGGTATCAGCTTACATTATATTTATATAAGAATGTCACTGTTTTCTTCACTCGCAATATGTTTTTGTTCCCAGATGACAGCAGAGTTTACCTGCATTCCAGGCTTTAGCACAAAATAGAACCTCAGACACTGAGTGGTTGAAGTGATTACCAGTGAGGATGTCCCTGTATTTTACTAGATATATTATGTTTGTTTAACTATTCAATCAGTTGTTTTAGTTTTCATAAACCATCAAGAAGACTTGTGGAGGATTTATTTTACTGAATTTTATGACTGTGCTACTTATTGCCCTGCCTTGAACAGCATGCTATTGTGTTTAAGACAGGAATGGCTTTTTTTTTTAGGAAGACATATGGAAGATGTTTTTTAAGTCCCAGCACTAGAAAAATGTGACTTTATCAGTATAGTTTTTAAAATATGAAATATAGTGAAGGCTTGTAACTGAACTTGTTCATCTTTGCTTTGACTTCTAGGAAACTCAGAAAATTGTTTATCCATTTATAGCAACTTAAGGGATACATTACTACCCATTCTTCTAATAGTTCCTGACTTATTTTTATTGTCACACTCTCAGTTTTACTTTGACCTGAATTTCATATCTATTTCCTTTCTCCAAACTCCTTGGAAATGAGGCATTACCCAATAGAATAATTACTTGAAATACTTCACCTTTAAAAACTCCAAAGTGGATCAAAACTTATCTTAAGAAGGAAAGAAAAATAGATGCCAGTTAAGAGGAAGAGGGAAGGAGCAAAGACATCTATGGAGTTCGAACCAAGTTGGGCATTGCTCAAACATTTCATAAAGTTTCATTTAATCATTATAACAGCCAGGTAAGCTATTTTCATAATAAGCATTATTACTGAAAATTTATTTTTCTACATACTCATTTAAATGATTTGTGTATGTTAAAAAATTTAACACAACAGTCATGTAAGATAGGAACTAGGATTATTCATGAGGGGCAAATAGATTTAATATCTTGACCCAGGCCATACAAGTAATGTGCAGAGAAACCAGGATCCAAATCCAGATGTTCCTGCTCCAGAGGCTGTATCTTGGCATGCCATGCTTTTCCTTATTATTCCCATTTGACCAGTGAAGAAACTTTGGAACTCTAAGTATGTAAGTAATTTGATGTAGACAGTGGGTACTGGAGCCTAGATTCAGACGCAGTCTGTTGGCAGTAGAATGTGTGTGTCCTCTGTATCACTCTGCCTTCCAAAACACATGTGATGTTCCAGATATTGCTCTATGCCAATGTTTCGAAAATACTTTTCCATATTAACATATCAATTCTAGTTATTTTAAATGCCTTGCTTGATGATTTTAATTTTTCAGCTATGTCAGCGTTTGTTTTCTCTTGCCTAATGCTCATATTTTGTTGCATTCTTACATATGTGATAATGCTTATAAATTTTGCTTGTATAGATAGTGTCTGTACAAGAACAGTAGAAAGAAAAGAAAATATTATTTACCCCTGATACTTACCCATTCTTCTGTTAGCCAATTTAAGAAGTTGAGTGAATGTAATCTGAGATGTGAGGCTAGGCCTTATTGTAGCTTTCCTTGCATTGTTCAAATACTGGAACCAACCCAAATGTCCAACAATGATAGACTGGATTAAGAAAATGTGGCACATATACACCATGGAATACTATGCAGCCATAAAAAATGATGAGTTCATGTCCTTTGTAGGGACATGGATGAAATTGGAAACCATCATTCTCAGTAAACTATCGCAAGAACAAAAAACCAAACACCGCATATTCTCACTCATAGGTGGGAATTGAACAATGAGATCACATGGACACAGGAAGGGGAATATCACACTCTGGGGACTGTGGTGGGGTCGGGGGAGGGGGGAGGGATAGCATTGGGAGATATACCTAATGCTAGATGACACGTTAGTGGGTGCAGCGCACCAGCATGGCACATGTATACATATGTAACTAACCTGCACAATGTGCACATGTACCCTAAAACTTAGAGTATAATAAAAAAAAAAATTTAAAAAAAAAAAAAAAAAACAAATACTGTCCTCCAAACTTTTATGGCTGTGGTAGATTTTTCCTTTAGCAGGGCTTGAGATTGGCATGTCTCAAGATATCCTGACTCTCAAGTGAGAGCTTGTCTGCACAAATTGGTAGCAGACTTATTCTGAGTGTGAGATTTATTAGGGTTTTTATCCATCATAGCAGGCCACAACATATACTCCTGAAAATCATAATGATCATAGCAATAACATAGCTGAAAGAAAACACTAGCTTGAGCTAGTCAATGTGAGAAAAAAGTCCGCTCTCAAGTGAGAGTCAGGATATCTTTACAAAGGTGATCATCCAGTTCTGCAAACCATGGAAGAGTTCTTTCTCCTTTAGAGATTGACTGACACGTTTTTGGTCAGTCAGTTTGCTTCCTAGTTTTCTGCCCTTCATATGATTTCTATTCACCTGCTACTTTGCCAACAGCCTTTGGAAAACATCTATGTACACTTAATGAGGACCTTGAAACTCTCAGAGAAATGTTTTTCAGTTATTCTCATCCTGTCCCCAGTCTTTCAATGTATTGCCCTAATGCTCATATTGGTAGCAGTCTTATTCTGAGTTTGAAGTTTATTAGGGTTTAAACCCTTCATAACAGGCCACAACATATGCTCCTGAAAAATCGTCATGATCACAGACATCACATAGCTGAAAGAAAATACTAGCTTGAACTGGTCAGTGTAAGAGCATTTAGATTGATTATCGCATGTTGATAATTTAGATTGATTATCACATGTTGATAATTCCATGATCTATGGAAGATGTTTATCCAGAACTGATCTATTGTGAGCAAGTTTTGCTTGCTTCTTGGCTAGGCTTAATCTACTATTCGATATTAATATGTTTGCATACCTATATAATAAAAAATATTTTCAAGTTAAAGAGATCTCCTCATAAAAAATATTCGCCAAAAATTAGTCACATTTCCACATTGATATTTTCTTTTTTTTTAAATTTTTTTTATTATTATACTTTAAGTTTTAGGGTACAGGTGCACAATGTGCAGGTTAGTTACATATATATACATGTGACATGCTGGTGCGCTGCACCCACTAACTCGTCATCTAGCATTAGGTATATCTCCCAATGCTATCCCTCCCCCCTCCCCCCACCCCACAACAGTCCCCAGAGTGTGATGCTCCCCTTCCTGTGTCCATGTGATCTCATTGTTCAATTCCCACCTGTGAGTGAGAATATGCAGTGTTTGGTTTTTTGTTCTTGCGATAGTTTACTGAGAATGATGATTTCCAATTTCATCCATGTCCCTACAAAGGACATGAACTCATCATTTTTTATGGCTGCATAGTATTCCATGGTGTATATGTGCCACATTTTCTTAATCCAGTCTATCATTGTTTGACATTTGGGTTGATTCCAAGTCTTTGCTATTGTGAATACTGCTGCAATAAATATACGTGTGCATGTGTCTTTATAGCAACATGATTTATAGTCCTTTGGGTATATACCCAGTAATGGGATGGCTGGGTCAAATGGTATTTCTAGTTCTAGATCCCTGAGGAATCACCACACTGACTTCCACAATGGTTGAACTAGTTTACAGTCCCACCAACAGTGTAAAAGTGTTCCTATTTCTCCACATCCTCTCCAGCACCTGTTGTTTCCTGACTTTTTAATGATTGCCATTCTAACTGGTGTGAGATGATATCTCACTGTGGTTTTGATTTGCATTTCTCTGTTGGCCAGGGATGGTGAGCATTTTTTCATGTGTCTTTTGGCTGCATAAATGTCTTCTTTTGAGAAGTGTCTGCTCATGTCCTTCAACCACTTTTTGATGGGGTTGTTTGTTTTTTTCTTGTAAATTTGTTTGAGTTCATTGTAGATTCTGGATATTAGCCCTTTGTCAGATGAGTAGGTTGCGAAAATTTTCTCCCATTTTGTGGGTTGCCTCTTCCCTCTGATGGTAGTTTCTTTTGCTGTGCAGAAGCTCTTTAGTTTAATTAGATCCCATTTGTCAATTTTGGCTTTTGTTGCCATTGCTTATGGTGTTTTAGACATGAAGTCCTGGCCCGTGCCTATGTCCTGAATGGTAATGCCTAGGTTTTCTTGTAGGGTTTTTATGGTTTTAGGTCTAACGTTTAAGTCTTTAATCCATCTTGAATTGATTTTTGTAAAAGGTGTAAGGAAGGGATCCAGTTTCAGCTTTCTACATATGGCTAGCCAGTTTTCCCGGCACCATTTATTAAATAGGGAATCCTTTCCCCATTGCTTGTTTTTCTCAGGTTTGTCAAAGATCAGATAGTTGCAGATATGTGGCTTTATTTCTGAGGGCTCTGTTCTGTTCCATTGATCTATATCTCTGTTTTGGTACCAGAACCATGCTGTTTTGGTTACTGTAGCCTTGTAGTATAGTTTGAAGTCAGGTGGCATGATGCCTCCAGCTTTGTTCTTTTCGCTTAGGATTGACTTGGTGATGCGGGCTCTTTTTTGGTTCCATATGAACTTTAAAGTAGTTTTTTCCAATTCTGTGAAGAAAGTCATTGGTAGCTTGATGGGGATGGCATTGAATCTATAAATTACCTTGGGCAGTATGGCCATTTTCACGATATTGGTTCTTCCTACCCATGAGCATGGAATGTTCTTCCGTTTGTTTGTGTCCTCTTTTATTTCCTTGAGCAGTGGTTTGTAGTTCTCCTTGAAGAGGTCCTTCATGTCCCTTGTAAGTTGGATTCCTAGGTATTTTATTCTCTTTGAAGCAATTGTGAATGGGAGTTCACTCATGATTTGGCTCTCTGTTTGTCTGTTATTGGTGTATAAGAATGCTTGTGATTTTTGTTCATTGATTTTGTGTCCTGAGACTTTGCTGAAGTTGCTTATCCGCTTAAGGAGATTTTGGGCTGAGACAATGGGGTTTTCTAGATATACAATCATGTCATCTGCAAACAGGGACAATTTGACTTCCTCTTTTCCTAATTGAATGCCCTTTATTTCCTTCTCCTGCCTAATTGCCCTGGCCAGAACTTCCAACACTATGTTGAATAGGAGTGGTGAGAGAGGGCATCCCTGTCTTGTGCCAGTTTTCAAAGGGAATGCTTCCAGTTTTTGCCCATTCAGTATGATATTGGCTGTGGGTTTGTCATAGATAGCTGTTATTATTTTGAGATACGTCCCATCAATACCTAATTTATTGAGAGTTTTTAGCATGAAGCGTTGTTGAATTTTGTCAAAGGCCTTTTCTGCATCTGTTGAGACAATCATGTGGTTTTTGTCTTTGGTCCTGTTTATGTGCTGGATTACATTTATTGATTTGCGTATATTGAACCCGCCTTGCATCCCAGGGATGAAGCCCACTTGATCATGGTGGATAAGCTTTTGGATGTGCTGCTGGATTTGGTTTTCCAGTATTTTATTGAGGATTTTTGCATCAATGTTCATCAAGGATATTGGTCTAAAATTCTCTTTTTTTGTTGTGTCTCTGCCAGGCTTTGGTATCAGGATGACGCTGGCCTCATGAAATGAGTTAGGGAGGATTCCCTCTTTTTCTATTGATTGGAATAGTTTCAGAAGGAATGTTACCAGTCCCTCCTTGTACCTCTGGTAGAATTCGGCTGTGAAGCCTTCTGATCCTGGACTCTTTTTTAGTTGGTAAGCTATTGATTATTGCCACAATTTCAGCTCCTGTTATTGGTCTATTCAGAGATTCAACTTCTTCCTGGTTTAGTCTTGGGAGAGTGTATGTGTCGAGGAATTTATCCATTTCTTCTGGATTTTCTAGTTTATTTGCATAGAGGTGTTTGTAGTATTCTCTGATGGTGGTTTGTATTTCTGTTGGATCGGTGGTGATATCCCCTTTATTTTTTATTGCGTCTGTTTGATTCTTCTCTCTTTTTTTCTTTATTAGTCTTGCTAGCAGTCTATCAATTTTGTTGATCCTTTCAAAAAACCAGCTCCTGGATTCATTAATTTTTTGAAGGGTTTTTTGTGTCTCTATTTCCTTCAGTTCTGCTCTGATTTTAGTTATTTCTTGCCTTCTGCTAGCTTTTGAATGTGTTTGCTCTTGCTTCTCTAGTTCTTTTAATTGTGATGTTAGGGTGTCCATTTTAGATCTTTCCTGCTTTCTCTTGTGGGCATTTAGTGCTATAAATTTCCCTCTACACACTGCTTTGAATGTGTCCCAGAGATTCTGGTATGTTGTGTCTTTGTTCTCGTTGGTTTCAAAGAACATCTTTATTTCTGCCTTCATTTCGTTATGTACCCAGTAGTCATTCAGGAGCAGGTTCTTCAGTTTCCATGTAGTTGAGCGGTTTTGAGTGAGTTTCTTAATCCTGAGTTCCTGTTTGATTGCACTGTGGTCTGAGAGATAGTTTGTTATAATTTCTGTTGTTTTACATTTGCTGAAGAGTGTTCTACTTCCAACTATGTGGTCAATTTTGGAATAGGTGTGGTGTGGTGCTGAAAAGAATGTATATTCTGTTGATTTGGGTTGGAGAGTTCTGTAGATGTCTATTAGGTCCACTTGGTGCAGATCTGAGTTCAATTCCTGGATATCCTTGTTAACTTTCTGTCTCGTCGATGTGTCAAATTTTGACAGTGGGGTGTTAAAGTCTCCCATTATTAATGTGTGGGAGTCTAAGTCTCTTTGTAGGACACTCAGGACTTGCTTTATGAATCTGGGTGCTCCTGTATTGGGTGCATATGTATTTAGGATAGTTAGCTCTTCTTGTTGAATTGATCCCTTTACCATTATGTAATGGCCTTCTTTGTCTCTTTTGATCTTTGCTGGTTTAAAGTCTGTTTTATCAGAGACTAGGATTGCAACCCATGCCTTTTTTTGTTTTCCATTTGCTTGGTAGATCTTCCTCCATCCTTTTATTTTGAGCCTATGTGTGTCTCTGCATGTGAGATGGGTTTTCAGAATACAACACACTGATGGGTCTTTACTCTTTATCTAATTTGCCAGTCTGTGTCTTTTAATTGGAGCATTTAGTCCATTTACATTTAAAGTTAATATTGTTATGTGTGAATTTGATCCTGTCATTATGATGTTAGCTGGTTATTTTGCTCGTTAGTTGATGCAGTTTCTTCCTAGTCTCGATGGTCTTTACATTTTGGCATGATTTTGCAGCAGCTGGTACCGGTTGTTCCTTTCCATGTTTAGTGCTTCCTTCAGGAGCTCTTTTAGGGCAGGCCTGCTGGTGACAAAATCTCTCAGCGTTTGCTTGTCTGTAAAGTATTTTATTTCTCCTTCACTTATGAAGCTTAGTTTGGCTGGATATGAAATTCTGGGTTGAAAATTCTTTTCTTTAAGAATGTTGAATATTGGCCCCCACTCTCTTCTGGCTTGTAGAGTTTCTGCTGAGAGATCCGCTGTTAGTCTGATGGGCTTCCCTTTGTGGGTAACCCAACCTTTCTCTCTGCCTTCCCTTAACATTTTTTCTTCATTTCAACTTTGGTGAATCTGACAATAATGTGTCTTGGAGTTGCTCTTCTCGAGGAGTATCTTTGTGGCGTTCTCTGTATTTCCTGAATCTGAATGTTGGCCTGCCTTGCTAGACTGGAGAAGATCTCCTGGATAATATCCTGCAGAGTGTTTTCCAAATTGGTTCCATGCTCCCCGTCACTTTCAGGTACACCAATCAGACGTAGATTTGGTCTTTTCACGTAGTCCCATAGTTTTTGCATGCTTTGTTCGTTTCTTTTTATTCTTTTTTCTCTAAACTTCCCTTCTTGCTTCATTTCATTCATTTCATCTTCTATCGCTGATACCCTTTCTTCCCGTTGATGGCATCGGCTCCTGAGGCTTCGGCATTCTTCACGTAGTTCTTGTGCCTTGGCTTTCAGGTCCATCAACTCCTTTAAGCACTTCTCTGTATTGGTTATTCTAGTTATACATTCGTCTAAATTTTTTTCAAAATTTTTAACTTCTTTGCCTTTGGTTTGAATTTCCTCTTGTAACTCGTAGTTTGATTGTCTGAAGCCTTCTTCTCTCAACTCATCAAAGTCATTCTCCGTCCAGCTTGTTCCATTGCTGGTGAGGAACTGCGATCCTTTGGAGGAGGAGAGGTGCTCTGCTTTTCAGAGTTTCCAGTTTTTCTGCTCTGTTTTTTCCCCATCTTTGTGGTTTTATCTACTTTTGGTCTTTGATGATGGTGATGTACAGATGGGTTTTTGGTGTGGATGTCCTTTCTGTTTGTTAGTTTTCCTTGTAACAGACAGGACCCTCAGCTGCAGGTCTGTTGGAGTTTGCTAGAGGTCCACTCCAGACTCTGTTTGCCTGGGTATCAGCAGCGGTGTCTGCAGAACAGTGGCTTTTCGTGAACTGCGAATGCTGCTTTCTGATGGTTCCTCTGGAAGTTTTGTCTCAGAGGAGTACCCGGCCGTGTGAGGTGTCAGTCTGCCCCTACTGGGGGTTGCCTCCCAGTTAGGCTGCTCAGGGGTCAGGGGTCATGAACCCACTTGAGGAGGCAGTCTGCCCATTCTCAGATCTCCAGCTGTGTGCTGGGAGAACCACTACTCTCTTCAAAGCTGTCAGACAGGGACATTTAAGCCTGCAGAAGTTACTGCTATCTTTTTTTTTTTTTTTTTTTTTTTTTATTATACTCTAAGTTTTAGGGTACATGTGCACATTGTGCAGGTTAGTTACATATGTATACATGTGCCATGCTGGTGCGCTGCACCCACTAATGTGTCATCTAGCATTAGGTATATCTCCCAATGCTATCCCTCCCCACTCCCCCGACCCCACCACAGTCCCCAGAGTGTGATATTCCCCTTCCTGTGTCCATGTGATCTCATTATTCAATTCCCACCTATGAGTGAGAATATGCGGTGTTTGGTTTTTTGTTCTTGCGATAGTTTACTGAGAATGATGGTTTCCAATTTCATCCATGTCCCTACAAAGGATATGAACTCATCATTTTTTATGGCTGCATAGTATTCCATGGTGTATATGTGCCACATTTTCTTAATCCAGTCTATCATTGTTGGACATTTGGGTTGGTTCCAAGTCTTTGCTATTGTGAATAGTGCCGCAATAAACATACGTGTGCATGTGTCTTTATAGCAGCATGATTTATACTCATTTGGGTATATACCCAGTAATGGGATGGCTGGGTCAAATGGTATTTCTAGTTCTAGATCCCTGAGGAATCGCCACACTGACTTCCACAATGGTTGAACTAGTTTACAGTCCCACCAACAGTGTAAAAGTGTTCCTATTTCTCCGCATCCTCTCCAGCACCTGTTGTTTCCTGACTTTTTAATGATTGCCATTCTAACTGGTGTGAGATGATATCTCATAGTGGTTTTGATTTGCATTTCTCTGATGGCCAGTGATGATGAGCATTTCTTCATGTGTTTTTTGGCTGCATAAATGTCTTCTTTTGAGAAGTGTCTGTTCATGTCCTTCGCCCACTTTTTGATGGGGTTGTTTGTTTTTTTCTTGTAAATTTGTTTGAGTTCATTGTAGATTCTGGATATTAGCCCTTTGTCAGATGAGTAGGTTGCGAAAATTTTCTCCCATGTTGTAGGTTGCCTGTTCACTCTGATGGTAGTTTCTTTTGCTGTGCAGAAGCTCTTTAGTTTAATTAGATCCCATTTGTCAATTTTGTCTTTTGTTGCCATTGCTTTTGGTGTTTTGGACATGAAGTCCTTGCCCATGCCTATGTCCTGAATGGTAATGCCTGGGTTTTCTTCTAGGGTTTTTAGTCCAGGACCAGATGGATTCACAGCCGAATTCTACCGGAGGTACATGGAGGAACTGGTACCATTCCTTCTGAAACTATTCCAATCAATAGAAAAAGAGGGAATCCTCCCTAACTCATTTTATGAGGCCAGCATCATTCTGATACCAAAGCCGGGCAGAGACACAACCAAAAAAGAGAATTTTAGACCAATATCCTTGATGAACATTGATGCAAAAATCCTCAATAAAATACTGGCAAACCGAATCCAGCAGCACATCAAAAAGCTTATCCACCATGATCAAGTGGGCTTCATCCCTGGGATGCAAGGCTGGTTCAATATACGCAAATCAATAAATGTAATCCAGCATATAAACAGAGCCAAAGACAAAAACCACATGATTATCTCAATAGATGCAGAAAAAGCCTTTGACAAAATTCAACAACCCTTCATGCTAAAAACTCTCAATAAATTAGGTATTGATGGGACGTATTTCAAAATAATAAGAGCTATCTATGACAAACCCACAGCCAATATCATACTGAATGGGCAAAAACTGGAAGCATTCCCTTTGAAAACTGGCACAAGACAGGGATGCCCTCTCTCACCGCTCCTATTCAACATAGTGTGGGAAGTTCTGGCCAGGGCAATCAGGCAGGAGAAGGAAATAAAGGGTATTCATTTAGGAAAAGAGGAAGTCAAATTGTCCCTGTTTGCAGACGACATGATTGTATATCTAGAAAACCCCATTGTCTCAGCCCAAAATCTCCTTAAGCTGATAAGCAACTTCAGCAAAGTCTCAGGATACAAAATCAATGTACAAAAATCACAAGCATTCTTATACACCAACAACAGACAAACAGAGAGCCAAATCATGGGTGAACTCCCATTCACAATTGCTTCAAAGAGAATAAAATACCTAGGAATCCAACTTACAAGGGATGTGAAGGACCTCTTCAAGGAGAACTACAAACCACTGCTCAAGGAAATAAAAGAGGAGACAAACAAATGGAAGAACATTCCATGCTCATGGGTAGGAAGAATCAATATCGTGAAAATGGCCATACTGCCCAAGGTAATTTACAGATTCAATGCCATCCCCATCAAGCTACCAATGACTTTCTTCACAGAATTGGAAAAAACTACTTTAAAGTTCATATGGAACCAAAAAAGAGCCCGCATCGCCAAGTCAATCCTAAGCCAAAAGAACAAAGCTGGAGGCATCACACTACCTGACTTCAAACTATACTACAAGGCTACAGTAACCAAAACAGCATGGTACTGGTACCAAAACAGAGATATAGATCAATGGAACAGAACAGAGCCCTCAGAAATAATGCCGCATATCTACAACTATCTGATCTTTGACAAACCTGAGAAAAAGAAGCAATGGGGAAAGGATTCCCTATTTAATAAATGGTGCTGGGAAAACTGGCTAGCCATATGTAGAAAGCTGAAACTGGATCCCTTCCTTACACCTTATACAAAAATCAATTCAAGATGGATTAAAGATTTAAACGTTACTGCTATCTTTTTGTTTGCCTGTGCCCTTCCCCTAGAGGTGGAGCCTACAGAGGCAGGCAGGCCTCCTTGAGCTGTGGTGGGCTCCACCCAGTTGGAGCTTTTCGGCTGCTTTGTTTACCTAAACAAGCCTGGGCAATGGCGGGCGCCCCTCCCCCAGCCTCCCTGCCGCCCTGCAGTTTGATCTCAGACTGCTGTGCTAGCAATCAGTGAGATTCCATGGGCATAGGACCCTCTGAGCCAGGTGCAGGATATAATCTCCTGGTGTGCCATTTTTTAAGCCCATCGGAAAAGTGCAGTATTCAGGTGGGAGTCACCCGATTTTCCAGGTGCCATCTGTCACCCCTTTCTTTGACTAGGAAAGGGAATTCCCTGACCCCTTGCACTTCCCGGGTGAGGTGATGCCTCGCCCTGCTTCGGCTCGCGCACGATGCGCTGTACCCACTGACCTGCGCCCACTGTCTGGCACTCCCTAGTGAGAATAACTCAGTACCTCAGATGGAAATGCAGAAATCACCCGTCGACTGCGTTGCTCACGCTGGGAGCTGTAGACTGGAGCTGTTCCTATTCGGCCATCTTGGCTCCTCCCCCGATATTTTCTTAAAGTACCTGTAAAGCTGAAGTAAAGTACAACAGGCCTGAAAGATTAGAACTGCCTTATTCACAATGGTTGCGAAGCTTGGCTGCTTATTGAGATGACCTGTTGAGGTTTTCAGAAACACAAATTTCTTGCCTACACTGTACCACTCTCCAGGTCCTGTCTTTTCCATCAAAATTTCATGAGGTGAAGTGTAAGAATCATTATTATTTTTTAAAAATCTAAATCAGTTCTGACTGAACATGTTTGGGGAACCACTACACTAGGGTTATTACTTTTTTTTTAATCCAAGAGAAAGGATTCAAATAAAGCAATTAGTTACACCAAACGTATATCAATCCTCACCTGTTTAGCCCAACAAATTTCTTACATATAAATAGATCCTAATGTTGTTGAAGAACTGGAATTTTATTGTAAACATATGTTTAACATGTATATCTTTTATTTCTATTGTTCTCTTTGTCTTTTAATCTCCAAGACATCATGTGAAATATTTTAAGTCGTTATCTTTTTCCTTGCACAGTATTCCTCTGAAGAAAGAGGCAAATGTTTTACAGGGATTTTCACAAGACTATAGCACTGAAGATGGCAAGGTCTCAACACTGAGACTTTTTTTTTCTTTTAACTGAGAAGAAAGTTCAGGGACTAAACACTTTTTCCAAAATATGAAAAATAAATGTTAAGTTTTACAAAACCTTGGGGAAAGCAGCATCCAGGAATGCATTAAGAGCATCATTTTTTTTCTTAGTAATAAAAGCCTGAACTGAGAAGCAATTTAAGTGCAAAATGAACTTGAAATGATCTGTCATGTCCTCCTCTCTTTAATAGAAACTAGAGACCGAGATAACCATGCCCAGGACAAAATACTGGAAACCTAATTTAATCTAAGTCACACTCAATAGTGGATGTAGTGGGAGCATTGTTTAGATTGAGTTATAATGGCTGCTTAGCTAGTACAAGGAAAGTAATATTATGAAGACAAGATCTTGAGTTTGATCAATTTTGTCTTCCAAATATCTTTGAGCACCAAACCCCAGACAGATGGTTATCTAACAAATGTTTATCACTTCTGACAAAAAGTTCTTAACAAGAGTGGGTGCAGATGTATTACTATCATAATAACCTAATACAAATGTATAAATTACTAATTTATCATGGACTTTATATGTGAGAAATTATATAAAATTAAGATGGCATTAGCCATGAGAACAATGGATGTCAAAAATCGATAGAAAATTTAAATTATACACTATATATTTAGGTGATTTCAGAGTTTGCTAAGTGTTTCACCTAAATCATCTGAGTTGATCTTTAAACAAAGCTGCAAAATGCCTCTGTAAGTAGGTTGAATAGTGGTCACCAAAGAAATCAAATCTTACTCCCTGGAAAGAGTAAATATTACTGTATTTTGAAAAAAGGGTTTCTGCAGATGTGATTAATTAACAATTTTTTGATAAGAAAATAACCCCATATTATTTTGTAGGGCAATGAATGCCATAGCAAATATTTTTATAAAACAGAGCTAGAGGTTTCACACAGCCAGGAGATGAGAAGGAAGTGTGGCCTTGTGGACAGATATTAGAATGATATGACCAAAAGTCAAATAAAGGGAATACTTCTAAACTCATTCTATGAGGCCAGTGTTAACCTGATACAAAACCAAGTAAGTACACATCAAGAAAAGAAAACTACAGGCCAGTATCTCTGATGTATATTTACTGATGCAGAAGTCCTCAACAAAATATGAGCAAACCTAATTTAACAACACATTAAAAAGTTTATTCATCATAACCAAGTGGGATTTATCCAGGGGATGCAAGCATAGTTCAACATATGCAAATTAATCAATGTGATATATCATACCAATAGAATGAAGGACAAAAACAATATTGTTATTTCAAATGATGCTGAAAAACCATTTGATAAAATTCGAAATCATTTAATAGTAAGAACCATCACAAATGGTATAGAAGGAACATACCTTAACATTCAAAATGCCGAATAAGACAGACCCACAGCTAGTATCATACTGAATGGGTAAAAACTGAAAGCCTTTTCTCTAAGAACTAGAACACACAATCATGATGCATATTTTCAACACTGTTACTCAATGTAAAGCTGGAAGTCCTAGCTAGAGCAATTAGTAAAAGAAATAAATAAATGGCATCCATTTTGGAAAGAAAGACATCAAATTATCCTGTCTGCAGATTATATAATCTTATATTTTGAAAAACCTAAAGACTCCACAAAAAACTGTTAGAATAACTACATTCTGAATGTGATAAACACATTCAGTAAAGTTGCAGGATGAAAAATCAATATGCAAAAATTAGTAGCATTTCTATATGCCAACAGTAAAAATCTTAAAAAGAAATCAAGATAGCATTCCCATTTACAATAGATAACAGACAAAATAAAATTCCTAGGAATAAACTTAACCAAAGAATTAACAGATCTCAATAATGACAACCATAAAACACTGATGCAAGAAATTGAAGAGGACACCAAAAAGTATAGATATTCCACGTTCATGGATTTGAAGAACCAATATCTTTCAAAGGTCCATACTACCAAAGCAAATCTACAGATTCAATGCAATACCTATCAAAATATCTAATACATTCTTCACATAGAACAAACAATGCTAAAATTTTTATGGAACCTCAAAAGATCCAGAATATTCAAAGCTATCCTGAGCAAAAAAGCAACACTGGAGGAATCACATTACCTGACTTCAGATTAAACTACTGAACTGTAGTAACTAAAACAGCATGATACTGGCATAAAAACAGATACATAGACCAGTGGAACAGAATAAAGAACCCAGAAACAAATCCATACGTCTACAGTGAACCTATTTTCAGCAAAGTTGCCAAGAACAAACATCGAGAAAAGAGTCTGGGAAGAGTAGTGGCGGGGAAGTGGGTATAGTTAATGGGTACAAAAGAGATAGAAAGAATGAATAAGACCTAGTATTTATTTGCTAACACAACAGGCTGACTATAGTAAAAAATAATTTAATTTTGCATTTAAAAACAACTAAAAGAGTATAATGGGATTGTTTATAACACAAAGGATAAATGCTTGAAGTAATGGATAAAAAAAGAAATTATTGCTGTCTACTTTGGAGAGCTGGATAATTTCTTCCTCATGTTTCTTAATAGAGATTTCCATTTGGCCTGAGTCATTAATCCAAGTACAATAGGATATATTAGCAATTGCCCAGGCTGTACATTTGCCAATAAGGATGAAATCTATAACAATTCCAGCATTCCTAATATCCCTAGTCAATGAGTTGAGGATAAGCCAAGTTCCTTCCAGCTCCAAGATAGTCTGATTGGTTACTTCAGCTAAATTCAAAACAAATATTTTAGCACTTTTTCTAATTTGATGACTCACGTTGTGGTAATAACTGCCAAACACAGCAAATAAGTAAGGAGTCAGTTATCCCTCAACAAATCTACCTTGGAAAATCCAGGGCTGCCTCATTTTAGAGAGAATGCCTCAGTCTTCTGAGCTCTCAGAGTTACTGGTGGTGTTTCCTTAAAGACTTGCTCTCTTATCACCACCTATAAGATGAAAATAACAGTGTTTTTGGAAGGGAAGGAAGTTGATTCCTAGCTTCTACACAAGAACTATGATCCCAGCAATATGCACATGTTGTCCCAGGGGAGAAAAGATATGTTATGATTGTTGAGGTCCTGCTCATGGGACCTGCAACAATCAATGTGGAGGCACAAGTTGATACTGCCTCAAATGTGTTCTTCAGGCCCACTGGTAGAGTCTAGTTCCTGATTTTGAAAAGACTGTGAAGGCAGTTCCATCTGTCCTGCTTGTTTTTGTCATCATTTGGATGCTATTCATTTGCCCCAGGCAATGATGAGAATGTGGATGGTGGACTTATGGAGGTAGAGAGGAGAATTTTCTTTGGGAGTTGCAAAAGCTGGAATCATTCCCTGTTGTTTGTGATAGACCTATTGATAAGGTTAGAAGACAAAGCAATGGTTAGAGGTGTCTGGTTAGGATAGCTAACCCAGCAGACAATTTAAAGTGAGTGCAACAGTTTTTGTTGTGTCATCACCAGGACATTTTTCTTGGTATGAAAGGATCCAGGACAGATCTGAAACAAAAAAATCACTAATGTGTCTCCCCTATCTACGCCTCCGGGGCCTAATGTTTTGCTTTCTTGGGAGCCAGGGTAGTTGCTTTTCCTCTAATACCTCAAAATTGGTGTTTCTAATTCCTTTAAGGGGAAGTCCACACTTTGAAGCATCTTCTGTGCACACCCAGAGCTTTCACATAGTGGGGTTAGGTCCAAGTGACAAGGCTTTTTTTTTTTTTTATACTTTAAGTTTTAGGGTACATGTGCACAACGTGCAGGTTTGTTACATATGTATACATGTGTCATGTTGGTGTGCTGCCCCCATTAACTTGTCATTTAACATTAGGTATATCTCCTAATGCTATCCCTCCACCCTCCACCCACCCCACAACAGGCCCCGGTGTGTGAAATTCCCCTTCCTGTGTCCATGTATTTTTATAAAACTCACAGAGACCCAGTGTTTCCCTCTCTTCGTCTTGGAGAGCAATGTACTTAACCAAGTGGTCATTACACTTATGATTTGCTACCTTGTCAATTTAACAGGACACAATGCAGGTGGCTGACCTGAAATTAATTTTGAATTACTGACGCTCCCTTTTGCTAGGTTGTCAGACTATGAATCAGGCTATCCTAGGATTCTTGTTAGGGGAAAAATAATCCCACCCAGGGATGTCAGGAAAGAATTTTGAATTTTTGATAGTTACAAGTAAAGATCAAAGGTCTAGTGTCATCAGTCTGCCAGAAATAGATTGGGGTAGTGCCCATGGAATATGTTCTCTCACTTAGTGACATCGGGATCAACTTTTGCTCCTATTGGTCCACTGGCTTTACCTCAGACAATAGACTAGTGGTATAATTTCCTATAAAGGAATAGCTGCTACTTTTTAATGTGAGGTCAAGTTGCTGCTGAGGATAGGCCATCTGTGTTCCTGAATATACCATTTTCACCCAGGTAGGGAAGATTATTGGGCCCTTTCTTCCTTGGTAATAATTCAATCTGAATTGACCAACCTCAAACTAGATATATCAGGGTAAATATTAATTAGGCCTTATGGGTGAGACATTCAGTGTTGATAAGAGTGCAGTAGTAATTGAAATGGTCTCTTTTCTATTTAAAAAAAAATTGTATATATTTAGTGGGTATGAGTGCAGTCCTGTCACATGGATATATTGCAGAGCAGTGACATCTGGGCTTTTAGTCATCACCCAAATAATGTACATTGGACCCACTAAGCAGTTTCTTATCCCTCAACCTGCTCCCACACTTCCACTCATCCGAGTCTCCAGTGTCTATGATTTACACTCTATGTCCATGTGTACACATTATTTAGCTTCCTCATATAAGTGATGACATGTGGTTATGGACTTAACTGTTTCTGAGTTATTTCACTTAAGATAATGGCCTTCAGTTACATTCATATTGTTACAAAATACTTTTTAATGGCTGAATAGTATTTTATTGTAATATATATAGTATATATATATTATATCATAATATATGTAGTATATATATTATATCGTAATATATATAGTATATATATATTATATCGTAATATATATAGTATATATATATTATATCGTAATATATATAGTATATATATTATATCGTAATATATATAGTATATATATTATATCGTAATATACAGTATATATATTATATCGTAATATATAGTATATATAATATCGTAATATATAGTGTATTATTATATTGTAATATATATAGTGTATATATTATATCGTAACATATATAGTGTATATATTATATCGTAACATATATAGTGTATATATTATATCGTAACATATATAGTATTATATCGTAACATATATGGTATATCGTAATATATATGGTATATATATTATATCGTGTTATATATAGTATATCGTAATATATATAGTGTATATATATATATAAAACACCTTCTTTATCCAATCATTCATTGATGGACACTTAGGTTGATTCCATGTCTTTGCTGTTGTGAATAGTGCCGTGATAAACATATGAGTGCAGGTCTCTTTTTGATATAATGATTTGTTTTCCTTTGGGTCAATACCCAGTAGTGGGATTGCTGGATGGAATGCAAATTCTATTTTCAGTTATTTGAGAAATTTCCATACTCTTTTCCCCAGAGGTTTTACTGATTTACATTCCCATCAACAGTGTATAAATGTTCCCTTTTCTCCTTTTCTCTGCATCCTCGCCAACATCTGTTCTTTTTTGACTTTTTAGCAATAGCCATTTTCACTGGTGTAAGATAATATCTCGTGGTTTTAATTTGCAATTCTCTTAATGATTAGTGATGTTGCAAATTTTTTGTCTGCTTATTGGCCATTTGTATGTCTTCTTTTCAACAATGTCTGTTCATGTCCTTTGCCCACTTTTTAATGGAGTTATCTGTTTTGGTTTTCTTATGCATAGTTTTCAAAAAAGGTGGAACTATTAGTAGTATCAGGGAGGCAATGGGTCCAAAATTCAAAGAGATTCCTCCAGGTGGAGTCTTGCCAGAGTCTCCAACTGACAAAATCAACAGTCTCAGAGACCTATAACTCAAAGATGTCACTCAGCATGGAAAACTTGTCTTTAGTGTGACAGAGAAACTTAATTTCTAATTTAATTTAAATCAAATAATATACATATAAATAGCTAATGTGACTAGCAGCACAGACCTACATAAATATCATCTCTTTGAATTACACATAAATCAAGAACAAAATAAAAGATAAGAAAAATCACAAATGGGTTCTATAAAGAATATTCTGCGAGAACAAGTGAAATATCTTACTGTACTAAAGATTTTAATAAACTGTTGGTCTCTGAAATGTATGTACCATACGGACTAGAAAGACACTTAAAAAAAAAACCTTATCACCTATGAAAGGATAAGGATGACAGAAAACAGAAGCCAACTATGAATTAAAGATGTTTCTGATTATGAAAGGGCAAAAATGGGAACGAAATCAACAATCAAAGAATAAAATAATTTAAATTAATTTCTCCTGTAGCTTAAAAAATTATAACTATGCAGAGCAAGAGAGCTTATTAAACTTTAGATAGAATTAATGAAAAGAGACACCAAGAAAAATCCTCTTAAACTTTCCTTAAAAGGTTAATGAAAATAATTCTACGCTTATCCAAATTGCCTACAGAAGAACAAAAATCAAGCTATTTTTGGTTTTATATTTGCAGTATAATATGCCTAAGCTAATAGCATCTATAGAAGTTTGAGAGAAAAGAGGTTAGTGTTTCTCAAATTTTATGATAACCTAAATGGTTTTGATATTTGAAGAAAAGAGAAAAACATTTGCAAAATACTCAAGGGCTCAGGAACCTTGCTAACCATGAGTATTTCTGTACAGTATATTGGAAAATAACTCAGTCAACTGACAGTTTAATCAAAACAGGAACACAAGAATGAAAAATTATCCCTTTCTCTGAATAAGTGGTAAGCATTTAAAATAGTTAAATAAAATTACATCTAAAACTACTTTGAAATTAACGTTATCAGTTTGAAAGGTAATGTCAATTTTATTGTTGTGAGGGTATGTTAAATATAAATGAATTAGAGATAAGCTGGGTATTAAGATATATATTACACTTACAAAAACCCATGTATACAAGAGTGGGTGGAAAAGAAAAATGTAGCAAATATTTCATTTTTCATTCTAAATTGTTAACTCAAAAAATAAATGTTAAAAAGTAGTTTAGAAAATTTTAATGAGAAGGATTTGTAAAATAATAACTCTAGTAAACATTGATGACATTAAAATTACTGAATAAAACAAAATAAAAGTCAACATAGCAAAAATTTAAAAAATTTTAAAAAGTAAAATGAGAAAGTATGAAAATTAGAAAAGATTATATCAAAAGGAAATATGACCAAACATCTATTACAGTAATAAACACAAGTAGTTATTTTTTCTCTGTCATAAGGTAAACTTAAATACAAACTACATGGCTTATATAAGTGAAGACTAAAATAAAATTTCTTAGAAATGTAAAAAATGAGAAGAATTGTATAGTTTTATCAAATAAATTCAAATCAGATGAACATAACTATTAATTTTATGTAAAATAATAAACATATCAAAAAGCACTAAATGAGAAAGTAATTTTGTATCCATAAGAAGTGCAAAATACAAAAATATATTTATAAAGCATCGTAGTTTATGAGAATAATAAAAGTATAACAAATATTAAAAATGCAAGAAGACAATGATAGAAACATAACTGTGCATTAATTTAACAAAACTTTATAAAGGTAGATTTTATAATGTAATCAATAAAGCTGCAAAAATTTCATTTTCTTACCACACTGAAAGATAATATTTCTGCAATAATCACAAAAGAATGGCATTATCATCAGAAAATCAAGAATCCATATATTTATATCAAATCAAAAAAGAAGAGTCAAAATAATCAAAATAATATCCTTTGTGGAGAATATCCATGTGCACATAGCTTATCAAATAATCAGTAGAATTATTCTGAAATTTAAAAATCTACAAAAATAGTAGGCCAAAAGATAAATATGTGTATTGGCTATATTAAACCAAGAAATTTCACTGATAAGACTATGAGAAAAATTCTTCAAAATAACCAGGATGTGTGTTGGTAGACACACACACACACACACACACACACATAGAGAGGGACAATGAATGTCACTCATTTATGTAGTCTTAAAATGGCCATTTAAAAGGGAGAAACACTGTAAGGAACAAAGTTTATCCCAAATTCACTTATATGATGAATGAAGCCTCTATTAAAGTTTCAATGGATTTCTTAAGAAGAGGACATTCTAGAATTAAAATTCAAGAATAATGTCAAAGTGAATTTTAAAACAAAAATGATGAGCAAGCTCCTTGACTTTATATTCCAGATAATGTGACAGTACTTTGCATGTAACAATATTATTGTGAAAGGAAATAAACAGATCAATGGAAAAAAATAGCTCTTGTAAAGAGTTGAAATATATTACAAGATACTGATGTTGAACAAGGGATGCAAATCAAAATATATTTCAATATATATTTCAGCCTGCAAAATATTATTGGAAAATTAGCTATTTAAAAACACATATCTAAACCTTACAACAAACATGAAATAAAGCCAAGAAGCATTAAAATATTAGCCACAAAACTTCATATTATAAAAGCAAGATGATTCAGTATCCTTAAAACATAAAAATTATATGCAGTATATATAAATGTTATATAAAAGTATTTTATATAAATATATAAAAATAAAATACTGTTACCTCAAATGAAAATTAGCAAACGACACAACCTTCTACTCACAAAAAATAGAAATAATATATATAAACCAATTAAACTACAATACACACATGAAATGTATTCTACCATACATAAATGAAAGCTAAACTAAAACTAAAAACTATTATCCTGGGTTCAGTATTATCTTATGAGCTTTTAAAAGCAGCAGCAGAAGGCAGAAGTGTCAGTCAGAAATGGCACGGAAGGAGGGAGGAGAGATGAAACAGAAGGGGAGTTTGGGGAGATTAGAAGCATGAGAAGGACTCAACCTGCCTTTGCTAGCTTTGAAGATGGAGAAAGGCGCTCCAGCCAAAACATTTGAATGGCTTCACAGCCGACACACAGCAAGTTATCTTGGACTTCAGTCCTACAACTGCATGGAAGTGAATTTTTCCAACAGCCTGAATGAGCTTGGAAGTGGATTCATTCCTAGATCCTCTATAAAGAAACACAGCTGTACTCACACTTTGATTTCAGCCTTGTGAAACCAGGACCAGAGAAACAGCTGAACCATACTGTGCCTGAATTTCTGATCCATAGAACTCTAAGATAATAAGAGTATTGTTTTATGCCTCAAATTGGTGGTAATTTGGTGAGAGAACAATAACTAACTACTGGAAAAATTTCTCTCCTGATGATTTGGCAGAGATTAAACAAACAAAAAATCATTGCCAGAAGACAGGCACAACTATATTTAGTATTGGCAACATAATTTATCTCAGATTTTCTAGAAACTAATTTCATAGTATGTGTCTAGAGCCTTAAAGATATTCATAGCCTGTGCTAATTCTATCCGTCAGAATCCACCATTATGACCTGAGCAGAGCTATGGACTAAGGTTTAAATATGAGGGTATTGGCCAGACACAGTGGCTCATGCCTGTAACCCCAGCACTTGAGGAGGCCAAGGGGGGGTGGATCACCTGAGGTCAGGTGTTTGAGACCAGCCTGGTCAACATGGAGAAACCCTTTCTCTGCTAAAAACACAAAAATTAGCCGGGCGTGGTGGCGGGTGCCTGTAATCCCAGCTACTCGGGAGGCTGAGGCAGGAGAATGGCTTGAACCCGAGAGGCAGAGGTTGCAGTGAGCTGAGATCGTGCCACTACACTCCAGCCTGGGTGACAGAGTGAGACTCCTTTCTCAAAATAAATTAATTAAATAAATAAATAAACTATAAGAGTATTATCCATAGTAGCAAACATTTAGAAACCACCTTTAATTTCAAATAAATTATAATCATTTATATGTTGAAATATTATTAAGGGAATAATGTCATATTATAAAAATAAATATATTTGAATATACTCAATATATAGTACCAGATGAAAAAGTGTGCTTCAAAAATAAAAACCTCTCAATCTCTCTACTGTCTATCCATCCACTCATTAGCACACACATGCACACACACCACATTGAAAACAGACTGGGAAGAAATATAATCAAGTGTTAATAGTGGGTATTTCTAGTGGAAAAAAGTATAAATATTTTAAGTCTTCTAATTTCTAATTTATAGTTTTCTGTTTTTCAATATTTTTTGTAATCATGTGAATTATGTTTGTGACAAAACTATTAAGAAGCAAACATTATTTCACATTTTTGAAACAGAAACGTTGCAGCTGTAGATTTAATATGTAGATAGACTCTTAAATACATTAAAATTTTAAATATGCCTCTAACTTTGTTTATCTGGTTTTTACTTTTTTTTTCAACCAGGAAATATTGAATATGTATCTGGGAGCACTTGATTTTTCAGAAGCGTATCTTAGAGTTGTCACTAATTTTTCTTTTTTCTGTTTCTTGGACTTATAATTAGTGTTTCCCTTTATGCTTACATATTGACATATGAACAAAAAACCTTGTATTTATTTTTGGATTACATAGAATCTAATAGCATCTAAATAAATGTATTATTAACTGTGTTCAGCTGTTGGAATAACTAGACATCTGTTGCATTGCAAATAAATAAAAGGTACTTTACTCAATGGAAACAATAAAAAATTAAAACAAACAAAACCTGACCATGCCATCTTCGTTATGATCAAGGCTGTGAAAATTAGCATCATTTCTTCTCTTTTCTTAGAAATTACAGCTTCACAAATATGTTCATATATACTCACAAAATCCAGTTTTAGTGAAGTTACAAGAAAAATACACTCCACAGCCCCCCACCTCCCATTAAGACTGTTAAGAACAACTGATACTGGGCAAAAGCCATGCAGGAATAGGTAAGAGGAAAAGAGGAGGATCCAATGGAAACAAATTTCAGGAAATTTTGGCAAGAAAATCCTTCAGACTTAGGGTATTTTTTAAAATATAAAAGCATGATCCTGTGTTTTCAACAGTGGAAAAGAAAATTAGAGTAGACAGAAGTAGACCCTTTAGTAGACCCTTTAGAACTAATTTGGTTCAGAGAAAACAAGGAGAGATGGACACTATGAGCCATATTTGTAGAAAGTGGTTTCACTTTGGAACAGCAGAGAAGGATCCTTTAAACTATAAAAACATGTTATGGCAACACTGGATGCTATGTGTTTCTTCCTGACTCAGTCCCAACCCCCATATCACAGGAACCTCCTAAAAATAACACATCAGAGACAATCCAAATTCAATGCCGAGGCACAAATCAGCACAGCATAGCACAGAGATACTGCAACAAAACACGTAAAAAGAAGCAGCCAAACTTTCTAATAAATAAATATCACCAGGAAAGTGTTACTACATAGCAGATGAAAATTGTGCCAAAATATTTTGGTTTAAATGTCATAAACAATCAATGGCTTCTCTAAACAAAAACTGTATCAGAAAAACAAGAATTCTGTAACCAGATAGTGAGTCATGGAGAGAAAATGAAACATAAGAAAGAGGTAGAAGAAAAAAGAAGACATGCTTAGAAAATTTAAGACAGAACTGAAAGGGATACAAGCAAGAAGAGAGATTATGTAAGGCTCAGTAATGATCAAAGATAATACAGTAATAATACATTGAGATAAGAATGTATTATAAAATACTGGAAAGGCAATAATAGACATAAAAAAGGAAATTTAACATGCCAATTACTGGAATTCCTGAAGAAAACAGATGAAATAATGGAACATAGCAAATACTTAAATATATAACTTAGACTTCAACTTTTGGTACTGATTATACTAGAGCAGATTCCCTCACCAAAAAGAATATAAAATTTGGGTGTAATAAAAAAGCAGCTAGCTACCTTAAGACAGTAGAGAATAAGGAAAAGTAGGCAGATTCTGTTGGCAAGTATATGCTCAGAGGAGTGGAGTTACACGAAGTGGATTTTTGTCTTCCCAGCTGTTATCCTGAGGCCAGATGCAGTCATCCTACTGTGCGCATTCTTCTCTTGAAAATTTAGAAAAACAAATTCAGGAAAATTGTGGTTACTGGAAGGGTGTTCTCAGAAAGTGAAGGGCCAGAGAGGGGATTCTGTGTCTAGCCACATCACTGGCTCCCATAAGTCAACAATAAACAAGCTCTACAAAAACAGTTCTGCCGAAGATAAAGAATATGAACTTATAACAATGCTATAACCTAAGAAAGAAACCTTAACAAAAAAGTGTAAAATAGAATAAAACTTATAGAATAAGAAATAAATATTTTTGACAGCTGTATACTGTGTTTGTATTTTAAGCTAAGTATTGCAAAAGAATAAAAGTTTTTTAAAATTAAAAAGTTTATAAAAGTAAAAACAATTCAGTAAGCTGAAGTCAATTTGTTATTAAAGAAAGAAAAAACTTTAAAAAGTAAGTCTACTGTAGTCTAAGTGGGCGGTGTTTATAGAGTCTATACTAGTGTACAGAATGTTCTGGGCCTTCACATTCATTCACTGCTCGCTCACTAATCACCAAGGGTAACTTTCAGTCCTGCAGGCTCCATTCATAGTAAGTGCCTTATAAAAATGTACCATTTTTTAAAATCTTTTATACCATATTTTACTGCACGTTTTCTGTTTAGTTATGTTTAGATATACAAATACTTACCATTGTGTTGCATTGGCTATAGTTTTCAGGGAAGTATGAGGTACAGGTTTATAGTCTAGGAGCCATAGTCTATACCACACAGTTTAGGTGTGTAGTGGGCTATACCATCTAGTAGGCTATACTTTGTGTAAGTACACTCTATGATGTTTGCTCAAGGACAAATCACAATATGTTATTTTGATATATTAGATTGAGTTTATATATGTTTAGATTGAATTTGAATAATATTTCTATTTTTTATTTTAAAAATCTATTTTTAAAAATAAATGCTTCCTGTCTCCAATTTTCAGTGAAGCTTTTGGTTTTAATTCCTGTTAATATATTTAAAAGACCTTCCCTTACCCTTTTTTTCTACCAAAGGGAGAAAAAAATCCTTCCAAAGAGAATAAAATCTAATTTGGCACTATCATATATCAGGGAATCACTACTTTTATATCTACCCAAAGCCAATTTTGTTATGTTGCAGACTTTTTGAAAAGAGATTGCTGTAATTTACATTTTACTAGGGATAAAAAAAATCCTTTTAGAAACTGTTGAATGGTCTGTCATTACTGAATTCAGTGTCTTCTAGTCTGTCCTTGACATGAAATATTCTTGTCCTCTGAGTTCACATTTTGTATTTCAGGTTCTTCCACTTTGTCATTTAATCCACATTGCAGCTATATAAAAAATAGGCAGTTGAGTGCTTTTAAAAAGAAAATTATCCAACAGAATATTTTAGGAAATAAGATGCTCAAGACCTTTTCACCTGCCAGAGGGAAGAGGAGGGGGCAATATATATGATAATCACAAATATGAGAAGCCACTGACATTGTGTACTGACAGTGAGTCAATAATTTTCACCAAATATTTTAGAAAAGTTATGACTTAAAGTAGCTTGGATAAATGCTGAAACTGATTATTTCCAAGTTTAGTAGAAATAATAAGTGACAATCAATATACATTTTACTCCACAAGGATGTGTGTGTGTATATATATATTTATACACACACACACACACATAAATGTATCTACAAATATGTAAATATATATGAAATTTCACAAGTAATTAACACATTTCTAGTTTTCCTATAGCTTACTGCTGGGAGTATCCCTTACACCAGTAGTTCTAATCTTTCATGTGACTATGAATTATCTGTGCTCAAGAAGTTAAGATACCTTAGTTCCACTCCTAGAGACTTCAATTCTGACAGTCCTGGACTCTAGCCTGGGAATTTGTGATTCTGTTGCAGAGACGGATGCACTAAACTGATAAGAAAAGACTTTCATAATCTCTTTCATTTTAAATAGTGGTTTATTCTTTCCCCACATATTGTTATTCTTTCCTTGAAAAGTTGAGTTAAGCCCAAAATAAATAGTGCACTTTTTTTTTACATTCTGCATCTCCACTTTTTGTCCAGCATTGTTTTGAGATAACTCAACCAAATTTGATTCTTTACAACACGGAGTTTATTAAAATAACTTATAATAAGCGTCTTACCTTCCTTTTATTTATCAATAATCTGTTCCTTTTCTTATTCCCAAATCACAATAAAGGATCTCTCCTTTATTGTGATTTATTATTATTATTATTCTTTTGAAACAGGGTCTTGCTTTGTCACCCAGGCTGGAGGGCAGTGCCAGGATCTCGGCTTCTGCAGCCTTGACTTCCTCGGTCTCAGGTGATCCTTCCACCTCAGCCTCCTGAGTAGCTGGGACTACAGCTGTGTGCCACCACATCTCACATCTGAATTTTTTTTTTTTTTTTTTTTTTTTTTTTTTTTTAGACACAGGGTTGCGCCACGTTGCTCAGGCTGGTTTTGAATTCCTGGGCTCAAGGGATCTACCTGCCTTAGCCTACCAAAGTCCTGAGATTACAGGAGTGAGCCACTATGCCTGGCTATGGAGATTTATTATTTATTGCTCTCCTTCCTTTCATTCTAGTTATCGCCACCCATAATTATTCAATCTGTACATTCCTTGACTTGTTTTGGTTTATTGGCCATGAGATATCTGTCAATTTCTTGAACATTTACTATCCCATAAATTGAAAAGCAGCATAAGATCAAAGCTGCTTGAGGTGAGAGCCTACTAACGTGGTACAGCTTGAGGCATGCCAGATGGTGTCCTGACAAAATAATGATAAGTTCTGGGGTACATGTGCAGAACGTGCAGGTTTGTTACATAGGTAAACACGTGCCATGGTGGTTTGCTGCACACTTCATCTACATTAGGTATTTCTCCTAATGCTATCCCTCCCCCAGGCCCCCACTCCCTGACAGGCCTCGGTGTGTGATGCCTGCCCCACACCATGTCTATGTGCTCTTGTTGTTCAACTCCCACTTATGAGTGAAAACATGTTGTGTTTGGTTTTCTGTTCTTGTGTTAGTTTGCTGAGAATGATGGTTTCCAGCTTCATCCATGTCCCTGCAAAGGACATGAGCTCATCCTTTTTTATGGCTGCATAGTATTCCATGGTATATGCCACATTTCCTTTATCCAGTCTATCATTGATGGGCATTTGGGTTGGTTCCAAGTCTTTGCTATTGTGAACAGTGCTGCAATAAACATACATGTGCATGTGTCCTTATAGTAGAGTGATTTATAATCCTTTGGGAACACACCCAGTAATAGGATTGCTGGCTCAAATGGTATTTCTAGTTTTAGATCCTTGAGGGATTGCTATACTGTCTTCCACAATAATTGAACTAATTTACACTCCCACCAACAGTGTAAAAGCATTCTTATTTCTCCACATCCTCTCCAGCATCTGTTGTTTCCTGACTTTTTAATGATCGCCATTCTAACTGGCATGAGATGGTACCTCATTTTGGTTTTGATTTGCATTTCTCTAATGACCAGTGATGGTGAGCTTTTTTTCATATGTTTGTTGGCTGCATAAATGTATTAAACAGAAGTGAAAGAAGTGAGGTTTGGTATCGAGGAAGAGGAAACAAATCAAAGAGAGGTCAGAGGAAGAAATGGGGCAAAGACAAGGAGGAATAATGAAAACAAAACTTCATGAAAGCAAGTTAGCAAAGTAAAAAATTTGCTAATTCATGATTTTGCCGGGGATTAGCTTTGTGTTAAGTCAATAAAATAAACTTGTTGGTCAGAACTTGAATTTGTGTTTATTAAACCAGTGGAACCTCAATTCTTCCTGCTCATGATTGTGATGGTGGTGAAATGAAAGTGTGTCTATAAAGCACTATCTACTCTAAGACATTAACCACGTTTTACTTAATAATAATGAGGATGGTGAGGATGAGGCTGATAGAACTTGATCCATAGAGCTAAATGAAGGTAGCCACTATTTGTTCATTCAGGCACACTGCATATGGTGGAAACAATAGCTCGTTCAGGTTAAGTGACAGCTGAAAATTCTGACTCCTGTAGTGAGAGCAACGTGTTTTAAATCTGAGGTGCAAACTGTTTGTTTACATATGACTAGCTAGCCCAATGCATAGCAGCTATAGGTGGGAAAAGCCGAATATTTCAAGAATAATGTGCTGATCCTGAGGAATTTGTTCTTGACTTTTAGGCATACCACAAGATATTGTAATTATTATTCATTCATTCACTACCAATGGTGGGTGTCTGGATGGTTAACTGGTTTCTTTTCCAGCCCTTAGGAAATACTGGGGATTAGGCAGCATTATGCCCCAGACTCCTGCATGCTTTGAGGAGAATGTTAGTAATAGTCTAGTGGAACAGGGATTTTTCTTTTTAATGAAAATTAAGTCTGTGTCAGGAAAGAAAGGATAGATGAGAAAGATCAAGACAGAAAGCAGCTATCCCTTAAGGACACCAATCTTAAAATGACAATGACAGAAGAATGGTGAGCATAAAATGATTATAATGTAACTAAATTATTAAAGTAAATTTATTTCTACTAAGGAAAGGTTTTTTATTGCATTAAAATAAATGAGAAAGTAACATTGGCCTTTATTCCTCTAAATCAAGGCACTGTACTTAACAACGGATACTATTTCAGTATGTTTACTATTTTAATAATTTTTTATTAATAATTTCACAGGAATACACTTTCTTTAACAAAAATATTGTATATTTTAGCAAAGCATATATTATTATAAGTACAGGTAAAAAGGTACTTTTTGAAGTCTTAATTTTTTCTTTAATGAAAATATTTTTGAAAAATCTACAATAAAACCTCACAACTTGTAGTCCATAAAAGTACTTTTTAAAATATGTGTATGATTTACCCAAAAGTTTGAAATAGTTATCAGTGATAACAAATGTGTATTTTTATGAATGTAAAATAATGTATTAAGAGAGAAATTTCTATCTCTGTTTAGATGAAATGCTTTTCCCTACCATGTCTTCAGGAGTTGTCAGACTTTCATGTCTAATTTGTATCCTTATTGAACATTTTGGTGCCACGTGGGTAGCTTCTCAATGGTGAAGCTTTTTGGCTCTGCAATGTTCAGCCTTAAAATACGGTTTTACCTGAATCATCTCAGAGAAGCTCTTTATTTAGCTTATCTTGGTATCACTCTCTGTCCCTCACCCCCAAAACACACACAGAGTTTAATTTCTGACAGATTCTTTTATGGATGCTATTGGGCAGCAGTGGACCCTCTAGGTGAAAGTGGTGATTTAAATCAGGCCTGTGTCAGGGTAGCATGGCTGGATTCGCTGTGGAACCATGATTCATTTCAGCTGGTGTCCACAAGGATGTCTCAGCATTCATGATGCAGCAGCGACACTCCTAAATTGCTGTGATGCACAGTCTCTGAAAATCAAAAAGGAGAAATTACAGTTATATAAAGTGGAAAGTTAAACACTGCTGGTCCTTCATGTCCACAGTCCATTTTTGCTGATTTAAGGCAAATATTGTTTAACTCACAAGGTTCTGTTGACACTAGCTGTTTTCATTATTTTAACTCAGCTTTTTACTTAAAAAACAAAAGTGTACCACATGGTTAAAATCATTTTGTACTAAGACTATTTTCCATTTAAGATCCCTTCCCCTCCCACTCCAGTTAAAATCTAAAAATAAAATAAAACCATAGTTTTGTTAAAGGGGGGGTAAACATTAATGAAAAAAATGTTAATTTGGGGTTAGCATAATTAATATTTGTAAGCAGGTGTTTTAAAAGTCTCTGAAAAGAGTTATATATTCCTGCATATATTAGTTAGCATACTTCTAAAATATCTTTTGGTATATTGCAAGCTACAGTCTTTTTTAGTGACCACAATACCAGGCAAATAGAGGCCAAATTAATTCCCTTTTGTGGTACTATTAATATTCTGTTAGGTTTGAATATCTAAATGCTGACAGAAAAACCACAGCAACAACAACAGACAATAGTTCTATCTTGCAGATTTGACATGGCCAAGTGTATTTTAATAAAATAACAACAAGATTGTCAAGTTGTTGGTTGAATGATTTTGATCATAATAATTGCAAGACTTAAAACTCTGACACATGATGCACAGAAGAGGAAAAGGAAGGTGGGGAGGTGGGGAAGAATATCTGTTTCACATGTCTAAATGGCTATAATGTGAAAAAGAGATTTTTTCATCGGAAGAAACTGGAATCACTTATAAAATTGACAAAATAGAGATTTCAGGAACCTATCCCAGAACTATTGAATAAAAAGAATTAGGGGTGTCTCCTGAAAATCTGCATTTTAAAAATATCTCCAGGTAAGTATAATTAGACAGCCAAAATTGGGAACCCCCGTTTATGTAATTCATAATAGAATCAGAATAAATCAGTGTTAGCTCCCTGGGAACAGAAACAGGAATTAAATGAATTTTCATCCTTTTTGTCCTATATAATGCCTGTCACATAATAGTTACTGAAATATTTGTTAGATGAATGAATGAAGATACTGGGAGGCATGTTTCATTCAAACGTAATGAAAAGGTATTTTGTCAGCTAGAATTGTCGTTTCTCGTGCCTGCAGCTGTTAAAGCAATGACTAGATTACTTATTGGTGTTGCTGGTATCAGAAAAGTGCAGGGACTGACATATAGTAAGCACTCAAGAAATGCTTCACAAATTAATGCATAAACTAAATGTGAGTTTATTACTCCAAGCATTTCTTGATCAAATTAAGTGACTATGAAACAGATGAGTGGTAGAATTATAATCAGATTAATAAGAACAAATGAGCTTATGAATAACTCATTCTATAAGAGAACATAGATATAATTAAACAACTTTTGGCATTTCTCAAAAACGACAGATCTTCTACTTTAGTGGTATACAAACACCTCTAAGATCCATAAGTTTAAATGCCAAATCCACTCTTGATTCTTCAGCAACATTTTTGACCCAAATTAATCACTCCCAACATTGTACCATTCAAACTACCTTGCATTTACCTTTCTTTTACCATTTATTATTTATTTGAGAATGTATTTGTTTTTCTCTTGTAAAATCTACCTTCCTTGAGAACAAGGGCGCTATCATTTTGCCCTCCTCCAACCTCCTCCCAATGATAGGTCTGTTTGACTTGGTAGTTGTTAACTGTTGTGCCTGAGCTATGTTGTTCATTGTGCCAGTGTATGGAGCACTTTTAGTAACTTGACAATTCTCTTGACTATCAATCAATGTTAAAGTTCTGCTGTTGCTTATCAGGCACTAAAATTGTATGCTGATTTAAAGACAAAAATCCAATTATACATGAATATTTTATGTCTGATTCTTTACCTCATTACAGCACATGGATCTTATTACTTTTTCTTCTTTGGGCAGAGAGGAGTAGCCAGCTGCATGGTTAGTTTTCTTTCTTTTTGTTCCTCAAGATTTTCTTGTTTAAAAAATCTGTATCTATCTATCTATCTATCTATCTATCTATCTATCTATCCATCCATCATATACTTAGGCAGAGCTTACTACCATCTTGCACAAGATGGTTACATGATCTTCAAGTTTGTAAATGCATTTTACTTGTTCTTTCAGGTAATGGGCTTCGAATGAATTATACAATATACATTTTGACAGTTCAATTGATTTATGCACCCAGGATGATTGATTAGTGTATTATTTCAAGAATAAGGCACTCTTCATTTCACACAGCTCATTTTCACCATTGTCAGACTTTAGTCTCTTGATGGTCTAAAGGAAACGTGAGCCACTTTTTTTTTTTAAGTTTGCAGCTCCATTAGTCTCTCTGTGTACCCTTTCTTCATAGGATTGAAGACAAATATTTGGTGAATTCCTTCAAAGATACATTATCATTGTCTAAGTTTCAAGTTATCTAGGCTCTTTGATGAATGTGTGATTGGAGGCAAACTTCAGGCTGAGGTTATTGATGGCATACTAAGTAATCACACAACTTTTATAGTAGGAAGAATAGTACAGGTGGTGGCTGCTAGCTGACCAAAGAGCTCAAGCATAATCCCCCCACCCGCTTTTCCTTAGCTGACTATTCACAATATGCTCCATGTATGTGTGGTTTAGGTCTGGTAGAGACTTAGGTAGAGAATATACACAATGAGTGGGTTTTGCCATCTGTTATTTTAGTTCATGGATTTCCTCATAATCCCGTGGCTGTGGTTTGCCATGAAATCTCTAAGAATTAAAGCTGAAAACAATGAAAAAGGTACCCCCATGGGAATACCTTGTGAAGTCTTAGATTCCCCCTCTAGAATCTCCCTGCTCTGCTGCTGTTGATGCTCTAGAACCTGCAAGTAGTGTTTTATTGTACTTTGTCCAGAGTTTATATTTTGTATCTGCTGGGAGATGTGTCTGGTAGGAGTTTATTTGGTCATTTTAGTAGAACTCCCCTAGTATTTTTTCAAATATTGTTCATTAAATTTTAAAGGAGAATGGCAGCATATCAATCCTACAATTTACCCTCTGAGATCGTTTTCAAAAGAACTTGTTTAGTCTACTTTGTATAAGTAACTAAGTTTATTTCCCAACATAAATTATAAACTCAGTAATTAAAATGGGATTAACACTTAGTAATTCAGTTGAGAAGGGCAAAGTTCAGGGAAATGGTTAAGGGAGTCTCCTCACATCTAAAATAATGTGGAGTAATCTGCCAGAAGATCAGACAATTAAGGGCTGAGAATTAGAATTCATGGAATCATCAAATCTTGGTATTGGACAGTACCTTAGAACTCATTAAGCTTTGTACCTAAAACTAGAATTCCTTCCATGGTATCTCCTAACAACATAGTTATTATGGACTACAAAAGTATGCTGATAAAAATGTTAAACATGGCAATAAAGTAGATAGGAATAGTTAGCTAGAAACGTTGAAATATCACATAACTTTTCTCATACTGAGCTATTATGTAACATTTTCTATTTTATTTTAAAATTTCAAATTTCTAGGTTAGCTTTGCCATCGTACTGTTTTATAATTTTTACTGAATAACTTTCATGCTCATAGAATCAAATAATCAGGACACTTCTGGGTGAGTAATGTCATAGTCGTACATTAGAAACTAGAATTATTTTATTTTTTGGAAGGATAAGTTACAGGAGAGTCAATTAAAGCAGTTTCCTGATGACAAAATAAGAAAAACAACTTTGGATCACTTTAGTTTCTTTTATAATCCTTACAAAGTCAACTCCAAAGAGTTCCTGAAACATAAATTCTTTTAATATATTGAAAAAATTTAAAAGACAAATCTAAATGACAAAGAATTATACAATTTCTGATCATATATCAAAATAATAGTGTTAGGAAAGCATTAGCATATTTCTTGGGGGTGTTCTATATACCAACATAAAAGAACATTTGAAATGAACTTTAAAACTTACAAGCCTTTGCCCAAAACTCATTAATTCTCATCTAAAATAATTATAAACATTGGATTAGCACAGTAATCACTTAAAAACTCAATGCAAATAAACATGTGGAATTTTTTTTCAAATACCCTTAATATTTATGCAGTACACTGCTTCCAAGAACAAATATACATAGTAAATAGCTCCAACAGGGAACAGAACAATATATTGAGAACAAGAACTGAATCTAATCAGATTCATAATATGATAATTTTCAAAAGATAAACTTAATGTTGTATCCATACATTCCCTAAGGATCAGGGAGGCACTGGTGTTTTATAACAGCAAGAAATTAAAAAATAATCTGCCTGCTTAGTAAATCTTAAACAAACACCACTGCACTCCCACCCCTTCCACCATGAACATCAAGTCCTGTGAGGAAAAAATGAGCCATAAATGCAGCTAATCTCAAAATGAAGCTACTTTCTTTCTACATGATAAGAGGATGAATGTGGAAGATCCACAGTTTTCAAAATGCCAAGGTAGGGAATAGCAGCTTTATTTGTATCCTTAAAAAAACTCAGTGGCATTCTTGCATATTCCGTTCTACTACAGCGTCTGGTTCACAAAGTGAACTCAATAAAGAAGAATATAATGAATGGATTTATTACAGCTAAGTCTCCTTGAACGCTGTCTTTTATGAGAGTGGGCATACAAACTCCCTCCTTTATTATTTTCCCGAGCCAGTTTTTTCACTGAAAGTGAACCAGGTTTCACTCCGTTCTTACATGTATGTGCTCATGTGTTACCCTTTCTCGTCTGTCCCTTCAGCCTCTCCCTCTCTACTCTTTGCTCTTAGCTTACAAATATGGTCTAGTGCTGCTCATCCATAAACACCACAATCAAATTATTTTTCCAGTCTTTTTTCCATTTCCAAAAGCATAATACTTTTTTTCTTCCTTTCAAAGAGAGCCAAGCTACTTAAAAGTACAATGTACAATTTAGGTCTCTTCCTTACCTTCCTTCATTTCTCAGCACATTACAATTGGTGATTTGCCCACATCACACTCTATCTAAATGACTCTTGCCAAGGGTAGCAATCAGTGCCCACATCATCCACTCTTCCTTCTTACTGGGAAATTTTGTTTTCCCTAGGCTTCAGTTACTTTTTTTTTTTTTTTTTTTACTTTTTCATGTTCTCCTTCCTCCTACCTCTTCTGACTATTTATTCTGTCTTTTCTCAATACCTCTTGCTTACAAGCTACTGTTTTCTGAGATTCTGTCCCTGGATCTTCCTTGTCACTCTGTCAATTCAGGATAAGCCAAGTCACAACTAAATACCCCGACAGTCTCAGTGGCTTAATACAACCTTTCTTTTTTGTTCACACTATATGATCATATCAATTCGACCAAAGGTCTCCTTCCCATTGTTGTTATTCAGATCCATAGGCTTACAGAGCCTCCAATACCTGGAATACACCTAGTCACAGTGGCAAAGGGAACAGAACATGGAAAATTATGCATCAACACTTCAAAGTTTCTGTTCCAAAGAAGCGTAAATCTCTCCCTTTTTTGTTGGCTCAAGTAAGTAATGTGGTCAAACCTAACTTCAAATGAAGTGAGTAAGTATAATAGTATAATATGCAAAAAAGGGGAAACCAGAATATCTGAGAATGGCTTCAATGGCCGTTGCAGTCTCTCAGTTACGACGTAAAAATATGAAATATAAAATAAAATATGAAATAAAAATGATGGTTTCAATGAGCACATAAATGTTAATGGCTTGAAATCTTTATTTTAGGCTTATATCTCTTAATCTAATTAACTAAACATACAACTTTCTATTAGATACCTCCACTCAAATATACAAATCTTGAAATCAACTTACCTCAACTGAACTCATTACTAAAACTTCTTATCTTGCTTACCTTCCAAGAACAAAAGTCAGACACTTGGGTGGGGGTTATTTCCATTTTATTCCTCCTCTTTATCTCATATATCAATGAGAACATACTCTAACTCAATTAATGATAATATTGTTAGAATCTATGACCTCCTCTCTATTCACATTGTTTCCTTAATGTAATCTCTTCATATCTATTCTTGAATTGCTGCAACTGCCTCTTTTTGTGATCTTCCTTCTACTGTCCAAACTATCTTTCCTAAACTATCCTTGTCACGGCTGTCAAAATTATCTATGTCATGAATTTGATCACTTATTATTATCATTATTACTTTTTTGTTTTTTTGAGATGGAGTCACGCTCTGTTGCCCAGGTTGGAGTGCAGTGGCACCATCTCGGCTCACTGTAACCTCTGTCTCCCAGTTTCAAGCAATTCTCCATCTCAGCCTCCTGAGTAGCTGGGATTACAGGTGCCTGCCACCACACCCAGCAAATTTTTTTTTGTATTTTTAGTAGAGACAGGATTTCACCACCTTGGCCAGGCTGGTCTTGAACTCCTCACCTTGCGATCCACCTGCCTCGGCCTCCCAAAGTGCTGGGATTATAGACGTGAGCCACCATGCCCAGCCCACTTATTATTTTAAAATGCTTTCTTCTTCTTGTTAGCTCTATGATAATGTACAAACTTGTATTGCATTGTCCCTTTTATGATATGATCTTTGATCATCTGGCTAGTTTCATCTCTCCGCTCTTCCTCCAGCTCATCACATTCCATCATCTGAAGTTGGCAAGTTCACTAAGAAATAAAGGAGAAGTGAAAATAAAATACACCTTCATTAAGACTATTTTTTTTTTTAATAAAAAGGCTTGGAGAGAAAGAGAACTCAAGTTTGATGTCAAAACTGAGAGAGCCTATGATCCTTTGCAGGAAGATCTAACTCCTTTTAGTCAGACATTGTATTCACTTGGAAAGATTGTTGAGGTCTGAGTAGGAGACTGACAGAGATTGTTTGGCTTTTAGAGAAAGGCCATTAGCATGTGGAAGCAGTAGGTCCTTGAATTCAGACTATGAGGGCGTGTCCAATCATGACATTTAGGATATTTATACCTTGATAAAAAGCTGTGTCTGTAGGTAATAGCAGATTACTATGTGAACAGTAATAACACTTCTCAGCTACATAAGCAGTGACCGAGTGAGTAGGGTCATATAGTACACAGGGCTTGCCCCTTCCAGGGATATGGGAGAGCACATTCTTTATGAACATGGTGCAGGATTAGGATGAGGATGATTGTCAGATAGGATGATTGGCATTCTATGGTATTTTTAAATATGTAAATGCTACAGATTCAAGATAGAAGAAAATAAAAGAAAATTTGAAAAATTTGGCTTGAGACAAGAAAAATTAAAGAATAACATAGATTTATATTTTCACACCTACATAATCCTTGCTACTGGATCTAGCCAAGGGCTAAACTACAGTAAGTGGTGAAGGACGAGAGGTTTTTGTAGTAGTAACTTTTTTTTTCCTTATTTTTCTTTCCCTCTACCTATACCTATCTCTTATATTATAATATAATTTAAAAGAGAAAAAAAAATCCTCCAGTACACTGCAGTCTTAGAAAGTATCTTTTATTTCCTACTAAGGGAAAATCAAATGCAAAGAGGAAAGTTTCCCAAGTTACTAGTACAACATTAGTGAATAAAAAGTAGATGTTTTCCTTCAACTGCCTAACACTTATAAGCAGAAAGATGAATTAGCAGAATGACAGGTGTTGGGAAATGACAAAAGGAAACAGATTACGGATGGGAATCAAATTACTTAGTCCTTCAGTTACATTCCAAGCATAAATAAAGTAAAACAATTAATCTTTTATTCTGCCACCTGTAAATCTGCCAGGGATTGCATGCTCAATAGCATTAACGAATTGCAATGGAAAGACAGGCTGGGCTAATTTATCCTTTACTCTGTAACTTCAGAGCCACCATATTTGACAGCTGCAATCATTTCCTACAGTGTCTGTATGATAGTCCATGAGGTAGAATGGCTTATAGATTGAAAAAACCCTCACAGTTTCATTGAACGGGGGTGGAAATTGTTAACATTCACCAGAAAGGAAGGGGCAAAGTACACGATCCCACACTAAGGGTAATATTAAGCATTATGTGGCCAATTTCTGGATTGTAAGGCACAAGTAAGGATGGGAGACTAAGAATGGATAAACTAGAAAACAATTATCATGTGTTGTTTCCGTTTGTTAGGAGGTCAGAAACTGTAATGATTTGTTGTCACAGCTATGGCATTTTTAAAAAATAGATAAAACATAAAGAAACAAACAGAACTATCATTTGTGGCAGATGCCACTAAATTTTCACATATTACTGCATCTCTTAACCATAATTATGATTTTAGAACTTATGTCTTCACCATAACAGACTGAAAAATCTGAGTAGGCACTGCAATTTGAAAGAAATCCTTATCTATTATAATTGTATCATAATAAATTAGCCTGAGAATTTGTTTGCAGACCTATGCCTCGACTCCTACCCCAAAGCTATGATGTCTCTAAGGCTGTTCAGTCTATTCCTAACACAAGTCTTTGGTATTCTCTTTTTGCCTGATACTGACACAAATCTTCCTCCTTCTTTGTAGTTTTCTCTGTTACATACCTCACCTCACTAAATAATTGAGCATATGTTTGACCATCCTAGCTTTCCTAACTCTGGAATTACGAGGAAATACATTAGTAGAAGACCTTATGAAAATTCTGCTAAATATTAGTTTTTCTCTTATTTTAATGAAAAAAATGTTTCTTTCTAATAAAATATCATTTCCTTTTTACCATCCCTAACTCAAATTCAGAAAGACTCTTTGTTTATGTGGTTGGTGTTTTCCTCTAGGTTGTCACCCAGCATATTTATTTCTCTTTAGGTTGCCCCTCTTCCGAGTGATTTAGCAGTTAATCATACATCTTGTCATGAATACTGCAAGCAATTGGATTTTGTTTGATTTTTAATGAAGCTGTGCGTTGTGATGTTTCATCTCCATTTTTGGCCTGTGGTGATAACTTATTAGCAAAGCACAAGGAGAGAGAAGGGGTTGAGGGGGAAGAGAGAGAACTGAAACCTCTCAGGTCATTCTGGCTTCTTCTAATTTTTAAATATATTCTCAGCAGTTGTATCTCCCACATCCCCATAAAACTGCTGAAAGCTGAATACTGCCTAGATACAAGAAAATATGAATTGATTCTGGCCTGTTGGAAATTCCAAGCCCTGTGGAGCTCGCAGTAGTGTTTTCATCTTTTTAAAAATGTTTCTACTTTGATTATTTTTTTCTTTAGAATCAAGCTTTATAGTTAATTGCTGATAACATCCTTTTTTACTTAGTTTTATATGGAGCAATCAAGTCTGCTTTCTTCTCTCTCTATCTAGCTTCCAAAAATCATGGCTATTTTGAGAATTTTTTCCCTCTGAGGTTAGCCAGTTTCCTGGAGTGAACAACAAATGCATTAAATGTCCAACCAAAGAAAAAATGCAATCTGATTTTAAAAAATGTTTCAAAAATGTGTTCTATAAGTAAATTTTGTAATTGTAACTTTGGGGAATGAGTTACCTTGTTTAAATCGCCCAAGATATTTCCCTCGGGCATGTAAGCATTTTAAGATGCTCACGAAGATAGTCTGGGTATAGAAGCAAGGGGGTAGTTATGGCCTCTGTTTGACCCCAGATAGTTCTGTCCAACTTTGTATCTTTATAACACCTCCCCTACCTGGGCCTAAAACCTTGTTGTTTTTTAATGAAAACAAAAATTGGGTATTGATTGCAGAAGCTACATAAAATATATAGACTTGGAATGAGGGTTGTAGCTATCTTCTGGTATAGCTCATCTATAAGCTTGTTAGTTGTTACCTTGGGACCCTAAAGGAATAAAAAAAGGATAGGCAAATGCTAGAAAAAGCAGTGCAGGGGTAGGAGGGGTGACAGTGGGATTTGGCTACGGCAGCAGTGGCCCAGGATGTCAATAAACGAAGTGGCCTAAGCGTTGGCAGACCTAGATGGGGTTTGGATAAAAGTGGCTGACTTTTTAATTACTATTTTTTGGTAGTCCAATTTTATTGCTATAGTTAAAGACAATGATGACTATAATTATTTTTGCATCATTTAGCATTGATATATTTTGACATAAGAAACTACCACCGCAGTGAAGGTGAATACCATATTCATCCATTTAGCATTAATAATTGGTTTTTAATCTGAAAACGTGTATTATCTTTTACTCTTGTGAACATTTTGTTTTGAAAGAATTGTAGATTCTACACTTGTAATTAATAATGCAAAGAGATCTCTTATATCTATTACTCAGTTTCCCTCAATGGTAATATCTTTTTTTAAAAAATGTTTTAAAGTGATGAATGAAAATTATACATATTTGTCATATACAACATGTTCTTTTGAAATATGTATATGTTATGGACTGTCTAAATCAAGAAAAGTGCCTAAAACTTAAAGAACATGGAGAACCAGCTGGCCAAGATTCAGTGCTACACTATATTTATATTCCCCTTTCTCATCTCCATACCCACTATTTCTTATACTTCTTCCCTTGTATCACCCCAAAACAGCTAATTAAAATAAAATAAACACACACACAGACACACACACACACACACACACTTGATTCTATTGGAGAATTAAACAGGAAAAAAAGATTAACCTCATATAATCATAAAAACATTAATTCAAAAAATGTCTAGCTCTTTAAAGTGAAAGGAGCAGGCCCTCAGAGAGATGGGAATATTATAACAGATATTGAATAAAGCAAATACAAACATACCCACTGCCTCAAAGATCCTTTATACTCTGCAAGATGAGTTAAGCAATTTTTAATAAAAATTACTATTTTTCATTTGCTGCCATACTGATTTCTTCATACTTGTAAGAACACATTATAAGGGCTAGGCATGGTGGCTCACGCCTGTAATCCCAGCCCTTGGGGAGGCAGAGGCAGGTGGATCACCTGAGGTCAGGAGTTCGAGACCAGCATGGCCAACATGGTGAAACCCTGCCTGTACTAAGAATACAAAAATTAGCCAGGTGTGATGGAGCGCCTTTAATCCCAGCTACTCGGGAGGCTGAGGCAGGAGAATCGCTTGAACCTGGGAGGCGGAGGTTGCAGTAAGCCGAGATCGTGCCATTGCACTCCAGCCTGGGAGACAGAGCAAGATTCTGTCTCAAAACAAACAAACAAACAAACAACAAAACATTATAAGGAATTATAAACATGTTACTTGTTAATTGCCACTGTTACTTCAACAGTCGCTACCAGGTGATAGGTATTGGGATTTAGAAGGAAATCCCAAGAAGTAAGAATGGAAGATAATAGATAAATGACCACAACTTGCTTCATATCACTGAGTGACTCACTCATTCTTATTGGCTCTGTTTCAATGATCTAGTTGCCAAGCCTAAGTGAAAAGGAGATTTAAAAGAATAAAAACACACAACCCTCAACCTTTAAGAGCCAAGAATTCAAAGGCTTAAAGCAGATTCTGCCCCATGTTTTAGTTTAACTTCCTATGTTGAGGATTCAGAAAAATGACATGGAATGGAATACATTTTCTCACTTCTGCTTTCCATGTATATCCACCTTCCCCAGGATCTAGGTTGGATAAGTAGTATTTGTGGTATAGTTGTCAGTAACTTTTCTGAGCTTGCATAAGTTTACGTGGAATTGATTTGCAAATGTGTGATTATTATGATAGATGTTACTTTGCAAATTTCAAGGTTCTTTAATATAGCATGGACACGTTTCCAAATCAATAAATATAGCTTACCCATAGGAAAAAAAAAAAAAGAAGGGAATCCCAAATGCAGACAAACTTGTCAAGTTTTTGTTGGTCTTTTGGCCTCTGCTTCCCTTAATTTTGAAACCACTTACCACTTGTGCAGGGTTCACTTGCAAGCCCTTTTAGTGTGCCAGTGTTCATTCTTTCTCCTCGTTTTCCTTATCAGGAAAATATTTGCACCACATTTATACAAAAAATAAAACAAAAGGAAATAAAGTATGACTTTCTTAGTGTTTCTATTCCTAAAATGTCTATGTTTTAAGAGTGTCCAAATCCATGAGTTAAATGAATCACTTAAATAGTAGACTTTTAAGGATCAGTGAAATGACGGCAGATAGATTTCTCTGGAAACCACCCAATGTGGGAATACATTATAACATTTAAATGTTAGGCAGACAATTCTTGAGCTGATTGGCAAGATCAGATAAGATTGATTGAAGTTTAGTAATTTAAATGTTTATTATTTTTTAAGTAGCAGAGTCTATTAACTGAGTATTTTTGCTTATCTTTCATGATTGAATAATGCCAATTTCTAGATTTGTTCCCTTGAAAAAGGGCCCTAGGATGCCTTTGAGAAAAAATTTTTAGAACCGAAAGAGTTTTATAGAAGAATATGTCGCCACTTTTACCTAGGGATGATAATCCATTCAGCAATCCAAAGCAACTTTCCAGTTCTTAATATATTGCCTTGAAATCACCTTAAAAAGGGGTAGTCAATAGAAATTCTCCCCTTGGTTTTAGAGAATGTGCTCATAAAGGCTTTAGTGTAATCATGCCTGTAATCCCAGCCCTTTGGGAGGCAGAGGCAGGTGGATCACCTGAGGTCAGGAGTTCGAGACCAGCCTGGCCAACATGGTGAAACCCCGCCTCTAAGAATACAAAAATTAGCCAGGTGTGGTGGAGCGCCTTCAATCCCAGCTACTCAGGAGGCTGAGGCAGGAGAATCGCCTCAACCAACTTAGTTGGGTTAAAACTAATTCCATGAAGGCATACATATCCACTATTTTTTTAATAAGATTTATTTTTTAGAGCAATTTCAAAGCAAAATTGAGCAAAACTGAGGTACACAGATTTTTCCATCCACTTCCTGCCCCTGCACATGCATAGCTTCCCCCACTGCCAACACTCCCCACCAGAGTGGCACATTTGTTACAACTGAGGAACCTACTTTGACATGTCATTATCACCCAGAGGCCACGGTTTACATCAGGACTCATTCCTGGTGTTGTATATTCTATGGCTTTGGGAAAATACATAATGACATGTATCTAGCATATATAGTATCACACAAAGTAGTTCTACTGCCCTAAATATCCTCTGTGCTCTGCCTATTTATCCTCAACACCCTAACCCTGGCAGCAACTGACCTTTTTACTATCTCTATAGTTTTGCCTTTTCCAGAATTGTTTCTTAATATAAAGACATAAAAATTAAGTATCTTCAAATTAGAAGCTTGAAGGTTTGAAACTATCTCACTGTAAAAGTTACACATGCCTCAAGAAACTTAATCCGTTGTTAATGTTCTTTGGAGAAAAGTTTCTAAATTTAGAATAAAGTCTCTTTCACTGTGAGCAAATCTTCAAAACCATATTATGAACATTCAAACATCAAAAGAAAATATAGGTGAAAGACCCGCATTATATGAAAATATTCTTGACAGGCTTTCAACATCAATGTATCACACATATCTTCAAGTACATTGTAAAATTAGAGTTTTCCAACAAACTTGTACTGGAGGGACCACTAATATCCTGTGGTATTAGTCAGGGTAAGTCAGGAGACAGAGAAAAATAAAAAATACCAGTGAGTTGAATAGGAAAAGTTTATAAAGGTTTGTTAACTACTAAAAAGTGGTTAACTATGAAAGGATACAATATGCTACGGTTACTATTAAAAGAGTTAAAGTAGACTCTAAGAGGTCAAGAATTAGCGAGCTAAAAGAAACAAAAGCAGCTATTACCACTAAGTTGGAGGAGACAGGGGAATGACATTTCTCCTTTGCCAGCTGTTAGCCTTTGTCAATAAGGGCTGCTGGAGGCACATTGCCAGGTCCATGGCTCCAGGAAGACACTCCCTTCTGGGTACCGAGCTTGCTTCCTTATTATTTAGCACGGGGGCCCAGTGACCTGCAAAGCCAGCTCCTTCCACAAACAGTTCTGGAGACCAGTTTTGTAGTAGTTCCAGTCATGTTCGCAGGCAGCTGTCTCCCAGCTGGTGTGCCAGGCCTATCTAGCAGCTTCATCTCCCACCTTCTGACAGGTTTCTTCATGACTGGCACACTGAGTGTTACTGTGGTAGCTGTACCAGCTTTGAAGAGACCTGAATTCATCCTTAGGGAAGACCTTCTAAGTCCTCTGCTCTTTGTTCTTTCATTCCCCTCTCTCCCCCAATTTAGTGGTAATAGCTGCCTTTGTTTCTTTTAGCTCACTAATTCTTGACCTCTTAGAGTCCACTTTAACTCTTTTAATAGTAACCATAGCATATTATATCCTTTCATAGTTGACCACTTTTTAGTAGTTAACAAACCTTTATGTTAACTTTTCCTATTCAACTCACTGGTATTTTTTTTGTGTGTCCTGACTGACCCTTACTAATATACTGATTCTTTTTTTGATATAGTTTATTACCATGTTGTAGAAAAAGTAAAACTGTTCCACATTCTCCATTCAAGAAATTATATTATTATTAATTATCTTAATGAATAGGAAATACACTAGCAAGCCATTGAAAACATCCCAGAGAGAAGCCATTTTATGATAGACCAATGATATTATTAATGTGTGTGTGTGGAGATATATATATAAATATATATATTCATTCTAAATTAGTGTGATATATTGTATTACTGAAGTTCAGGAAATAATATGATTTTTAAAAAGTGACTTCCTATGAGAGGATAATATCCCCTACTGTCAAGTAACTATAAGTTCTATAATGGTTACTCAATTAAGTAGTTACAAATTATTATAGTGTATAGTTGGGTAGGATGAGGAGGATATGATTGTGGGAGACTTATTTTTATCATCTGATAGCAAGAATGATAATAACGTGCTCACAAGCTATTTGTAAATAATTGTGATAGTGGATATTGACAAAACTAGTGCAACTTATAATAGTCAATAAAAGGACTGAATAATATGTGTGACAGAAGATATTTAAGAATTCCAAGTCACATGTTAGTGATTGGTAGAACTAGGATGGTAGTCAGTGTATACCTAAATCCAAAGTCCATGCTCTTCCTAACCTGGTAATTATAACCCGGAAATGGAAAGTAAAATAAAAAAGGCACCTGGGAAGCAGGCAATACAATATGTTGATGAAAGCATTCTCTCCTTACCAAATCAGAGTGATTTTGATGGATTTTTATGTATGTCTTGAGTAATTGTAAACTATAATGTGTTACTGTGCAGTGATTTAAAAACACCTGGCATGCTATTCCTTTGCTATCAGTCACAAACCCCTTCCCCTTCTCAGTTCAAAAGCAGCAATTTAAAAGCAGAATTCTTCCAAGTACATGGCTGGCAGCCAGCACCTTCAGATCAGAATTGACTTCCAGGATAAAACTCAGTTGCCATCCCTGCTAGCTAGTGACAGGATTGATAGAATTCTCCATGTAACCAGAAAGGCTGGGTGCTAGGGAGATGAGTAAAGCAGGGAAGAAAAAAAGAAGTATTAAATCACCTTTCTACCAGGGTTCTACCAGACAAAAAGAAGAGATTGGGGTAGAAAGTGAGGTATAGGGAGGTAACACACAAACTGAGGTAAAGGGAAGTATTATAGCCAAAGAGTAGCTAAGGTCTGAATTGAGTGATGGCTTACTGAACATAGCTAGAGTTAGAAAAGAAAGTACTATGAGCTATGACAGATATGGGTGCCAATGCTGGAAAGATTTTTAATTAATAGAAAGGCAAATAAGAATAAAAATAGAACAGCAGATATTTGATCAAAGCAACATAGTGATAGTAGGAAAACTTGAAACTTTATCACAGCATACAGACAAAAATAAAAATCAACATACAATAATCTGTTTCTAATGGACAGCTGAAGCCATAAGGTGTATCTCAAGGAGATAGTGATGAAGAGAGAACAACAAAAACAAAAATGGAGGAACAGAGAGATGTGTTCCTGGGCTTACCATGTGGCTGCATTGGATGGAGTTAGATGGATATGGGTTATATTTGAAAGACGCTTAAGCCTTTCATATGAGGTTTATACAGACGGGAATTAAGAGTTTGGGGATTTGAGTAGTGGAGAGTTGAAATAGAGGCATGAGTCTGGGATTCTTAAAGGGAGGCAAGCTCATTAAAAGTGGCATGAAGAAAAACGTGTCCACTGTCACAGGGAGATGGCGGAGTGTGGAACGTGTGGCATAAGCTGTACACATTTGAACATCCTATCTTTATGTACTTCATGCCCCTTGTTTATGCATTCTTAAGTGTAACTTTTTGTCACCCTTACCCAAAGTTATAAAAAATACCCTCCATCTATTTGGAAACACAATTTTTTTTTCAGTATTTTAAGTAATAGTTTAAAAAATTCAGAACACATCATAGTGATTACAAATACTTTAGTACTGAATAATAATGAAACTTGAAATGTAAGAAAAGTGTTATTGATAAGGAAAAATATAGCCTTTAATATTTATATTACAAAAGAAAAACAATTTGAAAATCGTTAAGTATCCAAGTCAATAAGTTACATAAAAAGAATATAGCAAAACATTACCTCATAATGCTGAACTGTGTAGCTATCCCCTTGAGAGCCTATTAAAAATTGTACTGTATGTGTTAATCCCACTAGATAAAATGGAAATATAAGTGAAACATTTTAAAAGAAAAGCATGCACAAAAAAACCCAGGATAATTTCTACACAATGGGTGAGAGAAGAATTTATTACATAATACAAAATAACTACAAACCAAGGAAGGAAAATATTGATCCATTTTGATATACATAAAGCCAAGCAAATAAACAAACAAAAAGTACACAGGACATCAATACACATCATGAACAAAACATAAATGTAAACCATGGCCTCGGAGCAGAGATTTGCCACACTCGTAACAAACACAGAGTAGGTATCCAAAATATATAAAGAACTACTCTAAAGGAATAAAAAAAAGGCAAAAATTTCAATAGAAAAAATAAAGGAAATTAACAAGTATTTCACAGACATGAACACCCAAAAGGCTAATAAACATTTGAACAGATGTTCATTTTAATAGCTATTCATAAAATGCCGATGCAAACAATAAGGCATTATTTTATACCCATCAGATTGGTGAAAATTAAAAAGTTGACAATAACAATTGTTGCTCAGATGGTCTGGCAAAAAAAGTTCTCATGACATGTTGGCAGTTGTTTGAGTTGTCACAACGATTTGAAGAACAGTCTGGCGGGATATGGTAACGTCGAAGAAGAAATTAAGCAGTTACCGCATGAGAAGTTTCATTTCTGAATGTGAACCTTTGAGGAACTCTCATTTAAATACATGATATAAAATGAAGAAAAATCTTTACTAAGTATTATCTTTAATAGGAGTAAATTATAAGCAACCTAAAACATCAATGGACAGAAGAAAAGATAAATTGTGATATGTTCATATAGTAAAATAATATTTAGCAGCCAGTGAACTAAAGTTTCATCTGTCAGCACTGGTAAATTGCTAAACATAATATTTAACAAATATAGAAGAATATCCAATACAAAATGATAGAATGTTTCAAAGTTTAAACATGCAAATAATAATACATAATTTAAGAATATGTACAGATAAAGTAATAACATAAACACTTGTTAAAAAAACATGAAATACCCCAGTTAGATTTCCTCTGCATGTAGAGGGAGAAGAATGGGGCTGATGGAAGACATTTAAAGATGTACAATCTCTTTGTAGTGTTTTACTTCAAAAATTATGAAGAGAGTATGGCAAAGTAAAATTCGATGAATTAAAATGTGTATCTAACTAGGATATATTTTAATTCTTAGAGACTGTGGCTAAAAGTTAGGAATCAGCCCCCAATGGCCCTGTCAGGCAATACTTTAGAAGAGATTAGAAAGCATATTTTAGAGGGAAAATAGACAAGCCTTCAGCATCTCTTTAGATCTTTTCCCTGAATGATGATAAGTAACTTTAAATACATGGGTGGTTTCTAGGTGAAAACTTTCAGGTAAAGGAGAAATCAGAGTCATTTGCAGCAATGCAAGGAAAGGGCAGAGAGAAGAAGGTAATTATTAAAAGTTAACTGTGTACCATTCTGGGCAATATACACTCTGCTCAGGTTATTGTTTTTTATCTGGTTAGCCCAGGAAAATTTCTTTTGCCCTGCTGAACGTCTAATGGTAACAACAATAATGGTCACAAATGCTGGTTTCCAGGATGAATAGTAGAAACAAAAATGTCTGATGTGCAATTTCTTATAGATGCTGAGGCTTGCCAAATTCAGCTTCTTTGAATTATATATTAAGAAAGAGAGAAATAAATGAGGAAATTAAGAGATGCAAGAATCAAGGAAACAATGAAGTTTCTATCTTTGGCCTGAGAACCAGAATACCTGGAATCTAGTCCAGTCTATTTCATTAAAGGATTGTTTTGTTCTGTTTGTTTGTTTGTTTGTTTTAGGTAATCAGCTTTCTGGATTTCAGTTTCCTTCATCATAATATAAGAGCATTGAAGTAATGTTAGCTCCTTTCCATTTAAACTCCATTTGCTCTACAATTCTAAATCTGTATTTGAAGATTCTTATCTTTCTGACATAGAATTGCAGAGGGATGGATTACTGTCATTCCTAACTGATGTCCCAAAGATGATGAGTTCCTTGTTGGTTTAAGCCTGGTAATTCTTAGTCAATAGAGCAATACTAAGCTGTCCTTGGCATCGGGCATGTTATAGGTATCCCACTGACACAGATTAATTAACTGATCTTCCTAATGAGGCAGGATTCCCATGGCACCTGAGCCAGAAGTGGTTAAGGATGTCTGCTGCTGCTGCTTAGTTTCCTAACTGTATATGAAGTAGGTTTTCAAATGAAACACTCTCAGGGATGTCAATGGCAACTAAGACATTTCTGATGCTCTGATGTTCTTTTGGCAATTGCTGGAGTGTGATACAGTCAGGAGGGCTCTTCTTGGTGCATCTTTTACTAGAACTGGTTCTGTTTATGTAAGTTACTGTCTCAATCTCTGGCCTGACTCTTGTTAAAGGAGGCCCTCTAAAGGCAGGTACTGCTCTCCTCTGCTTCCTAATACATTGAATTGAATTGTACATATGTGTTGAATTGTTTGATAACAGAACAAAGTGCATCTGATGGCACTCTGGTCAAATTACAGATTTCAGAGTTCCCTAAAATAGATCATATCAGGCTTTTTTTCTAAAAAATCATTTCAACTTTAATTTTAGATTCAGTGTGAACATCTTCAGGTTTGCTAGATGGGTGTATTGCATGATGCTGAGGTTTGGGGCATGGGTGATCCCATGTCCCAGGTAGTGAGCATAGTATCCAAAAGGTAGTTTTGCAGCCCATGACCCACTCCCTCCATCTTCCCTCTGGTAGTCCTTAGTGTCTATTGTTCCTGTCTTCACATCTATATGTACTCAATGTTTAGCTTCCACTTATAAGGGAGGACATGAGGTATTTGGTTTGTTTTCTGTTCCCGTATTAATTCACTTAGGATAATGGCCTCTGGCTGCATCCACGTTGCTGCAAAGAATATGATTTCATTTTGTTTTCATGTTTGCATAGTATTCCATGGTGTATATGTACCACGTTTTTCTTTATCTAATCCACTGTTGATGGGCACCTAGACTGATTCTATGTCGTTGCTATCTATCAGATGCCAGTGAAGACTCTCCATAGATCCCTTTTCAAATATAGACTATGTAAGTGATCTGTGAGCCTAGTGTATCAGATCACTAACAGGATTGCTTAGGGATGTAATTGGTAGCTTAATTTTATGTGTAAGTGATATTTGTGTTTTACTGCAGCTAAACTATTTTTCTACATGAAGCCACACAATTATTGCAATCTGGGGAGCAACTATTTTGGTATATAAAAGTAATACTAACAGAATCCAAAAATGCTGTGTTAACAGTTCACTGATCATTTAATGGGAGCCACATCTATTAAATGTCTTCATGCTGTTATGAGGAATATTTTATCACTGGAAATAAAGCTAAACTCTTCAGGAAGTCAGGGAAAGAACCCTACAAAAACAGAATAACAAACACTTTGGAGTCAGCTGATCTTCAATCTGGTAATGTACCATTATATTAGTCAAAATTCACATCACTTTTTACTGTATTCCAGGCTATGTTCTATGTGCTTAAAATGTGTTTTCATTGACAATTCACAACAACTATATTAAGTAAGAAACTGCTGTTACTCCTATTGAATATGAAGCACTTCTGAATGGACAGGGAATTTGACCAAGGTCACACAGATAGTAAACGATAGCAAAAGGATAAGAACCCAGACAATCTGGGTTGAAAGCCAGCAGCCTCAATGTGGTTTCTATTACTTGTCATTAAAAAGTAATATCTGTGGCTGGGTGTGGTGGATCACACCTGTAATCCCAGTACTTTGGGAGGCCAAGGCGGGCAGATCAAAAGGTCAGGAGATCCAGACCATCCTGGCTAACACAGTGAAACCCGGTCTCTACTAAAAAATACAAAAAATTAGCTGGGTGTGGTGGCGGTCGCCTGTAGTCCCAGCTACTCGGGAGGCTGAGGCACGAGAATGGAGTGAACCCGGGAGGTGGAGCTTGCAGTGAGCCGAGATCACACCAATGCATTCCAGCCTGGGCGACAGAGTGAGACTCCGTCTCAAAAAATAAAATAAAATAAATAAATAAAAATTTCTTTCTCTTGTACCAAAACAAATATTGCTAGTAACACTAGCTAAAAGAATTCCTTGAAAACAAAATTATTTTATGTATTCTATGATCTGTTTCTTTACATCTAATGAAATTCTTTCGGAAAAATGCTGAAACTATGAAACCCAGGTAAAAGCCTTTATTTTTTGACATATCTTTTACAGTCATATCCAGTTTCACATGACCTGGACCATCATGCAGTTTTTATGCCCTACCTAACTTGCACTGAATCTACAAGTTCACAGATTAATTATTTGAAAATCAATCTACAAAATACTATACAATGTTTTAAAATATTCTTAAACCAGAAATTTTTCAGCTTTTGGGAGATTTCATGTCACGGGTCCTCTGCAAAGACCGTAGTAAAATAATCAAAGCCCTTTCCTATGCATCTTTAATTTTCCCTTCTCTGTCATTTTTGTTAGAACACATGCAAACTCATATACCCAAAAGATTTTCTATTTTAATGTGAATCTTAGAGAATAAATTTTGCATGGTGTCCTTATTTTGTACATAGGTTCCGGTGCAAAAGTTGTTATAAAGTTTATAATAGGACTACCTTTCCTCATGGAAATAATTTCATAAATGAGAGTAATGTTCTTGAACTAGGCCATACAAGACTCCTTAACCTCTAATATCTTCTGAGGTTTCTTACTAATAGCACACTCTATTCACAAAATTGACTTTTGGAGTATCCCATGGAAAATGCATTTTTTTTGCATGCAGAAGACATATCTTCCTTCATTGGTGATGTCAGAAGTACTCTCAAAGTTAAGCATTCAAATTTCCTCTAGCTACAGAAAAGGAGTCCATAGATCTGACACTTTTAGATTTGAATGGTTCTCAGGATCACCCAGATTTTCATTTTATAACCTACATTTTTTTCTCAGAATTTCTGTAAATATCCCCTTTTTCTATTTGTACACTGAGAAGTTTCAAGAGATCTGAAAACCTCTGACGGCACATACATGTTCCTAAGAAAATGATCACTAGCTTTAAAGTGACCATTTTTAAAAACCAGGGTGGTTTCAAGACCTTATCATCTCAAGATTTCATGACCAATATGTTTTGATAAATGATGAATAACGTTTGTAGTCACCATAACTGAAGATAAGGAGGCAAGTAGAGTATTTGTAAGTAATTCCATTTAACGGTGTGTCTATACAAATAGTATTGTCAGTAAGCAGCAGGTATCCACAAACACTCTAGACTATTTTCCCAAATTATGTTCTATGGAAAACTTGTATTCCTTAAGATATTTTACATATTCTACATTCTCTCTCTCTCTCTCTCTCTCTCTCTCTGTCACACACACACACACACACACACACAGACAGACACAAACGCACACAGACATATAGTTCTGTAATAAAATCAACAGAGGGGCAATTGCCTACTATATTATCTCTTCACAGATCCACAACTAAAGCTCTGAAAAACTTTTTGCAGTAGAAAGGAATTTAACTATTTAATTTAGCATTCCCCCAAAGTATTTAATCTATAGAGTACTTTTTAAAAAATAATTTGAAAAATTCTCTTTTCAGGAAGAATTACATGAAGATGTGACATATATATTTTTGCCATATATATTTTATTTTAAAATTATTAGCATATTTCAAATATTGTTCGCTTTATTTTTGTCATGGTGGCAAAATCTGAACCAAGAAACAGGAACATAGATCTCTACAGTCATGGAATTTGAAAGATATCTGTGAATATACAATCAGTAGGAAGAAGGTGGCATTTTCTTTTACTTATATTTAATTGCTGATCAGGCAGTAGTGGTCACTTTTCAAAATTCTGCTCTATGCAACAGCTGTGCAATTTTTCATCATAATTAAATCACTCCTAAAAAGGGTCCTTAGAAAAATCATATAACGCCCACTTCAATATTTTCTATAGCTCAAATCCATTGTGAAGAAAGGTGTGCTCATATATTCACTTGCCCCTTATCTAGTTGAACAGGATAACAAAATTCAACCATCAGCACAAAAATTATGTAGGAGAGCAAACTGGGCTGAAAAAATGAAACTTTTATCATCTTTACATTATTTCTAGAAGTTGGATGTTGGTTATTTTTCCCCCAGCATATTTTTACTGTTACACTTTTTACATCTATCTATACTCAGAAGGATTTGAGGAAAGCCAAGCAGTATCATAAAACCTTGTTGCCTATTTCTCTCCTGGCTTGCAGACTGTGGGGAAAAAGCCTCCCTTCACACCTCCCTACAATCTGTTCCATTTGAATGGATAATCATTCAGCAGTAGCCAGCAGCTGCTGCCTAATGCCTAAGCCTAATGCAGATTCTGGAGACTCACAAAGTCATTAAAAATCTGTCTTGGTGGAGAATGTGAAAGCTGCTCAGAAGGCTAGGGTGTGTACTGAGGCAGCACTGCCTCTTCCTTACTCATTCATGGTGATACCCTGTAAGCACTGCATGTATTTTAGTATTCAGAGGAAGCTGCTTTATCTTGGCTTTTGGCATCAGTTAATGGAGGGTAGAAGCAGACAACAATTTTACTTTTATTTTTCTCTTGTGCATCAAAGAGTATCTAGCACAGTAATATTCAGTTGACCTATGTTTTAGATAGATACATTATTTTTCTCAAATAAAGTCATTAGTGGATTATAAACCTGATTATAAGCAGAAAAGTCCTGATTGAAAGAAGGCTTGGACATTGGGACCAACCTGTTCACCTTCCCTTATTTACCCTTGCCTAAGGTATTTCCATGGAATTCCAAAAATCTGAGAAAGAAAAGAGTTTAGAAAGTAGACATCTAGATAATTTCAGTGACTGAAAACAAAATTCCATTATATTCTTTTATAAATAAAATTTCATTCTTGCAGAGTATGACAGGATGTACATTTATATGAAAGATATTAACCAAATTGTTTCTATTTAATCAACTTTATGACACTCCTTTTTTTTCAATTATTGATTTTGGATATTTTATTTTTTGGAGAGGGGGTCTTGCTATATTGCTCAGGCTGGTCTTAAACTCTCAGCCTCAAGAGATCCTCCCAGCTTGGCCTCCCAGTATTGGGATTACAAGTGAGAGCTTCCATGTCTGGCCTGATTTTGAAGATTTTTTTTTTTATATACTTTAAGTTCTAGGGTACATGTGCACAACGTGCAGGTTTGATACATTGGTATACCTGTGCCATGTTGGTTTGCTGCATGCATCAACTCATCATTTATATAAGATATTTCTCCTAATGCTCTCTCTCCCCCAGCCCCCTACCCCCTGACAGGCCCCAGTGTGTGATGTTCCCTGCCCTGTGTCCAAGTTATCTCATTGTTCAATTACTCCCTGTGAGTGAGAACATGTGGTGTTTGGTTTTCTGTCCTAGTGATAGTTTGCTGAGAATGATGGTTTCCAGCTTCATCCATGTCCCCGCAAACGACACAAATTCATCCTTTTTTATGGCACATAGTATTCCATGTTGTATATGTGCCACATTTTCTTAATCCAGTCTATCATTAATGGACATTTCGGTTGGTTCCAAGTCTTTGCTATTGTGAATAGAGCCGAAATAAACATACGTGTGCATGTGTCTTTATAGCAGCATGGTTTATAATCCTCTGGGTATATACCCAGTAATGGGACTGCTGGGTCAAATGGTAATTCTAGTTCTAAATCCTCGAGGAATTGCCACACTGTCTTCCTCAATGGTTGAATCAATTTACACTCCCACCAACGGTGTAAAAGCCTTCCTATTTCTCCACATACTCTCCAGCATCTGTTGTTTCCTGACTTTTTAATGATTGCCCCATTCTAGCTGGTGTGAGATGCTATCTCATTGTGGTTTTGATTTGCATTTCTCTGATGACCAGGGATGATGAGCATTTTTTCATGTGTCTGTTGGCTGCATAGATGTCTTCTTTTGGGAAGTGTCTGTTCATATCCTTTGCCCACTTTTTGATGGGGTTGTTTGCTTTTTTCTTGTAAATCTGTTTGAGTTATTTGTAGATTCTGGATATTAGCACTTTGTCAGATGGGTAGACTGCAAAAATTTTCTCCCATTCTGTAGGCTGCCTGTTCACTCTGATGGTAGTTTATTTTGCCATGCAGAAGATCTTTAGCTTAATTAGATCCCATTTGTCTGTTTTGGCTTTTGTTGCCATTGTTTTTGGTATTTTAGTCATGAAGCCCTTGCCCATGCCTATGTCCTGAATGGTATTGCCTAGGTTTTCTTCTAGGGTTTTTATGGTTTTAGGTCCAACATTTAAGACTTTAATCCATCTTGGATTAATTTTTGTATAAGTTGTAAGGAAGGGATCCAGTTTCAGCTTTCTACATATGGCTAGCCAGTTTTCCCAGCACCATTTATTAAATAGGGAATCTTTTCCCCATTTCTTGTTTTTGTCAGGTTTGTCGAAGATTAGATGGTTGTAGATGTGCAGCATTATTTCTGAGGGCTCTGTTCTGTTCCATTGGTCTATATCTCTGTTTTGGTACCAGTACCATGCTGTTTTTTTTTTTACTCTAGCCTTGTATTATAGTTTGAAGTCAGGTAGCGTGATGCCTCCAGCTTTGTTCTTTTGGCTTAGGATTGTCTTGGCAACGAGGGCTCTTTTTTCCATTCCATATGAACTTAAAAGTAGTTTTTCCAATTCTATGACAAAAGTCATTGGTAGCTTGATGGGGATGGCATTGAATCTATAAATTACTTTGGGCAGTATGAGTATTTTCACGATATTGATTCTTCCTATCCATGAGCATGGAATGTTCTTCCATTTGTTTGTGTCCTCTTTTATTTCGTTGAGCAGTGGTTTGTAGTTGTCCTTGAAGAGGTCCTTCACATCCCTTGTAAGTTGGATTCCTAGGTATTTTATTCTTTTTGCAGCAATTGTGAATGGGAGTGCACTCATGATTTGGCTCTCTGTCTATTATTTGTGTAGAAATGCTTGTGGTTTTTGCACATTGATTTTGTATCCTGAGACTTTGCTGAAGTTGCTTATCAGCTTAAGGAGATTTTGAGCTGAGATGACGGGGTTTTCTACATATACAATCATGTCATCTGCAAACAGGGACAATTTGACTTCCTCATTTCCTAATTGAATACTCTTTATTTCTTTCTCTTGCCTGATTGCCCTGGCCAGAACTTCCAACACTATGTTGAATAGGAGTGGTGAGAGAGGGCATCCTTGTCTTGTGCGGATTTTCAAAGTGAATGTGTCCAGTTTCTGCCCATTCAGTATGATATTGGCTGTGGGTTTGTCATAAACAGCTCTTATTATTTTGAGATATGTTCCATCAATACCTAGTTTATTGAGAGTTTTTAGCATGAAGTGCTGTTGAATTTTGTCGAAGGCCTTTTCTGCATCTATTGAGATAATCATGTGATTTTTGTCGTTGGTTCTGTTTAAGTGATGGATTACATTTATTGATTTGCATATGTTGCACCACCTTGCATCCCAGGGATGAAGCCGACTTGATCATGGTGGATAAGTTTTTTGATATGCTGCTGGATTTGGTTTGCCAGTGTTTTATTGAGGATTTTCACATCGATGTTTCTCAGGGATATTGGTCTAAAATTCTCTTTTTTTGTTGTGTCTCTGCCAGGCTTTGGTATCAGGATGATGTTGGCCTCATAAAATGAGTTAGGGAGGATTCCTTCTTTTTCTATTGATTGGAATAGTTTCAGAAAGAATGGTACCAGCTCCTCTTTGTACCTCTGGTAAAATTCGGCTGTGAATGCATCTGTTTCTGGACTTTTTTTGGTTGGTAGGCTATTAATTATTGCCTCAATTTCAGAGCCTGTTATTGTTCTATTCAGATTCAACTTCTTCTTGGTTTAGTCTTGGGAGAGTGTACGAGTCCAGGAATTTATCAATTTCTTCTAGATTTTCTAGTTTATTTGCAAAAAGGTGTTTATAGTATTCTCTGATGGTAGTCTGTATTTCTGTGGGATCAGTGGTGATATCCCTTTTATCATTTTTTATTGCATCTATTTGATTCTTCTCTCTTTTCTTCTTTATTAGTCTTGCTAGAGGTCTATCAATTTTGTTGATCTTTTCAAAAAACCAGCTCCTGGATTCATTGATTTTTTGAAGGGTTTTTTTTTTTATCTCTATATCTTTCAGTTCTGCTCTGATCTTAGTTATTTCTTCCCTTCTGCTAGCTTTTGAATGTGTTTGCTCTTGCTTCTCTAGTTCTTTTAATTGTGATGTTAGGATGTCGATTTTAGATCTTTCCTGCTCTCTCTTGTGAGTATTTAGTGCTATAAATTTCCCTCTACACACTGCTTTAAATGTATGACACTTCTTTTATAAGAGTAGGTTGAAATTGCCAAGTAACTAGAAGCTAGAAATCATCTGAATATGTTTAAATGTTTTCCCTCAGTTCTTCCAGTGACACTAAACTTTACAATATTGCTGGTGCACATCAGTTAATTTCAAGACCTTGTTTAGTTTTTATGTTACATATTTTCCCTTTGATTGAAATGTCTTCAATTTCTGCATTTGGTGAACAATGACTTTTCCTTAAGACCTAACGTAAGTTTCATCTGGATAAAGTGGATAAAGAGGACTTTTTATCCACTAGGCACTTTGAGGCTCAGTCATTGTACTCATTAGTATTATTATTATTACCGTCTCTTTAAAAAAAATGATGATGATGGGTTGAGGTTATTAAAAATTATAAACAGAAATTTATTAATATTACTTATTCTATTATACCTTGAAATTCATATTTTGATGTCTTAAACACATGCTTTCAATATTTTTTAAATTATTTAAAGTATTTTTGTTTTATGAAAACAGAGGAAGTTTACTAACCCACATTTGCTCCTCCTCTGGTATCTGGTATCTGGAGAGCTAGTGGGCGTCGGGATCTGGCCTGGTATTTCTTTCTTTCTTTTTTTTTTTTTTCTGATATGATGTCTCTCTCTGCTGCCCAGGCTAGAGTGCAGTGGCACGATCTTGGCTCACTGCAACCTCTGCCTCCCGGGTTCAAGTGATTCTCCTGCCTCAGACTCCTGATAGCTGGGACTTCAGGTGCCCGCCACTGCACCCAGCTAATTTCTGTATTTTTGTAGAGACGCGGTTTCACCATGTTGGCCAGGCTGGTCTCTAACTCCTGATCTCAGTTGATCCACCTACCTCGGCCTCTCAAAGTGCTGGGATTACAGGCATGAGCCACTGCACCTGGCCCTACCCTGATATTTCTACAGAGACATAAGCTTGTATGTTTTCAAACATCAAAGGAATACATTACTTGATAGCTTTGTTGAATTTTATTATTTAAGTGAGGATATTTGACCCAATTCACTACATAGTTGATACATGACAAAGGTGGAAGGCATTTGAGTTTTTAGACTCTCTGCAACAAGACACACTGCCATCATCGACTATACAATTTAGTCTTCTTTATAAATATTGATAACTTGTAAATTTCTTTTTACTATGACTAACTGACCTTGCATATTTGACAGTAATCTTCATAATAGATTGTGATTCATATGTAGTAATAAATTTCGATTGCTAAAATGAACAGATAGCCTGTTTTCATAAGAGAAAAGAAGGAATATAGCTGGCTAAATCAAAACATACTTGTGTATACCTGTTTTCTGAGTGAAAACATACATATGAAAATTGTCTACAGATGTTCACATCCTCGGTACAGTTTCCTGCTCCATGATGTTGAGCTTAGCCATATGACTTGCACTGGCCAAATGAATGTATACGAACTGACAGATTTCCAAGCAAAGACAAGCGAAAGACATTGCAAGCTTCTTTAAATTCTCTCCTTTCATCACAAGGAGGCCACACTCCAAAGAATCACATTTTAGATTTCCATAATAAGATGATATTTGGAGAAGGCTGAGAGCTAACATACTAAAGCAAAGCCTCAGCACACAACTACACAGATAAGGCCTCCAAAAATGACAGAAATGGTTGTTGCTTTTTTTTTATTATTATGCTTTAAGTTCTGGAGTACATGTGCAGAATGTGCAGTTTTGATACATAGGTATACACGTGCCATGGTGGTTTGCTGCACCCATCAATCCATCACCTACATTAGGTATTTCTCCTAATGCTATCCCTCCCCTAGCCCCCCAACCCCCAACAGGCCCTGGTGTGTGATGTTCCCCTCTCTATGTCCATGCATTCTCATTTTTCAGCTCCCACTTATGAGTGAGAACATGTGGTGTTTGGTTTTCTGTTCTTGTTTAGTTTGCTGAGACTGATGGTTTCCAGTTTCATCCATGTCCCTGCAAAGGACTTGAACTCATCCTTTTTTATGGTTGCATAGTATTCTATGGTGTATATGTGCCACATTTTCTTTATCTAGTCTATTATTGATGGACGTTTGGGTTGGTTCCAAGTCTTTGCTATTGTGAATAGTGCCGCAATAAACGTACGTGTCCATGTGTCTTTGTAGGAGCATGATTTATAATCCTTTGGGTATATGCCCAGTAATGGGATTTCTGGGTCAAATGGTAAGAAATAGTTGTTGCTTTAAAGCCACTTAAATTTGGGGATATTTGTTACAATGCATTATCACAGTAAAAGCTAAACTATGAGTGAGAATAGCAAAACAAAACAAAACAAAACAACTGAGATTTAGATATCCAAAGATTGCATTGCTACAAATACTAGAATTGTTAGAGACAGAATACATACTAGCTATGTACAAAAAGTATAAGTAAATGAGGATATAGTCATTGAAATGTAAAAAGAAGGGGCTGTAAGGTATAAATAGGGAAAATTGACAAAAACTAAAAGCTAGAAAAAATAATAAAATTGTTGTAAAAGAAGCAGTGGAAGTGACAGTGAGTTAGACACAGCTGAGTAGAAAATTAGTGAACAGAGAGTTTTATCTGAACATTCCACAAGGAAAGAAACACGAGTTTGAATCTGCAAAAGAGAAATTAAGAGATGAACAGGTTTGCATGAAATATTTGGCATATATCTGATCAGTCCTGGAAGGAGAAAATAGATTACTGAAAGAACATATGTAAAGAGATAATGGCTGCTAGTTTTCTTAGCTGGTGAAAAGGATGGATCCACAGATGAGGAAGCGTGATATATCCCAAGCAATGTAAATAAAATGTTTAGAAATCCCTAGAGGTATAATAAACCAATATAGCAACCAGAAAAAAAAAAATCTTAAGAACAAGCTAACCACCCATAAAGGAATAAATAGAATGATAGCAGGATTCTTACAGATAATAGAAGCCAGAAGATTATGGCATAATATCTGTAAGGATTTAATAGAAAATAATTGTTGACTGAAAATTGGGATCTACTCTATGTCCAAGATTGTAAAGACATTAATAGGTACATAAAATTAAACAACTTACACAAGGAGATATAAATTAATGGAACTTTTACTCATTCGTGTACTTCAGAAGTGGAAAAATGATCCAAGAACCATCTAAAATGTGAGAAAATGAATATGGACACAAAAGGGCAAATGAGCATTTTAATACAAATACATAACAAATTATGCTGCTTTGTGGGGTTAATTTGGGCTTTGAGGAAGAGTTAAGATATTGCATATTGCTTATTTATATTTACAATAAAGAAAATAGCAAAGTTAATATTATTAGAAATAATGCCTGTATTCTTAGTGAGTAAATAATAAGAATAGAAAAAATATAAGATAAATTTTAAAAATGAAGAATTTTTTTAAAAAGCAAGAAGAAGGACACCCTGAGTTCACTAGCATAATATAAAAATCCTAAAAATATGAATTATAATAATAATACTCAAAAATTGACTGAACTTTTCAGTCAAAGATAGAGACTGTTAGATTGGATGTTTTAAAAAATCTAGCAATATGTTGATTTCAAGGCCTAAACTTAAAACAAAATAGCAAGGATTTATTGTAAGTAAAAATATAAAAAAGATAAATTGGGCTAATATTTACCATGAAAACAAACTTGTTTAACTATGTCACTAGTATACAAAATTTAACTTATAAGACAATACTACCAAGAGTAGGTCATTAGATAATAATGAAAGTTTAATCCCTTGAGGAAAAAAGTCACTCTAATGTATGTAACTAGTAACGTTAGATTTGTATGCTTAGCCGAATTACTAACATATACTAAGAGCTCAAGAAACTTCAACTACAATTATCACTATTTAAATGAAAAATAATCTAAAAATAGAGGATCCATAATATAGACAATTATGGTCTATATAGATCAATGAGACAATAGAAAACACAGAATTAGACCTTATTACAAAGAAGACTTTAGTATTTGATGAATGCAATGTGACAGATTAGTGGAAAAAGTAGGAGGAATATACATAAATACAATAAAAGAAAACTTTTTTTTTACTAAAAAGCCAGCAAAATGTAGAAATGAAAGCAAAATCTATGTCTCTCATGAATATATATTAAAATAATACTTTTATGCATATACAAGATGGGTAGAAAATTGGAATAAATTTCTAGACAGCAATTTATCAATATGAATCAGTAGTCTAGTCATTCAATAACACACACAGTGGGAATAACATTCATGTGACTAAAAAGGGGAAATAATTGTTTTTAATAGCACCTTAGCAAAAAAAAGTGTCTAAATAGGGCAGTGATTTAGTAAATTTCTCTTTTATGGCAATTACTATAAAACTAGTAAAATATATTTTCTAAGAATATATGAGAAAAAGAAATCACTCCTAATGACAAAACATCCAGAATATACAGTTGTCTATAATGTATGATCTAAATTTTATAAAACCCTAGACAGATATAGCCATGGATATAATATAGACAGACCAAACAACTGGCTCCAAATATTGAGTGAGGTCAAAAACTTCTGAGTCAATAAATTCATATATGGCTTTCTTTCCTCCTTCTTCCTTCTTCCTCTTCTTGTTTTTTTTTTTTTTTTTTTTTTTTTTTTTTTTTTTTTTTGAGATGGAGTTTCACACTGTCACCCAGGCTGGAGTGCAGTGGTGCGATCTTGGCTCACTGCAACCTCTGCCTCTCAAGTTCAAGTGATTCTCCTGCCTCAGCCTCCCGAGTAGCTGGGATTACAGGCATCTGCCACCTATCCGGCTAATTTTTGTATTGTTTAGTAGAGACAGGTTTTACCATGTTGGTCAGGCTGGTTTTGAACCCCTGACCTCGAGTGTTCCCCCGCCTTGGCATCCTAAACTGCTGGGATTACAGGCGTGAGGCACCACACCCAGCCTTCTTTTTTACTTTACATTTCAAATTATCTCCACTTATTTATATGATAAGAAAAAAGCTTTAAATTCAAAAACATAATGTGTTTTTCAATGTATTATACATATTTTTCTGACAAAAGAGTAACCTTGAAGATATTACTGAGTAAAGCTTTAATTACTTTTACTAAATACTTTTCCTCAAATTACAATTTTAATTTTACATGTATCTATTTGAATGTTATAACATTGAACTCTGCCTGTCTCTGATCTTTTATTCAGTAACTGCTTGATATTCAAAATTTATATTTTTGCAAGACAGATTTTTATACATTGCTAGGAAAGAAAATGCACTTGAAATCAGAATACTTAAATTGTACTGTCTTATTTGTTAGCCTTAATCATGGGTGCTTTCTATGCTAAGTCATTCTTGAAGGAAAAACATCTTGCAGCTCATTTTTTTTGATAAATAAGAAATTATTTCTTAAAAATTTCAAGATGATTAAAGATTGCTCAATGTTTCCCAGATCATCAGAACATCATCTGAAAATCATCACAGCCATCTGTTCTCAATCACAAGAGATATGAGAGAACAATTAGTAAAGATACATTTAACACCCCAGGCTGTAACAAGAAAACATGTCTACATCATTAGAAGACACTCCTTTGACCTGAAAACCATTCTATTTTTATCATTGCCATATCCCACATACGACATATATCAGTACATTTTGGCTAGGTTGGGCTGTGTTAACATACAACCCCCAAATATCAGCACTTTACAGTAACAAAGATGATTTCTCCTTCTTGTAATATCTCTAAAATGAGTCTCTTCAGCCAGGTTTTCCCTCCAGGATCCAAGATGGCGAAGTAGTTCCTGTTCTGGACGCTGCAGGTATAATGGTAAAGGGAAAAGAACGTATTAGTGAACCAAGAAGTGACTCCCACAGTTTCTGCTAAAAAATCCGCATTTAGTAGTTTTACCCGCTTTTCATTTGCCACCTCAAGACAAATGGCCTTTCTGAGTTCAACAGCAGTAGCATTGGGGAAAAAGATATTTACTATAGTAGCTCATTATCACACTGCTATAAGGACATACTTGAGATTGGGTAATCCATAAAGGAAAGAGGTTTAATTGACTCAGTTCCACAGGGCTGGGGAGGCCTCAGGAACCTTATAATCATGGCAGAAGGGGAAGCAAACATGTCCTTCTTCACAAGGTGGCAGGAGAGAGAAGAATGAGTGTCCAGCGAAGGGGGAGCCCCTTATAAAACCATCAGATCTCACTAGAACTAACTCAGTATCAAGAGACCAGGATGGGGGAAATTGCCCCCATGATTCAATTATCTCCACCTGGTCCCTCCGACAGCATGTGGGGATTATGGGAACTACAATTCAAGATGAGATTTTCTTGGGGACACAGCCAAACCATATCAGATCTAATCCTTCCCCAGAGGGCACAACACAAGTCATATGGCCAGGCATGGTTTTGCTGAAGTACAAAACTGCCTTCACCTACAAAGAAGCAGCCAGTATTTTGACAAATATTGCAACCTACCAGTCATCTGAAAATCTAAATCTTTTCTAATATTGTTCATTCAAGATTCAAAAGATATTGATTTAAAATCTGCATGTTTCTGGAAATGTGCCCAACACTGGGGATTAAGACTCAAATAAGACAGAAAATTCTCTGCTCTGATAAAACTCACAGTGAACAAACACATATGAATATAACATACTGTCAAACTGTGTTCAGAGTTGTGGCATAAAGCACTGGTTGGCAAATGTTTTCTTAAAGTGCCCAGTAGCAAATATTTTAGGCTTTGTGGTCCATATGATCCCTGTCAAAATTATTTCACTCTGATGTAGAACTAAAGCAGCCACATACAAATTGCAAAGTTGCATTCTAATGAAACTATATTTACTAAAACAAGCAGCTGAATCTGGGGTCATGGTTTGCCAGTCCCTGGACTAGAGAATAAATGAGGATGTGGGCTTCTTGAGATAGAATTGTCAGGAGAGACCTCTCAGAGGTTGTGAGTGTGCTGAGCTCTGAATGCTAAAGTGACCAGGCATGTGAATATATGGGAGCGGAGTTGGTGAGCTAAGGGTACAACCTGTGTAAGAGCCCTCTGATAGGGAAGAACTTGGTGTTGTTGAAGAACAGAGAAAAGGCCACTGTTGCTAGAGCACAGTGTGCTGGAGTTTGAAGTTATGACCGAAGAGAGATATAGATCATATAAAGTTTTATCGACCATGTAAAGAGTTGGATTTTATTCTAGGTGGGATTGAAAGTCACTGAACTCTTTGAAGTAGAGGGATGGCATAAGTGTATGACTCTGAAAAACATGATCCTTCAAGCTGCTGTTTGGAGAAGAGGTGGGGTGGGCAAGAGCAGAAGCAGGGTGGTTACTGCAGTTAGCTCAGAAAAATATTGGTGGTTTGGACTAGCAGTGGAGATGAAAAGAATTGAGCATGATCAACATATTTTCAAGGTGAAATTGGTTGAACTAATTGAGGGCATCGGAAGGAAAGCAGACATGTAGAACTTCACACTTGGGGGTTTAAGCACATGAGTTGGGGATGAACTCTTTCAGCTTTACCTATATATACAAAATCAATTTGAAAGTTGAGCCAATTATCTGAAGAATTTAAGCAAAAAGAGCACTTTTATGCAAAACATAATTATAATATATCCTATAATTACTTCATTACTCCATTTGTGTTTTACATTTTTAAATTACAGATTAACTTTATCCAGCCAATGGTAAAATGCACTCAATTAAGAGACCTGGCAATTGGATCAGTTTTAGCTGAGTGAGGCTTTTCCAGTTAGCAAGTTTAGCTTTCTGATTTCAGAATCAAATAGGTTCCCAAGACAAATAAGACTATTTTTTAACATACACACCCATCAATATATATGCAGATGTAACCCCAAATTCAAAAAGTTAGTCTTTTTATTTTTTTCTAAAAGTAGGCATGTATATATTTATTAAACAGATTTTTTATTGAATACCTTGGATATGCTGAGAATACAGGAGCACAACAAAATCAAAGCCCATATATGGACTTTATATTGGGAGCATTAGATAATGTTTAAGTAAATGAATAAAGCAATATGTATAAATTGTGATTAATATTTACTGAGCAAATATTTTTTATTTTATTCTTTCATATCTACCTCCTCTTTCAAATTCATTACAGATTTTCTAAATGCATTTACTTTTTATTTCATTCTTTATAATCTATATACAGTCTAAGATTCTAGTTAAAATAGTAAGGGTAAAATCAGTAAAACATTTCAACACGATCACATTGCCTCAAATTGAGAAAAATCTTTGGCCCTGGTTGACAAGACTATTTTCATTTAAAAACCTCATGATTCAAGAAGAATTCACAGCATACAAAGTATATATGTTTAAGACAATTCATTATATTGTCATGGTTAGTGAATTTGTTTTTCCATTTTGATAACATTTTTGTATGGAGAATAGGTAATGGAACAATTTTTCCATTGAAGTGACCACTTTATCAGTTTAATAATTTCTCTCCAAAGTAATTTGTTGTCACAATTACTGAACAAAGGTGTGACAAGCAAACAGATACTCAAATTATTTTCATTACAACTATCATATGATAGTGATAAAAAATAAAAGAGAACCATATGAAAATTGACTTTCAGGACTAAATGTATAGTGGTTAATAGAAAGCCTTTCAGAGTGGAGAGTTTTTTTCCTATTATAGGTAAAAAGAGTCAAATAGAGAATACTGAGGAGGTTGAAATTTGAACTGGTACAAATGAGATTCAGCAAAATAAAAATGGAAACTTCAGGCCATGTCTTGAATTGACATGCAAACAATCAGTAAATATGAAATTCAGATGAGTAACATCTAAAAACTTTTCTTTATTTCTCCATTTATTTCTTATTGCCTCTTTCTCAACCTTTCTATCAACACACACTTACTGCACCTTTTTTATCTCATTTACTTTTTTTTTTTTTGGCTGGTATTGCGTCTGAAAAATAAAGTATAGCCTTTCCTTTTATCTAAAACAAAATCAGTGTTCCATGGGTAAGTATGCCACCTACCACTTCAACCTGTTGGCATGAGAAAATTCCTTTTCTGACAGTTCATACTACCTACTAGTTGATTCTAACAACCCTAGAAAGAAGTGAGATAGAAATTAATATAATGGAAGAGTGTTGATATGTTAAAATAAGTATTAACACTCTCAATCATCTAAGTACATTTTCATGGGAGGAAATTGAGCTGAACAAGAGTGTCCAAGTAATTTGAGCATTTTGGAAATCAGAATATTTTTAATTATTGTTTTTACATTCTATTTAACATTTTTCTATCTTTGAGGTTTGAAAAATAAATGCAGTTTCCCCAATGCAACATACTGCAATTTTTCTTTTAAGAATTTTATTATTATTGCTTTAATCAGAAATCGTTTTGGAGAAATATATCCCCTACACACTCACACTGTTATTACTGCTATTTGGTGCTAAATCAAATTAGCATTTGATTCTCACTTTACTTTGACTTCAGTTCAAGTATCTTTCTAAAGACAATATAGGTTTTCACTCTAATTTCCTAGTATCCTTGATTTGTTCTTCCCCCTCCACTAATCCTTTTCATGCTTTTCTCACTCCCTATGCAAAGTTCAGGTTCTCATCACTTTTTGGTATTCAGATATTCATTAATTAAACAATTCTCTTGAATCGACAATTTTTTCTCAAAATATGACTGAAAAAAGTATTGAACCCTAAATTGTCTAGTATATAAATAATAGACAATACTAACAGATATGCTCATTTGTAATGTTTCTTTAATATCACCTCCTTATTTCTTCATATACCCATTAATAAGCTCTCAGACAAAAACAGTTTAAGACAGAAAGATTCCAGGATTTTTTTTTCCTTTTGGAAGGCATAATTTTTTATTTTATTTCATCAGATTCTACTAAACAAGTAGTCTAATTCTTCTCCATAAAGAAATGAGTTTCTTTCTGAGGTTTTTATTGTTGTTTTCTTTTACTGTGGAATAAAATATCAGAAAGTAAAGGGGTAATGTGCCAAATGTGGTTATGTAATTCTTTTTTTTTTTTTTTTTTTTTGAGTTGGAGTCTCACTCTGTCACCCAGACTGGAGTACAGTGGCGTGATCTTGGCTCACTACAACCTCCACCTCCCAGGTTCAAGCAATTCTTCTGCCTCAGCCTCCCAAGTAGCTGGGATTACAGGCACACACCACCATGCCTGGCTAATTTTTTGTATTTTTAGTAGGGACAGGGTTTCACCATGTTGGCCAGGGTGGTTTTGAACTCCTGACCTCAAGTAATCCACCTGCCTCGGCTTCCCAAAGTGCTGGGATTACAGGCACGAGCCACCGCACCTGACCTGGTTAAGTAATTCTGATACAGTAGGGAATGAACAGTTACTGAATATCTATTATCAGTCTGGTTCTTTTCCTATATAACTTCACTTAATCATCAGAACACTTTTACTAAGCAGTCATTCTCTGCCTTTCGTTAATGAAGAAACTGATAAGAAATTAAAAAAACAAAATATGAACCTTGGAAATAATATTAACCTTCTCTAAGCTATTGGAACACAGTAATTTTGTATACTAACCATTAATGTGAAGAAAGATTATATATTTTTTTACCTTGAACCTCTCATGTTGTTTAAAAATAAATTCTATTTCTAGGAGGTGTTCAGTAAATGAGAAATTAATTTCTAGCTTTTATGTTCCTAAGTTCGTATCTATAATATACTTCCATAGAACTATCCTCTTTATAAAGACATCATCCATTCATTGAATAAACAATTATTTCTGGAGCTTGTACTATGTGAATCTACTGAAGATAATGAAGTGAACAAGGCAGACATTGTCCCTGCATACAGTGAGCTGCATTCTGTTGGGGATGGTATGTTAAATAACACACAAGTAATTCGTCCTTAGATATGAAGTAATGTAGACTGCTATTACAACATATACCTGTGGGATCTGAACTAATTGGGATACACAAAGAAGGCTGAGGATGCAGGTGCGAATATTTGTGCATGGACAAGTAGACTGAGTTCAGATCCTCCAAGGCCTTCTATGATTTTGAAGACATAACGATAACTTGAACTAAGATAATATCTCTACAGATGAATGTAGGTGAATAGGATTTATAGATATAGAAAAGTAAAATTAATTGAACTTGTAATTGATGGAAAATGAAGGCAGAAGTAGAGATTGGGGGATGTTAAAAAATACTTCTAGGTAAGGTTATGGTACCACAATAATGGTGATTCTCTCAGTAACTGGAATCAATGGTTTCAGGTGTTTATGTGAAGTTCTAAGCCATACCTTGGCAACATAAGTTCTATTGTGTTGCCATCATTGCTTTGGGCAGGGTAATGACAATTACTAAAACCAATAGTGATAGCATCTCACTGTGTAGAAAATCCATTTGATTTTGCAGGTAAAAAGAACAATTCTAAATTTCACTCATAGTCTAAGAACCCTTTGCATTTCCATCAGTGTCGTTTCACATTTTCATGCTACATTGTTTGGAATACCTGCTATTAAGCTACCTATTTGGTTCAGTGCACTTGTTGACTCTTTTTCTCTCCTCTTACACAGTCCCACAAGTGACCATAATATTATCTCTTCTGAAACTTGTAGGCACCTGCTGTTAGTAAGGCCACCTAACTGCTAGTTACCAAACAGTATTAGGATAACTAGCTAGAATTAAACATATTTGTATTATATCACCCAGAAGATAAATGCTTCTCAAAGTAATGCCAACACACTCATTAAAATATTTGAAAATTATATCTTTCTTGGATTCTGTCTTTCTGAAGGACAAAAATTGGCTAAACCTTATACTTTATAACATTTCATTCCTATGATAACTTTTACTGTGTATAACACACACACACACACACACACACACACACAGAGAGAGAGAGAGAGAGAGAGAGAAACAAATTATGATCTCTAAATGTATTTTTCTATTTTCTCACCCAAACACATTTTTAATTTCAGGGAAAGAGCTACAGCTTTCTCTCTAAATTAAAACATACAAAATGTAAAAAGCAGAAGAAGTACATAGTGACGAAGAGATAATGATTACTTTCCCAGCATGCTCTGTGTCACTTTCTGACATCCTTTAGATGACAACAAATTTGTAGAGAAGTAATTGAGATTATATTGGAATATTTGGGTATTCTTGATAAACTGTTTCTCAATGACACTACCCACTTATAATTGAACACACAAATTTACAATTTATTTTTTTCCAGAATTGTTTAATATAAATGAAAATAAACTAAGACCCAAACTGATAATAAACTGATAGACTGACGTTTGTCTCTTCAGGACCCTCATATATTTCTAAAGAAAAATATGATGTAATAGGATTTTATAGTTTTAGTAATCAAAGACATCTTTTGGATAAGACTACAACACCAACAAGAACATTTTTATGAAATAATGAAAACTCTTATATTAAGAAGTTTATACACTTTATTTGGTCAATTTGAATATTTTAACCCATCTATCAATCCATCCATTTATCCATGTACATTATCTTTTCAAAGTTAGTATGTTTATGCCCTTGATGGAACATATAATTCTGCTCTTTTTTCTGTTGGAATAGTAAGGCTGTAATATATAGAATGTTTTCTCAGTGATTTACAAAGACATAATCAATTGTGGATTTTTTTTATTGATACCTAAACTCTTGTATTCTTTTCAAAGGACTTTCTAATGTCAGCTCAAGCATTACAAGTTAGTAAGAAATTGCCTTCTCTTTTCTGTTAGAAATATCTAGCACATTATGTTTATGAAAGACATATTTTCATATATGAATAATTTTATTTATATTTATGCTAAGATCGTTAGGTTATTGAAAGGTAGTTCTTAAAATAAATTTATGTTTAATCATAAATTAAACATTAAACATATAAATAGTTTGTTCTTCTTTTTTGTTCTAACTTTCTTTCCAGTGCCTGTTTCAGTATCAAAATTTTCTATGCTTATGTTTCAAATGTTAGTACTACAAGAAAATAAGTATGGTAAACTTTTGTAAAATAGAAGAATCCATATATATTATGCAAGATCTTAATACAAATGATCAATAAAAGAAGAGCTGGTCTAGCTGACAAGCAGAGAGGGCACTCAGAATCTTGTCATTTCAGCCATCATCTGGCAGCTTTTTGGTCTCCATTCTCTGTCCCTGGGATACCTCAGAACTTACTAGGATTTCTCTAAGAACAGGCTGAAAATCACTGATATAGAGAAGTATCAAAACCATTTATATCAGAGGCAAAAAGATTGAAGTTCTTGATCAAACTCGACCACTGATTTGCTATGTGACTCTTAGCTTCTTTTAACTTCTGTTGGTCTCAGGTATTGAACAGCAGCATTCTCTCTTAATTCATGGGGCAAATAATGATTTATAGATCTTCACTTAAAGAAATGTATGCCTATAGATTGTATGTAAGTCAACTGAAAGTTAGAGCTACCTAACTACTGGATTACAATCAGAATTTTTGTTTTGAAAAAGTTAAAAAGATTATAGTGTCATTTTAACCCAGTACAGGTCAACTGAAACTTTATTACATGTTCACAATAATAATAATTGTTGTTATTATTCCTACTATTATAACTAAATGCAGACATCTAGATGTGTTATTTCATTTAATTTTTACCACAGGCCTGGATGAAGTCATATTTCCATTATATAAGTGAGGTAATTAAAGCTCAGAGAAGTTAAATAATTTGTCCATAGTTAGTTACAGTCATGGTTAGGATTTGAACGTAGGCTTGCTTGTCTCAACATTTGTTATTCTTAGTCAATTATTTTGCTCTCAGGAATGGTCAAGAATGATAAATTTTCTTAAGAAAATATTAAGAAAAATGTGTGCCTTAAATTTTACACAGTGATATGCAGTGAGTTCACTAGAAATTATACATATAAAATATAAAATATGAATGGAATTAAACATAAGGTGTTACCAAAAAAAAAAAAAAAGAGAGAGAGAGAAAACTTATACAGAAGGCATTTGTACTTAGGAGATTTGAGTTCTGGCCCTATTTAGCCATTGATTTTTTGTATCCTTTTAGATGTCACTTAACCTCACTGGGTCTTAATTTCTTCATTTATATAATAAATATTTTATTCTGAGGTATCTCCAAAGACCTTTCTAGTTATCAAATTATGAGATATCTAGAAATGCTGATTGGTTAATTTATATTAAAAAGTGAGAGAAAAATCCATGTAATGGCATTGCTTATTATCTAATGAAACATTTTAAAATAATTTTGATAAAGACCATTTTTAGAAGAATATTATGATTTACTTATAACTAAAATAGAAAATAAAAACACACTCATATAAAATCTTATTATCAATAATAATTGAACTATTTAATATCTGTCATCTTGAAATTATTATTAATAATACTTTTCACCTTGTAGCTATAAATACATTCCCATTTTAGCAGGTTAATGAAATTATCTTTGTAATACTATAGAAGCATTTATTTTAAGAATACCAGAAAGAACATCCTGAAAACCAAGAACTCAAAAAGGCTTTTTATCCCAAAGATATATTTTTAAAATGTATACCTATTCATCCACTTGTTTTCACAAATGGAGCTACAGAGAACTTTGAACATAATGATGTACAGCAGAGGCTTATTCCTAACATATTTAGAATTTTAGTTCAACCAAACATTGCTGTGGAAACTGAATTGAAATGCAAAATCTTACAATCCTAATTTCGAGCCACTTTCATTTTAACTTAATTTTAACATGTTTTGCAAAATGTTCCCGTATCAACTTAATAGTTACTATACCACCAAACATGGATTGTGATTATTTTATTTTCTAGATTGGCTGACAGGCTGAATAATCTTCTGCAGGGTAGTAAGTGTCAACTGCATCAAGCACATGGAGGTGGACTCACTACAGAAGGAAGGTTTTCCAAATAAAATTCCAAGTATTTTTTAATTCAGCCTGCTAAGACTTCCAGCCATTCATCGGGTCATAGAGTGTCTCCTTTAGGTTGTCGTTGTTTTTAGCCAGGTTTTGTGTAGTCAGCTTTTCAAGAAATGTAACTGCAGTTTAATCCCAGTTCTTGCAGTAAAAGTCACTTTCTTCTACCTCCCAATTAACACCTGCAGCTCAAAAACAGAGGATTTCTACTGACTCTAATATTGGAAAAGATTATATAGAGGGTTTAGGAGACATTCCCAAATACCTTATTTCTGATACAGCAGGAAGTATTTGTGGATAATATGACATTAAATTCCAACAGAGAGTAAACATAGATGCTGCAGGTTTGAAGTTATGTCCCACACTCACTAGTTGGCATTGGATCAGATTACATGACCTGGATCTTTGAATTTCCATCTGCAAAAAGAAGAATCCAGACATACTTTAAGCACGTAATAAACCCTGGGTATCTGAAACCAAATGTTGAAATTGGTTCTTTTGTCCTGGCTAAAGTGCTGAATGAACATTGTGCAAATACAAAGAAATTGATAGAGTGAATAGAACTGTAGACTGAAAACTCGTCTCAGATGGCATAATGACAGCTGGAGAAGTTTAGATAAGGAAAAATGAAATGTCAGGATTCTTGTCTTCGAGGTTTGTAGTCTGCTGGCATATGCTTCTGTTGAAGCTTTGGGAAACCCAGCCGTAATCCAATTGTTGAAAAGAGCTGGTTGAAAAAAATACATAATGTGCTTCTTATTATGATGTAGAAAAGGTTCCTATTTAAAACTAAGACAACAGAGAACCGTGAGGTTATATATATATATTCAGTTTTTCTAGTTTAAAAAATTGGAGAAAATAACTATCTACATAGTACTCAAAGCAAAAGGGAACTTATGAAAATGTATGCAAGGCTATTTTAATACTGGGGGGGAGTAACACTTAAAAAATTTCAAAACCCAAACACTTCTACCTATGCTATGTGAAAATCTCATTGTAATGCCACTTTATTGAAGTTTTTCAAAGACAGATATGGATGAGTGCTACTACACTGCCACCTGGTGATTAGGCAGGTAGGAGGGATTTCAGTAAAAATTCCTGACAAAGAAAAGATTAGGATTTGTTAATGAGTATTTAATAATACTGAATTTCTCTAATATATCCAAGTTTGTTAATAACATGAAGGTGCTTTGTATCAGGTCATATATTATTGAAAAGCATGTTCCTGGTAAATGTTAAATTGATTTCTATCAAAATGTGTGTGATCTCCATTTCATATCTACTTGCAGCTGTATCCTTCCTTGATTTATTTTAGTCTGGGTAAAGTAAATGAGTAAACTCTTTGCACAGGTTCAGGAGCTAGTGACTTGTCCTTGGAAATGGGAGAGGAAAAGAATGATATGACCTAAATTTATTCTATTTCAAATGGTGCATTTGGTGTTTGCAATCTTGACTTGTACTATCAAACTACTCATTCAATTTGGAGTTACTGATTTTATAGTCATCTTCTTCTTTTAAAAATGATTTTGCCTAGGGAAGAATGGCTTCAGCAATTTAAAGTTGGATGTCAAGGCAACAAATACAAATAAAAAAAGGAAACAAAAAGTGTGAGCATTCCATGAAGTTGCGTGTTTTCCTTCTGTTGTATTTTTACCCTGGTGGGGTTTGTTAACAATTTTAATGAGCAAATATAGGTGTTGAGACAACAAAGTTCTTAACTAACTCATTATTTGGATAGATTTATTTATCTAGTCACAGATAGGATGTTAAATTTAATATTTACTTTTATTTCCCAGTCTGTTTCTCTGCTCATACCTCTGAAGTGTAAGAGAATGTAAAGGGTTGGAACAAACCCCTGGGAGAATCTATGTGGCAGAGCCATGCTACAGAGATTCGGCTCTTCCTCAACTGAGCTAAAATAACTTCAGGAACTGCAAAATGGGAAGTGTTCTAGCCAGTGCTTTCATATACATAGCATATTCTTAGTGCTTGTGGTAAATTATGAGACAGTAGTTCACCACTAATGTGGATTTCCAGTTGAGTTAGATCATCTTCTTTTCAAACCACTATTCAAAATGTGAGATCATCTAAGCTTTTCAGTAGAAGATAAAATAATCATTTACTTATAACAGTCTTCAAGTATGCATGATCATAAAGTCTGCATTGCTGGTGAGATTCTATACAGTTATAAATGCAGACATGTGGAATCGATGTCTGATCCATACACCATTTTTAGTTTCACTATATTCGTAAGAGGATAGACAGATCTTTTTGGTTACTACAGAGGATGATGTCTTGCCAGCACGTCTATGTAGGCAAAAAGGCAATAAAATGCTAGGAGGTAAATAGTGAAAACAGTTTCTCTTGGAATGGATGTGAGATGTGGGGAGTTATAGTGCTGTACTCATATCCTGAAAAAAAAAATTCTATCCACTCAATTTTTATTTACTGACATTTTTATTTCCTGTGCTTTCCTATTAGTATGTTAGTTTATTAACTTGTCTAGGCTAACAGGTAAAAGTAGAAAGCTAATTAATTTGAGCTGAATTTTGTTCATTCTATTTCCGGAAGCAAAAAAAGAAAGATACAATAATATGGAAAAGCCTGAAGGAAGACTATTGGACAAAATATTTACAAAAAAAGAAACCTTTTCTTAAAATGGACAATCACATTTAAAATAATGTGGGCAGTTATATTCATTGCTCTTTTGAAGGATGATGAGAGATGGACTATTTATGCTCTCCTCAAACTGGGTCATGCTTTCTCCCAGTGTTTCTCCCTCAGGCTCACATTCACAATCTTCACCCAAGAGTGGAATTTTGGTTGACCAATTTTAGAAGCACTGAATAAGTGACAAAAAGGTTAGAAAGGAAGTAAAGAAGAAATCCTGCTATCTTCCTCTCTGCATTATAAACCGCCAGTGAAGTGCACAGCAGATAGTGAGCACTAATAAATCTTGGTTTGACTGAAATTTCTGAAAGGGCGATCTAAAAAAGCAGAGCTTCTCAGTTAGGAAATACGAAGGCTGAAAGCCATGTGATTCATTCCTATAAAATCACAAAGAGCAACTTGTGCACCAAATTTCAGAATCTCCCTTAAGCATGATGTCCACGGGCAAGAGTGCATTATAGCATACAAAGCACTTTAATATTCTTTATCTTACTTTCCTTTCTGACCAATTCTGGAAGACAGATAATATTCTTACTGTACATTGGGTGAAACAAGATCTTGAGAGATCTCACAACTCAAATTGAAATCAGCCATTTTTCAGACTCTTTGCAACTGCCTAAGTAGAGATTTTTTAAGACAAATAATAGAAGCCCTACTTTACACACCATAATTTGAACTTCTTACTCTGAGAAATCATTCAGGTACAAGAAAGAATTAATTCAACAGGGCTTTAGAGATTATAGAGCTTTAGAATATTTGGGATTATTAGGGTTGTTCAGTTAAAAATTCCTACTTTGAGATTTAAAACATGGGTAGCAATTCCCACATTAAATCATACCTTTTGATAGCACTGACAGTGCACAATGTTGTACATCTACTCTCTATATTGTATGTCCCATAAATACAATGATAACTATTTCAAGTCATGAAAAATTTACATTATCTGCATTTTGAAAAATGAATCTGATTTTAACTAGTAGAAACCATAACTATAACACAAAAACATCTTAGAACATAATTATTCAATAAATGTTTACAATATTTTGAAAATGTTAAAGAATAATATTGATTCTTCTGTAATGAAAAAGCTGCAGATAGTTGAATAAAGAATATCAAATAAACATTTGATAAGTTTTATAATTAATCTTTTAGATATTGAGTTCTGGGGATTATTTTTTTCTAAACACATTGTCATCATATTTGTCAAACTTGTCCTGGACCCTAAGAATAGTAATTTAATTTCTAATTTTGCTCAGAATATATGTACTTTAAATTATTTAAACAAGACTATGTAAACAAGATTTTGAATAGAGAATAAATAAAGGTAAATTATTATAGGGAAGAACCCACATTGTTCTTCCATTTCTTTTTCAGCTGCTTTTAATTGGTAGACTTTGTTGAGTGTGTCACCATCAACCACACACAAAAAATGGAAACATGTATGAATGACTCTTAAAGAATTAATAGATTCAAGCCTGCTGATTCCTTGTCAACAGGTAAGCTATTTTCCTGACTTAAGTTTTGCACCCTTGTAGCATATATAATAAAAAGGAGGAAAGAAACTCAGTCAGAATAAGAACTGGGGTACTTTGTAAACTCCTCTTATAGATGTTCATTCGTTAAATCTTACAGAAGAAACCAGAAGATTTCACATGATTGAAACAACATTGTGGTAAGTTGTGTAAGCATTTGTATTATATGTGCTTTTCCTTTTATATATATAAATAAAGTAAAAAAGGAATATTAATTTCTTCTTTAAATGGGCACATTTTCATTAACATTTCAGAAACACTTTAAAGTCTTTAAAGTATGATTGCTAAATATCAAAGCTTGAGATAATAAATAAAGTAGAATGATAGAACAAAACATAAACTAGGATGAGTTCTTCCTTATATTTCTTTTCATATGTCTGTCACCTATAAAAATGTAACCTAGAACATTAATGATTTTGTGTGTCTTATTTCTCTCTGTCTCTCTCTTTGTCAAACTAGGTAAAGTTTTGTCAATATTATTGATCTTTTTAAAGAAACATCTTTTGGTTTCATTGATTCTATTGTTTTTCTATTCTTTTTCATTTATCTTCACTCTATTCTTTACTATTTCCTTCCTTCTGGTAGTTTTAATTTGCTTGTCTTTTACTAATTCCTTAAGAAGTAAAGCTAGGCTATTTGGTAGAAATATTTTATCTTTTTTAATGTATGCATTTACTGCTATACATTTCCTTGTGAGCACTATGTTCACTGGATCATCTAAGTTTTGGTATGTTATTATTTTTATTCTCTAAATATTTTCAAATTTCGTTTGTGATTTCCTTTTTGACCCTTTAGTTTTTTTTTAAACACCCTTTTATTAATCAATTGTAAGTAATACAAATATTCCAAAAATATAAACAGACACTTAATGGCGTCCTGCATTTCAAGTTTTTGAATACAACAAATTTATCAAACTATGAATCTGTAAGCAAGGTAGTCAGAATCCCATAGCCCAGTCACAGTGGGAAGCAGATCCCCTACCCTCCAAATGGCCTCTTGAAGGGGGAAAGCGGCACAAAATGGAACATGATAAGCAAAAAAGCTCACAAGGCCCAAAGAGGAGGGTCCGCTCCAGGGGCAGGCCCTACAATGTTAAAAGAATGGGGCGGCTGGCCCGACCTCTGGCCTCCTCTTCCCTGGCTGACTGTAGATATTTACCGACATTTAGAAAAAAGGAGAAAAAGACGGAACAAAACCCCTGTTTAGGAAAAAGGGACCGAGGGACAGCAGTGGTTAAGTAATCCACTGAAGACCTGAAGGGGAAAATGGACTTACCTTTCTCATATACTTGGTCTGGCTAGGACACTGGGTGCCAGACAGCCTTCTGAGGGGATTTTCTTTCTAAATGAGGCCTCAGGAACAGGTAGGGGCAGCAGAGTAGAATAGCATCCATTTCCCAGGGAAAGACTGCCTTTACATTTCCCATGCTTTTATCACGAAGCAGCATCTGGACCACTGTTACCAGAGGTGAGTTTATACATTTACAAAATGCTTAAAATCTTTGGGAGGCAGGAGAAAGCTAAACAGAAGGTCCCAGGTTAACTGAAGGCAAATTCACTCAACCTCTCTAGTAAGGGACCCATGGGCCTACAGAGTGTCCCCTCTACAATGTGCAGAGTGGAAACCCTTACCTGACCCTTTTCCAAACTGGTTCTGTGTCCAAAGCTCCCCCTATGAGAGGGACACGAACATCAGGGTTTGATTTAGAAGCCCAATCAGAGAGACACACTGTGTCCCTGAAGAGGCACCTTAAAAGAACAGAACCTGGCAGGTAGGCAGATTCCTGGCATGGCTTGAATTCGTGCTGACCAGGCATGGTGGCCTATTGCCTCCCAAAGACCAGTCTCAAGTGGGAGGGGCTGATGGTGGGAAGCCCTAGAACAGAGTCTGGGATAAAGTGGCCACCTCCCTGTCTTGCCCTCCAAAATTGAGTCTGGCCTGATTCCTTTGAGGAGCAAATTTACAATCATCCCTCGCCCTAACACACGGTGAAACTGGAAACCCAACAGCAAATAATGACTAGGCGGGCTCTGGTCCACATGAATGGACCCTGGCTACGTTTGGCTGAGTAGCTTCTCTGGGGCAAGTGGGAATGGCATTGCTGTAGGGGATTTGCAGGTGGGCAGGCAGGGTTCTGATGGGAGTGAGGCCTAGAAAGCAGGGGCTTCATGCAGATGCAGCAGGGACACTCCCACCAAGCCATCCTGGGCTTTGGTCATGGGTCCCACACCAAGCACTTGGACAAGCCTGTTAGGAAAGGGGGTGGCACATGCTCTTCCTCCATCTGGAAAAATGTGGAGATCCAAGGGAGGGCAGAAAGTGTTCTTGCAACTCAGTCAGCTTAGAGCTTCTTATTGCTTATTTGGTCAGAAAAGCCTGGCTGGGCCCAGAAGGCAAAAGATTTGGCCAAGGACTAACCCTTAGGGTGGGGCTTGGAAGATAGGCCCCTCCTACAATATTAGGATAGCAGCCTAGGTCAGGCCTTGGGTCCAAAGACACAGCTGGCTCTAAGAGTCTGAGCTCCTGCTTTCCTTCAAGAGACCCTTTAGTTTTTTACAAGTGTGGTTCTTAATTTTCACATATAGGTGAATTTTACAGTTTTCCTTCTCTTTTCAAAAATTTCTAGGTTCATTTGTTTTAGTTTCATGATCACAAAAGATACTTGGTATAATTTCAGTCTTTTCAATTTTATTGAGACTGGCTTTATGGTCTAACAAGGGGTCTACTATGGAGAAGATTCTGTGTGCAGTTTATGCATACATAAAGTTGGCACATTTTACTTTTATTGAGTAAATTATTCTATTTATTTCTATTAGATATAGTTGGTTCATAGTATTCATCAAGTCCTATATTTTCTTATTAATCTTTTATCTACATATTTAATCCATTATTGAAAGTGGGGTATTGAAGTCTTCATCCATTACTGTAGAACTAGTTCTCTATTGAATTTTGTTAATGTCTGCTACATTGGGACTCTGTTGTTTGGTGTGTATATGTTTATAATTATTATATCTTCTTGATGGTTGTTAACATTTTCGTCACATTGTATGTCCTTCTTTGCCTCTAATAATTTTTTTGGCTTAACGTATATTTTGTCTGTATTAGTATAACCATCAATATCTCTTTTAGTTACTAGCTACATGATTATCTTTTCCCTTCTTTCATTTTTAACTTACTTGTGTATTTGGATCTAAGATGAGTAGGATATAGTTATATCATGTGTTTTTATCCATTCTGCCCATCTCTCCCCTTTGCTTGCAGTGTTCAATTCCTTTATACTTATAACAGTACTTACTGCTAAGAAATAACTTGCTTATGCCATTTTACCTTTTTTCTTTATGTCCTGAATCATTTTTTGGCCTTCCATTTCCTCCATTACTATTATCTCTCGTGTTTAGTTGTTGTTGTTTTTGTACTGCACTGTTTTGAGTCTCTTTTCATTTCCTTTTATGAATTTTCAAAAGATATTTTCTTGGTTACCATAGAGATTACAATCAACATCCTAAATTTATAACAACCTAGTTTGGATTGATACCAACTTAGCTTCAATAACATAAAAAACTCTCCTCCTGTTCAGTTCTGTCCCTTCTATCTTTATGTTGTTGTTGTTGTAAACTACATCTTTATACATTGTGTGACCAATAACATATATTTATAACTTTTTATGCATCTGTCTTTTAAATCACATAGGAAATAAAAAGTAGAGTTACAACTTTAAAACACATACTAATTTTTATATTTACCTCTGTAATTATCTTTACCAATGACCATTATTCCTTTACACTTTACAAGTCTTCAAGTTACCATCAGTGGCACTTAAATTAGGCTGAAGGGCTCTATGTAGCATTTCACCTAGGGTAGGTCTACTAGCAATACAAATAAAGGGGCAAGATTACTACCACCTTACATAAACAAAAACAGATTATAAAATAATTATATGAGCAAATATTAGCCAACACATCAGATAACATAGATGAAATGCACAAATTTCTAGGAAAACAAAATTACCTAAACTGACTCAAGAAAAATATAAAATTTCAACAGTCCTATAACATGTAAAGAGATTAAATCAGCAATCAATAGCCCCCAATGAAGAAACATCCAGGACTAGGTGGCTTTACTGATGAATTACACCAAATATTTTTAAAATTAGCACCAGTTTTTCTCAAACTCTTTTTAAAAATCAAACATGAGGGAACACTGCCTAACTATTTCCTTCAGGCTGACATTACTTTGATGCTATAAGCCCATTCAATAGGGAGAAAAATAGTTTCTTGAACAAATCGTGCTGGAACCAAATATCTGCATGCAACAGAATGTAGTTGGATTCCCATCTGTCTCCAAATTTAAAAATTAACTCACAATGGATCAGTAACTTGAATGTAAGAGCTAAAATCATACAACTTTTAGAAGAAGACACAGGGGTAAATCTTCATGAGCTTGGATTTAGTAATGCATTTCTAGATATGACACCAAAAGCATGAATATTAAAGAACAAAAACAGCTAAATTTGGCTTCATTAAAAGAAAAAAAAAATTGTGCTTAAATGACATTTTGAAGAAACTAAAAAGATAACTACAGAATGAGAGAACATATTTGGAAATCATACAACTGATAAAGGCCTACTATTCAGAACGTATTAAAGAACTGTTACTAGTCAATATCCCCTTCCTGTGTCCATGTGTTCTCATTGTTCAATTCCCATCTATGAGTGAGAACATGCGGCGTTTGGTTTTTTGTCCTTGCGATATTTTGCTGATAGCTTCATCCATGTCCCTACAAAGGACATGAACTCATCATTTTTTATGGCTGCATAGTGTTCCATGGTGTGTATGTGCCATATTTTCCTAATCCAGTCTATCGTTGTTGGACATTTTTAAAAGAGTATAGATAAATCCGTAGGGACAACATACAGATTGGCAGTTGTCAGGAATTGGGGGTGGGAGAGAGAGAACTGGGAAAAAACAGTGTATGGATAATGGGTTTTACTTTGTAATAATGGAAATATTTAATTTTCTAAAAAGGAAAAAAAATTTAAATTTCTAAAAAGGAAAAAAAAATATTTTCTGCATCTACACAGAGAAAGGATGACTTAAACAAGTGTAAGAGTTAAGCCACAACTCCCTTCTTATTTCAAACCTAATGAATTCCTGAGGTTTTGGTCGACATCTGGAATTTGCCACTATCAGAAGAGAAAGAACAAACTGGTTAAGAATTATGCCATGTGATTGGGTGTTTTGAGCCATTAGTCTTTTCAGTAGAGCAATAAAGCTTGACATCTGTATAGTAATTCTCCACTTTCCAGTCATTTTCCCACTTTGTAATGGGCAGACTGAATTTTACCACAATACACGTTTTAAATTCTTTGTTAGGATCATACAGATTAAGTCGAAATTTTGCATAGGTACTTAAAACCTAAGCTTTTACAAATTGAGAGATCTCAGCAAAGATGAAAAATAAAATCAAAAAAGAATTTTAAAAGATTCTTGAATAAGTCCAGATAGAAATTGAAGAGAATATAATACAGCTACATTCATTTCAATCACTCCTCACTTTGGTATTCTCATTCTGTGTCTTTAAAAGCATGATATTCAAGTTTTTACCTCAGTAGGCAGTATCTACCATTTAAGAGGCTCATTTTATTGTGTGAAACCCCAGGTGTCCTCTGCCTTCATTCTGTTAAGTGACAATCATGTGGCAGATAGCTTAGTGGGAACTGTAATAACACATATATTATAGAGTAAATTGTCACATTCTAAAGATCATTAAAATGATGATGATTCCTGCAGAGTCATATTAATAAGTAAAAGCTACACCTGTACTGTAAGAAGTATCCAAAACGAGTACTTTTATGACAGAATTTGACATCTCACTCACTATTGAGTATACTTAGGTTCATAAATTAACCAAGAAATTAAAAAAATTACATTCAACCAGAAGATGAGTTAATAACAGTGTGATGTATGTGTAGGGAGCAAAAGGTATGCTTCCTACTTTAGCACTACTTCCTAGCAAAATATGTTATTTCCTAACTTAGCCTACATTGCTTATAAGCTAACTAAAAATGTCAAAAATTTCAGCCAAATGTTATATTTTTCTACAATGTATTCTTTTTGCTTCATAGTTTTATCTATAATTATATGCTTCAAAATGTAAAATAGACATTTGTATGTATATTGTCTATTTGAAGTTTTGAAGATTGCATATAAATGAAAGCTCTAAACCATTCTCTCAAAGAGTTTTATATGATTTTACAATTAGAAAAAACATGATCCATGGACCATAGTTTGGTTAACAAGGCTTTAAATCATCTCTTGTTTTGTAATGCCACTTGGGTCAGAGTCAGTGAATAAATGATGTGAACAGGGGTGGGAAATGGTGAGTAAATTTAGAAATATGTTTGAACTCTTAAGTGCCATAACCAGACAAATATTTTCAAGGGAATCAGTTTTCAGGAATTTGCAAAGCAAAAGAATAAAAGTAAAAGAAAAATAAATAATTAAAATAGATCATTTAAGGAATAGTTATTATACATTGAAAATTTTGTCTTTGCCCTAATCAAAATCTATTAATAGAAGTTTTGGTAACTTTTAGCATGCTAAAAGGACCATAATAGGTAATAGTGGTGAAGAAATGTCAACAAGACTAGCCCTTTCCAAATATATAAATTATACTCCTAGACAAACCATTAAAAAAATGGAGGAGATTCAACACTTGAAAGAAGAATATCTTGGAAAGAAAATGAGATTATGAAGTTTTTACTTAAAGGAAGCTGGAACTTAAACTGAAATTCGTCATTTTACTGGGTTGAGAGGTTGAAGATCTGAAATAAAGGCTTCTAGAGTGCTTAGAAAGTGATGTGGTAAATAGTAGGCAGATGAGACCTAAAGAACTGGAAGCCCCAAAAATCTATGTATAAATCCTTCCAAATCTTTGGTTGATCACTTAACTGCCAAAGACTTCAGGGTGTCCCATGAAAATAACAGGTACTTGAAATGGTGGAAAGAAGAGGAGAGTTTCAACTGTTGACAACCACAGTAGAGTTTGGAGTCGAGCCAAGGTAATTGCCCGGCAAAACAAAAATCAGTGCTCTTCAGAGGAAAGCATTACACGGCAGAATTCATTTTCTGCACAATATTGTAAACATAATTTTCAATTAACAGACAAAAATTGCCAAACATGCAAAGGAACATCAACACAAATTTCAACCCTACAACTATTCTGCTAGATGTTTAATAAATGTATTCTGAAATTGTACCCAGGTATGTATGTATGCAATATTATTCTAATTTTTTTTTTTTTTTTAGATGGAGTCTCACTCTGTCACCCAGGCTGGAGTGCAGTGGCGCGACCTCGGCTCACTGCAACCTCCACCTCCCGGGTTCAATCAATTCTCTGCCTCAGTCTCACGAATGGCTGGAATTACAGGCGCCTGCCACCATGCCCGGCTAATTTTTGTGTTTTTAGTAGAGACGGGGTTTCACCATCTTGGCCAGGCTGGTCTTGAACTCCTGACCTCGTGATCCACCCGCCTTAGCCCCTCCAAAAATACTGAGATTACAGGCGTGAGCCACCACGCCCGACCTATTGTAATGTTTTAAAACTATACTGTGTACACATGTGGAATATATAGCCACAAAAACAAAGAAAGATGCATGTATGTGGACATATATTAATATATACAATTAAGTGAAAAGCAAGATGTAAATCAGTACATACAAAACGTAAAATATAATATAGTGTCTTCACATATATTTTATATATGTAAGATTTTTCTAGGAGAATACACAAAAAATAGTTTTTGGGTTAATAGCTTTAGGAAAAGAGGATGGGGTTTTGTTTTTAATTTTGATTTTTGTCATTTGCATTTAAAATATGTGTAATTTACTATTTTTTAAAAAAATTAAAAGAACTATCTGAATGGTAGCAGTGAGAGTAATTTTTGTTATCTTTCCTACACATTGCTAAATTTAAAAGAAAACATACATATTCTAAAAATAGAGAAGGTAAATATAAACTGACTTGCTAACTTCTAATTTAGTCACTAAAATATTACATATATATATATATACACACGTATATGTATATATGTATATATATATGACAGCATAATAATTATACATTTATGTTGTATGTTATAAATTTATATAATTTTTTTGTTGAGACAGAATCTCACTCTGTCGCCCAGGCTGGAGTGCAGGAGGGCTATTTTTACTCACTGCAACCTCCGCCTCCCGGGTTCAAGTGGTTCTCGTGCCTCAACTCCTAAGCAGCTGGGACTATGGCTGCGTGCCACCACACTCAGCTGACTTTTTGTGTTTTTAGCAGAGACAGGTTTCACCAGGTTGGCCAAGGTGGTCTTGAACTCGTGGTCTCAATTGAGCCCCTCACCTTGGCCTCCCAAAGTGCTGGGATTACAGGTGTGAGCCCTTGCTATACATTTATATAAATTTTACTTGTCAAAAATTTTTCTTAAAAAAAGAGATAATGTGTGTAAAATAGTTGTTGTCACAGTGCCTGGACCATGGTAAATCATAATAGGAGATTCTCAATCCATCAATAAAGTGTATATATTTAATAGTTTTGTTAATATATATTTATTCAGCTAATATTAATGTGTACTAGGTTCAAAGAAGTATTTTGAGTATAATACAGTTAATCTATTCAACAAACCTATAAAGTAAATATTAGCATATCCCATTTTTACTTGAGAAAATTGAAGCCCAGAGAAGTTTCAGTAACTTGTCCAAGGCCAAGCAGTTAGAAAGTGTGGGGTAAGAATTACATGTACCACACCACAGTATATCCCTTCAGACCCCAAGCTCTTAAAATCTGTTTATGAAGTAGTAACACCAGTATATCCTCTATCTTTCCAAGTTAAAGTCAAAATGACAATAATTGAAATAAGCACTAAAGGTCAAATTGTTTTAGTGTGAGAAATAATTATTTAAAATACACAAAAATAATCTGTTTCTATATGTATAAATGAAAATGAATCAAATAAATATGCAATATATTCTAAGTTCTGACCATTTTATGTTTAAATATGTTAGGTTCTTTCTGATCACTCTAAATATTCCTAAGAGGGAAAACTAGATTAGTGGATTTAGTAAATCTTTAGGATTACACATTTTAATTTAAGTAGATTTCATCAATTTTGCCTTTACAAAAATGACCCATTACATGATTTAAAATATAGAAGGATGAAAACATTTTACATTTTTCTAGTTCTGATTATTTTTTATTAAAGTTTTGAGATAAAGCTCATTTGTATTAAAAAAGTCAAATTATAGTATTGCACATTTAAAAAAATTCCACTAAGAAACACAGCTAATATTTGTAATCTGACTCTAAACAACTTGAATTAATTGTACATGCAAACTTAAGTTGTAAATTTTTCTTATTAAACTTTTTCCAGATTTGAGTGATTCTTGTGAATGTTTAAGAATAAAGAAAGAAAACTAGGTCAACAAATACTTATTCAATATCTACTTTGGGGAAAAGATAAGGGGAATGTATTTTTAAGTTTGTTTAGAGAATATTATCAGAGCATGAGGTATTGTAATATAGAGATCACAGCCCAATCCGATAAAGCTGATATCATTATGCAGTGAGTTTTGCAGTAAGGCATTTGTTCTTTTAAAATATAGGATAGTAATGAATCCATTTTAACACAACTACAAAAGAGATAGGTCAAGATGGAAATCTGGGTGTGTGTGTGTGTGTGTGTGTGTGTGCATGTGTGTGTTGTGAATGTGTGTGCGTTTGTTTAACTTTAAGGATTACAATAATTTTTCCAAAGCAAGGGGGTTCCAAAAAAAATATGATGTTAGATTTTTGGAAAAAAACAATAAACTACTCAAAAAGTGTATTTACAACAATAAAAATTGTCAGAGTGATGGAGAACTAAGTAAAATATTTCTTTTCTTTCTGTTCATTTATTAGTTACAGAACCTTGGTGATAAAACTATTTTGACATTTTTGCTATGAGTGCTCAATCTTTATTTTTCTTCTATAAGTCTTTTAGTATCTACTTTTACATATGGTAAGCCTACATTTGGTTGTTTTCAGGAAGAACAATGGATAATTGAAGATGACTGTATTACAAGATCCCAGAAGTAATCAGATCTAAATATATCCTAATAGGAGAATAAATGAAGAACAGTTACTTGGCCAGTCAGTAGTATTTATTGGGTGCCTGGAGGTGTCCTTAAAACACAGTAGTGTCATTAAGAAAATCCAATAAGCATACATAATGACACCAATCCATACACCCAATATCAATAATTTGCAAAGTTAGTGTCTACAGAAGTCACTTAAGTCAAAAGAAAGTATTGTTTATTTCAAGGTGCTTTTTGTCCTTTTTGATCTGCTTGGGTCAATATATTATCTTTAATCAATACTAATAACTATAAAAATAATAAATAAAAGAGCCACTACACTACTTTCGTAAAATACTTAAAGGAGTAACAAATTCATACATTTGGACACAGATGACGCTATCAATATGTTTATTGGCAGGCTATTCCCTGTTTCCTAGTATGTAAATAAATATAAATCTTTTGTCTCTGATGACTAGGTGATTTATTTTATTTTAGTTTTGCCACATTAGGTCAAGCCACTCTTCACTTCTATTAAAAGACTGAATTGCATTTTTTAAAAGTTTTTATCTAAATTATAGGATATCCAGTGTTAATAATTGGAGATTCTCAATCTCCAATAGTGTCTTACTCAAAATAATTTCTTGATTTAATGAAGTTGTTTGATAGTAGTGGCCTATTTCATAATTTGCAAATATCTAGAACATGCATTATTACATGCTTGCATAACAGAGTAAAATACCTGACCATTGAGGAGCAGTCCTTTGTTCCAATTTCACAAAAACATCTAAGCAGGCACTCATGTACTTAGGTCCTTATGCCTGGATCTTGACTAATTTTATCTCAGGATGGTGAAAACATGCTATAATTTTTTTAAATACACATGAGCAAGTTTAAAACTTATATATTTGATATTTTTGAATACTCCTATTTAATAATATCTCCAAAGAAATGTTACAGAATTGCCAAGAGGAGATCATTGAAATTTGAAACTATAAGCATAGACTTATCAATTGCTTCCTTTAGGTCCTACAGTTTTTAATGCATGTATTCTGAGACTCTTGTTTGATATCTACACACCTAGAATCATTAGATCTTTGTGGGCTGATTTTTTTTTTCATTATGCAATGACCTTCCCTGGTAATTTTCTTTGCTCTGAAGTTTAGTTTTTCAGATTAATGTAATTACCTCTTTAAAATCATTTGTATTGATATTTGCATAGTATGACTCTTTTATCATATTTTGTTTTCAACTTTGTTATATTATTGAATTTGATAATGAGTCATGCAGTCATTTCTCCCAAGAATTATTTTTTGTTTTGTTGGAAAATGGCTTTAGCAGCCAAGATTTTGATTCTAACTCTTCTGAGTTTTCTGGAGTATTGATGTTTCTGGGATCTCTTCTGTCAGAGCAAGGAAATACTGTGTACATACTAATCCATGCATATATACAAGTCTATAGGTATTTCTATATATAATATCTGTATCTGTATTCAGCAAACATGCATTCCTACTGTTGTTTCCAATTCTATATCACATGGATCATTCTAGCCTCTTCCCTTTGCCTTTCTGTAACCTCCTATTTCAGTGATGAGAAACCTGTCTCCCACCATCATTTACTTAATTATTCATTTCAAGTATACAGGTATCAGTGGTTGTATTCGTTTGCTAGGGCTGCCATAATAAAATACTGCAGACAGGATGACTTAAACAACAGAAATGTGTTTTCTCACAGTTCTGGAACCTGGATGTTCAAGATCAAGAGGTCAGCAAGTTTGGTTTCTCCTGAGTCCTCTGTCCTTGGCTTGCAGGGTGGCTTTTTTGCTGTGTCCCTTGGGTGATTTTTCTTTTGTGCATGGGTGCCCTGCTATCTCTAAATATATCCATGTTTCTTGTTCTTATAATCACGCCAGATTGAATTAGGGCCCACCCTAGCAGCTTCATTTAAACTTACTCATCTCTTTGAAAGCCCTGTCTTCAAATTTATTCACATTCTGAGATACTGTGGGTTAGGTCTTCAATATATAAATTTGTGGATGTGATACAAAATTTTTCTTGTGTACCCTTGTGGGAAAAAACTTTATCAACACCAGTGCAATGGCATTTATGTGTAATTCATTTTGCCTTTATTCTTACAGACACCACTAATTTCAAATTTACTCAGGTCATCAACTTTTACCCCTCCCTCTTCAGTGAGATTGTTTCATTGAATACAGGTAAATTTCTTTGTCACATTCTCCATTCCATCTTAGGATTCCTCTTGACCTCCTAAATGCTTTATAACAAATTGCATGCTTTGACGTTCAATCTTTGTGCTATAAAGTTCTATGGGTTTTGAAAAATGCATAGTATCATATAAGTACTATTGTGATATACAGAATAGTTTCACTGCCCTAAAAATTCTCTGTTTCATTTATTTATTTATTCATTTTATTATCTTTGAGATGGAGTCTCGCTCTATCTCCCAGGCTGGAGTGTAGTGGCGCGATCTGGGCTCACTGCAAGCTCCACCTCCAGGGTTCACAACATTCTCCTGCCTCAGCCTCCCAAGTAGCTGAGACTACAGGTGCCCATCACCATGCCCAGCTATTTTTTTTTTTAATTTTTAGTAGAGAAGGGGTTTCACCATGTTTGCCAGGATGGTCTCGATCTCCTGACCTCGTGATCCACCCGCCTCAGCTTCCCAAAATGCTGGGATTACAGGCATGAGCCACCGCGCCTGGCCTGTTTCATCTATTTAACCCTCCCTCCTTCCCTTGAGCTCCTGGCAACTAAGTCATTTTATGTAAAACTCTGTAGTTTTACTTTTCTAAACTAAACTCTATAGAGTAAAACTCTATGGTTTTACTTTTCCCAGAATGTCATATAATTGGAATCACACATTATACAGCCTTTACAGACTGGTTTCTTTTAGTTGGAAATATTCACTTAAGATCCACCCATGTCTTTTCATGGCTTTGATAGCTCATTTCTTTTTGTTGTTCAATAATATTCCATTGTATAAAAATAGCACAATTTATCCATTCAACTACTGAAGAATATCTTGGTTGCCTCTATTATTTTGGAGATTATAAATTAAGCTTCTATAAACATCAATGTGCAGATTTTTGTGTGGACATAAGATTTGTGATCAATTGGGTAAATATCTACCAGTATAGTTACTGAGTTACATGGTCACTGTGGTAGTTAATACTGAATGTCAACTTGATTGGGTGGAAGGATGCAAAGTATTAATGCTGGTTGTGCCTGTGATGGTGCTGCCAAAAGGGATTAACATTTGAGTCAGTGGACTGGGGAAGGCAGACCCACCCTTCTTCTGGGTGGGCACAATCTAATCAGCTGCCAAGGAATATAAAGCAGGCAGAAAAACATGAAAAGGTTAGACTGGCCTAGCCTCCCAGCCCACATCTTTCTCCCCTGCTGGATGCCTTCTACCCTCGAACATAAGACTCCAGGTTCTTCAGCTTTGGGATTCGAACTGGCTTCCTTGCTCCTCAGCTTGCAGGTGGCCTATTGCAGGACCTTGTTATTGTGGAAGTTAATACTCCTTAATAAACTCCCCTTTATATATATATCTATGATATATATATATTATATATATATTATATATATATAATATATATATATACACGTGTGTATGTGTGTGTGTGTATATATATATGTATGTATGTATGTATCTATCTATCCTATTAGTTCTATCCTCTAGAGAACCCTGACTGATACAGTAAGAATAGGTTTGGCTTTGTAAGAAACTACCAACTGTCTTCCAAAATGGCCGTGCTGTTTCTCATTCCCATCAGTGATGTTTGAGAATTGCTTTTGCTCTACATCCTTGCTGGAAGTCAGTGCGCCTTTACTTAGCAAAAGTGTAATTAATATGTGTCTTGTCATTTGCGATTACCCAGTTTCAAGTTTAATCAGCTTCTTGAACCTACAGGCTTGTGTCTTTTTTCAAATTTGGGAAGTTTTCTGGCATTAGTTTTCCAAATACTCTAAGTTTATGCTTTCTTTCTTTTCTTTTTGAGGATTCCAATGATAGTAATGTTGGATCTTTTGATATTGTTCCACAAATTCCAGGGGCTCTGTTTATTCATTTATTTTTATTCCATTTGTCCCTGTTATTCAGATGGATGAATTTTGTTGTTCTGTCAAATTCACTGCTCGTAGCCTTTGTCATCTGTACTCTACTATTAAGTCCACCCAACAAGTTTTTAAAAATTTGTTATTGTATTTTTCAATTTGAAAAATTCAACTTGGATTTTCTTATAACCTCTATTCTTTAGCTGAGATTTTCTATTTTGTTTTATATGCTTCAAGAGAATTTGAAATTTATTCTTAAAGCAGTTTTATGATGGCTGCCGTAAAATCTTCGTCAGGTAATTCTAACGTGATTTCTGTCAGTGTTTTTATAAGTTGACTATCTTTTCTCATTCAAGTTGTGAATTTTCTTAATTCTTGTTATGAAGGGTAATTCTTGAATATATGCTGGACATTTTATCTATTGTGTTAGGAGACTCTGGTTTCTGTTTATAACTTCTATTTGAGTAGACAGTCACCTTGTTTTTGTTTATCATGTGAATTAGCCTTCTCTTATAGGCTGTAGTTCTAGCAGCAATTTAATTTACAGAGCCTTTATGGTATTATTTAGATCTGTTTTATTTCTCTTGTGCTACTGCAGTTCTCACTGGTCCCTGCTAATGTTGACTAAAGTGTGTGTGTGGGAAGGGAGGATGAATTTCCCCACCCCTGGCTTCCAGGTGTCTCTCTGAGAGGAAGTGGTATGGTGGGATCCCTGTTACCAGTGTACCCTGATTGCCCAAGTATCTCTAGGGAGTACAGGAGAGTTGCAAGCCATAAAGAACAAGGAGGCTTCCCAGGCCAAGTAGCTAGATATGACTGATTCTCCTTTACTGTTTCCACAACCCCAACTGGACATCTTTGAATGGGGGAGGAGGGTTGTATTAGTCTGTTTTCACGCTGCTGATAAAGATATACCCAAGACTGGCAAATTTACAAAAGAAAGGTTTATTAGACTTACAGTTCTACATGACTGGGGAGGCCTCACAATCATGGTAGAAGGTGAAAGGCAAGAAGGAGCAAGTCACGTCTTACATACATGGTGGCAGGCAAAGAGAGAGCTTGTGCAGGAAAACTCCCGTTTTTTAAAACCATCAGATCTTATGAGACTTATTCACTGTCATGAGAACAGTATGGGAGAAACTGCCTCCATGATTCAATTATCACCCACCAGCTCCCTCCCACGATACATGGGAATTATGGGAATACAGTTCGAGATGAGATTTGGGAGGGGACACAACCAAACCATATCAAGGATCTTGGGCCCATGGGGAAAAAGAGACTTCCCTGGACCAGGCTGCTTGTTATGGCTGTTTCATTTTTGGCAGTTCTGTTTTCCTGCCCCCACCCCACTGTCTGTGGCAGGGTATGACGGTCTCAGGGACAAAGAGGCATCTGGGATGGGACACTTGTTATGGCTGAGTCCCCCTTGCCAGTGCTACTTGCCTGCCTGAGTATCCCTAAGTAGAAAAGAACTTTCTCAGGCCTAGTAAGGACAGGAAATACTTCTCTTAACTGCTTATTTCTGTAGATACATTTAGCTGATTTCTCTTGGTAGTATTGATAGGCTCTCGTGATGTCATCAGAGAGACTCCCATTTGGTCCATGGGAGGAATGAGACTATTTGACTTGCCTCTTGTTGATCAAATAGAGATCAAGAACAGTCAGGTCTGGGTGGTCTTCCTCTGTTGGGTGGTGGTATGCAAGATATCCTACTGTTGTTCCTCCAGTCCTGGGATCCCAAACCAGATTCTCTTCTTCTTACCCATTTCAGAGTTCTCCTTTGGTTATCTCTTTATCATTTCTAAGATTTATAGTTGTGCTTAGCAGAGAGAAAAAGAGCAACATGGGTCTATGTCATCTTTTCTACACTGGAAGTCTCAAATACATTTCTAAAAGGTAATTTTGTAGAGAAAATACAAACTATTCTTTTCTTTCTAGAATGTGCTGGCCTGATTTAATCATATTTCTTTAAATGGCTAGCATTTTAACATTTCTTTAAATGGCTAGCAATATGTTAAAGTCTAATCACAATTCTTTATTTTCAGTCTGATCACTTTCCCTACACTACAGGTCTTAGACACAGCACTAAATGCCATTTACCCAGCAAAGATAGGTAGGCTTTACTTTGGTTCCTTCTATCATTTGTTTTTGCTTCCTTCTCTTCACTGTTGGATGATTATTTTTGAGGTTTAGCAAATAGTAGCTGTGAATATCAACTTTCAAGAGAGAACTCCAGGAGGACACTGCTGTTAACTGGATTTCTTAGTCATGTTCACATGAAGCTGCTAAGGCTTGCTTCAGAACATGAAGAACAATGGTATATAAGAAAACTCATTACAGCAAAATTTAATCTGTTTACTTACTTGGCATGAAACTTATCCCTGGTTGAAAATATATCTAAAGCCTAGTCTACTTTTGCCTTGTTGTGGAGACAATCAAGATTATATATTTCATCTACATATGTATATATGATTATATATATGTATATTTCTTTAGGATATAATATTACATGATACTATATTATAATGTTATCACAATATAATACCATGTTACAATAGTACTATAGTAAGTGATCATCCAAAAGTGAAGACGGAATGAAAAATAAGTAATATAAGGAACCAAAGTAAAACCTACCTGTAATACTATATTATAATGTTATTATAATATAATACCACATTATAAGTTATTATAATACCATATTATAATGTTGTTTTCATATAAGATTTAAAGTGTTAAGATAATACTGTCATGTTATTATAATACTAAATTCTAATGTTATTATAATAGTATTTTAATATAATACCATATTATACTATTTTGCTAATACAATACTATATCATAAAGTTTTAATAATATAACACTATATTATACTGTTTTTTATTATATAATTCTACATTATCATGTTTTTATAATATAATATTATCTTATACAATTATAACAGTGGTTAAAACTCAGGTTCAATGTCAGGCAGCATGGATTTATTCCAAAATTTACTGTCAGCCTTAGACAATTTGATTAATTTTCAATTTGAAATACCTAACAATGTATTTCATACCCTTGTTTCTGTATTCTAGTAGATAATGCATAGAAAATGTTTAACACAGTGCCCTGAACATAGTAAATATTTAATAAACATTAGTTTTATTATTTAAATGTCATCATCCTTTCCCTAAGGCTCTTCATTTTAAAAATGACAACAGTAAAAGCAGAGAGTGAGAGTATTTGGTATAACTTTCTTGAAAATATTTTTAATCAAAAATGTCCACTTCTGGTTTGTATAGAAACTTTTATCTTTTGTATCTTTATCTTTCTCCTAACATGAATAAGGACCTAAAATATTTCATTTAATTAAAAGTTTGTTTGTTTTTAATTAATAAAGTTCTACCAGAAACCATCTGCATTAATCAACATTATAGCCAAAATCTAATTATATCACCCTGTCAAATCAAAATGATTCATAACTTATTTCTAAGGTTCTGTTGATTAACTTACATATCAAGTAAAAATTATGACTATTTGTTTCTAGGTTTTTCTTCAATTAGGTGTGTATTACATAAATGTTAAGATAATTTCCATTAAATGAGAAAGTGAGATGTTTGAAAAAATAGGACAATAATTTTATTTTGAGAGATGACATTGACTTCATTGTTCCCTTTGGCCAAATCTACAGTGTACAGTGTAATATCAATTAAACAAATATATATTTATCAATCATCAATGATAGTCTTCATTGATTTGGCATTTGAGGAGGGCCCATGCAGTAACATGGTTGTGGTTCCTACCTCAAATGGTCTAGTTGTTAATATGATGAATTCTGAACAGTTGACTATTTAAAATTCTCTGAAATTTCATTAAGTGGTTTGTCTCTAGAAAACAAATGAACTAGTAAAAGATAAGTGATTTCTGCAACTGCACTGCAAAGTGAAGATAAAAACGGTTATTAGTTTATTTGTTTGCAGTGGGGGGTCTGAAGTACTATCAAATTGGGGGTTGGGGCATGTGATCTGGGATTTGGCTAAGTAATGATGAGACTAAATGACAATAGAGAGGCCTATTGCAGCACATTCCTATGTTAATCTGTGAAGAAAATATATAGTAACTTCTGTGTAGTCTACTAAGTATTTTAGAAAGTGAGTTGTTTATACACTTTTGATACTGTAAACTGATAGGTGCCCAAATGACTTATGAAGTTTTCTGTGCTCTTTGACCAATAATTTATTTATTACACTCTGAGTCTAACTGAATTACATGAAAAACTATTTAAAGTTAAAATAATGCATCTAAATAAGTCATATAAGATGTTGTAGAATCTATTTTGGGGGAGTATTATTTGAATATTACCTATAGAATTTAAACTTATTGAGTATGACCTGATAGGATATAGGTGGCATGAATATTTCCCCAGTAATTGTATTTTACTTTTATAGATGATCCATCAAGTTATTCAGTGATAAAAAGGAAACAAAATTAGCTAACAGATATTGCAAATCAATACTATAGGCACACATGCATAGTTTTGATTTAAATTATATGGACAATTCACATAATTTGCCAATACATAATTTGCCAATATATTTGTTCATAGCTCCAGTGATACAGGTTCATTAGGGACTTAAAGTTCGTATGTTAAAAAGTTGCCTCTCTTTTCAATCAGATCAAATATAATTGTATATTCAGGTATATAGATTCATAGACATCTCATTTTCCTTAATCTTTTTATTCCTGATAAATAATCTCCACAATTCTTTCTATATTTACTTCTATCAAAGCAGACTATATCCTCTCATGCTTATACTACTAAAATTTATAACCTGAACAGAACCTTTTCCTCTGAGTTTATCTTTATTAACTGTAAAAATGTTCACTGTGTCTTTAGGTCAGTAAGTGCATTTTCTTTTGGTTGTGCCAAGTTTTAGATTACTAGTTCAATTTCATCAATTCCTCCCATGTGCCTAGGGCCCATCTGGGAATGCTAAACAAAGCCAAAATTGGTATTAGAGTTCTAGCATGCAAATGGATAAATTGTAATCCTTCCTTAGGAAACCAACAGGTCAGTTTCAGTGGAGGAGAACAACTGTGCCCAAATGGATAGGACAATTACCCAAATTTATCTGAAGCCAGTAGAGGTAGGAAATTGGTGGAAAATAATGTCTTACAAAAGATATTAAAAAATGGTAAAAAGAAAAGAAGCTATATCTCTTATTAGCCCAAAGGGTGAGAGTGGGGCCCAAAATAGAAGTGAAAATTGGAGATTAGAAATCAAGAACACATGGAAATAGAACAAAGCATGAATGATGGAATAATATTCAAGGATTTTTTTTCTTATAAAGGCTGAGTCATCCCAAACTTCCTATTAATGGAGGCTGGTATTAGAGTGTTTGTGTAGATCAGAGATCTACACAGATCAACAGAATTATTGTTAAGGCTATTTAAACATTATGCACAAATATATCAATATGTATTGTAAGAAAGTTTAAGACCAAGTTGGGTTCCAACACTAATATAGGAAAGTGCTAAAAATGGGAGTTCGGCTGCCTCAGTTTTGGTCCGGTTCTGAGGAGCATAGCTCCAATTATATATGCTACCAAAAGGCAGAATCATCAAAACAGAACATGGTCAAAAACCAGTTTTGCAATGCTCAGCTGTCAACCCCAAAGAGGGTACCGTGTGAGAGAGAGAAGATAACTATTTGAAGATAATTCTGGAGAGCTGTTGGGTTGCTGGGACTGTTATTGTCTCCCATGTCTCAATGGGAAAAATTAAATACCTTGTTCTATACTCAAGTCTAGAAAAAGAAGCCTAAGGAATGCCACTGGGATAGTGTATTTGGGTTTCTTGGAGCATGTTGTATGGGATGAACTTGTTCTGAATCGTGCCTGAAAAATCTTAAGTATGTGTGACCGTGACTTCTTGGCTCCTCTGAAGATGAGGTCTTGTTAGGGAGGGGTTTTAGATCCTGCCCAAGAGAACTGCCTGGAGGGGAAAGACCAGAAAAGAAATAATATAAAAATATAGCTTAGGATGCAGAAGGATCAGAAAGAGGAGATGATTTGCACACACTAAAGAAAGCTCAAGTGAGAGATCACCAATGATTGGGTGGAGAGCTACATTTCAAGTACACCCAAGAAAAAGGGTCCATTTGAGAAAATGTAAGTTTAAACATCTGCCAAACCAGGTGAGTACAATTTGCCAGATCACCTTTAGAGCAGCAGTTAACTTCTGCTCTGAAGAAGCCCAAGAGAATATAAATAGGTGAGAAGGAGTAGAAACCATAGGTAGAAACAGGGAGAAACTGGCCTCATACATTCCTTTCTCATTCATCTAAATAAAGATGAATTTTGGTGGTGACAGCTGTAGGTATGGCATTACATATTTTAACTAATCACAATGTACTTCAGGTTAATTCTGTTGAAAATAGAAACTTTGCTCCAATATAATTCCCTTTCTCCCTGTTTTTAGTACTGTTACTCTTAAACACACATATACTTGTGTGTGTGTGTATGTTAAGACTCTCTTAATTGATACATTTGTTTCTTTCTCTGTTATTCAACCAGATAATTCTCATTGACTAATCTTCGAGTTTACTGATTGTTGTTTTTCTACCATCTTAAATATGCTTTTAAATTTCTTTAGTGAATTTTCTATTTTGTTTATTATATTTTTCAGTTCTGAATTTCTCATTTTATTTTTTAGTTTTTATGCATTTACTGAGATTCTCATTTTTGAACCATTGTCTTCATACTGTCGTGTAATCTTTAAATACATTCAGAATAGCTACTTTGAAATATTTCTGCTAAGCTAACATCTGGGCCCACTTGGAATCAGTTTCTATTGCCTGCTTTTTATTTTTTCCAAGTATAGGTCTCAATTTACTGTTTCTTTCCATGTTGCATGTTTTGTTGAAAAATAAAAATTTATATAATGTATTTTAGCAACTCTTGATTCTGATATATTTCTCTGAAGGATTTTTGTAATTTGTCTTAAACAATGAATCTATTTTCCTCATGGGGTGTAGCCACTTATGTATTTAATTATGTTTTATTATTTTTTATTTTACTTTGCTTGACTTCTTACTGGTTGCTCTTATGACTGCATAAATGAGTGATCAGTTAATTATTTGAACAGATATAGTCAAACATCTCAAGTCTATATGGCTTTTCATCCTTTGTCATTGGATTTGTATGTGGATTTGTGAGCACTTTGAAGTTTGACCATTTTATACACTACCTTTGATTTTTTGCTTTCTGTGGGCCTGTTATGGATCTCTTTTTTGACTAATTTCTTAGTCAGCTATGGATGTAGGAAGAACTTATTTGTCTCTTGCATGGCTCTCTCACATATAACTACCCCATAAAATCTGACTGGTATTCCACTCCCATAACCAGTTCCATAAACTTAGGCTAGCAAAGCTCTGAAGGTTTCTCATTTGTTTTCTACTGAGGTTTCTACTTTCATCAACAAACCACTTTCATGTATTTCCACAATCTGTCTCGAATCAAATCCATTTATCCTGGCAGCATGACTATTATTTCTAATAGCCAGCATTGCCTTGGGAACACTGCCGACCTAGAGGGAATAGGAGAAATTCTGATAAAAAAGACTACAATGTCCTGCTATTCATAGCAGCTTTTCATGATAAATGGTTTTAAATTTGATGTTTGTTTTTGGGTAATTTTCATGGCACTGACATGGTTATTTCTAACAATTTTGCCAAGATTTCTACTTTTTGGGAGGAAGAGTATTTGCTAATTTCTTCAGATAGCCATAGCAGTTAGTCTAGCAGTTCTGTAAGGTTTATTTAACATTGGAAAATCAGTTATTTTTTCCACATTAAAAATTTGCAATAAAAGTGTGATAATATGACCATCATATAGATGTAACTTTAATGTAGATAAATTGTAAAACATGTTCACTAATTTAAGGTCTTAAACTAGAATGAGCAAGAAGCTTCCTTAAACTAAAACAATAAATGGCATGGGGGAAATAACAATAGTAATAATTACATTTATTTCGAAACATTGAACACACTCATTTTAAATACAATAAAAAATGGTGCCAACTATCACTATTTCTATTAAACATTAATTTTTTACCTTTTTGCTTCACATTGCCATGTGTTCATTAGATATCAAATATATTCATATTAGAACACTCACTCTTATTCCCTATATTCATACAATCAGGTTTGAGTGCTTAATTTTTAGATATTTTATTGAAGTTAGGTATTAAATTATTTAAGGTAAATATTAACCTCAACTTTGTTTATAATCTAAGGTTTATGATATCTTTATAGTATTTGGAGAGAGTAGGAATCTTGATTTAATCTTCTTACATTATTGCTACTGTGACACATAAATACTCCTGCAGTTTATATTGCAATAAATATAAAAATCACTCAAAGGCATATTCACCACATACTAAATGGTTAGTTTGAGTTTCTTGTACTCCTTATAAAAATTATGAAACACTGTATTTTTACCAGTAATCACTCATCTCCAAAATACTAAGCTCGTTATTGTGGTAGAAGCACCTAATTATTGTCAAGATTGATGAGAAATGTTTGGTAATGTTTTTGTTTCCCCATTCTTTATCACATGTGCTAAAGACAGACATCAAGCTATCATTTTCTGGTTCCATCATAGGATGCTGTTTGTCATATCACATTTTTGCCATACCTTTTTTGTTCAGGCTGACAGTTTACATAATTTTCTCAATCTTATCATGATAGGTATAGACCAAACTGAAAAACTACATGTGTTCCAGAGACATTAATAAAACATATTTATGTCAAAACTCACTTTTCTTACTGAACTATATTATAAACAAATATTCTAATAAAGAAAATAATTTTATTTGAAGCTAAAATGTTTCCTTTGCAGTTTCAACTATTTTGTGACTGGAGAATTTGACCACTACTGAAAGACATTTGTCTTTCTTCATTTCAAAATAAAGCATCCTTTACAAGAATATGATTATCTTATTTTAATATGTAGTTATTCTCACATGAATGTCCCCTATTCTCTTCTGCAGTCATCTGGACTTTATTACCTGTCCACAAATAACTCATTCCTATTTCATTATCATGAAGTATATCTTTTAAATTTCTCTCAAATCCATTCTCTTCCCATTTCTTCTCGTATTAAAATATATATTTTTGTTATATTTCTTTATTCAGGAACATATAATCACCTTTTTTGGACTGGTGCAATAGCCTGTTTACTGATTTCAAGCCTCTAGTCATGTTAAGTTCTCAATTTAATATGAGTATTATAAGGAATTTTTAAAGCATGCAAAGCACATTGACATTTCTCTGCATGTCCAACGTATGAAACAAGACAAAAAAATAGTAGGTTAGATAAGGAATAAAACTGTCATTATTTAAAGATAGATTGATATTATGTGGAGGAAATCCCAAGAATTTACAGATAAACTACATAAGAATTGAAAACTAAATTCAGAAACTTCAAAAACTGTTAAAAACACAGAAAAATATAAATATAAATAGTAATTTCATGAAATTTACACAGAAAACTGCATTTTTTTTTCCCTAAAATAGGGATGGAAGGAACAGCTTACAGTATGTTTTATACCTTCAAAATACAAAGACATTTCAAATATACTGCAGACCACTATAGACCTATTTTGAGTCTATGGGAATACAACTACAAGTTCTTTAACAAAATATTAACAGAATGATTTCAGAGACACATATAAAAGAATGCAGCATGACAGAGTGGGGTTTACTTCGAATATACAAAGATGGTTTTCATTTAGAAAATAATCAATGTGCTTTGCAAGGCTAACAGAATAATGCAGAACTGTCAGGTGGTAATTTCAAAAATTGTGGAAAACCACTTGATAAAACTCAACAATCACTCAAGATAAAAACTAACAAAGGTAACCTATAGAAATCTTACAGCTAAAAAAATTAGCCAGGTGTGGTGGCGGGCGCCTGTAGCCCCAGCTACTTGGGAACCTGAGGCAGGAGAATGGTGTGAACCTGGGAGGCAGAGCTTGCAGTGAGCCGAGATCGCGCCACTGCACTCTGGCCTGGGTGACAGAGCGAGACTTTGTCTCAAACAAACCTGCATGTTGTGCACATGTACCCTAGAACTTAAAGTATTTTATATATATTATATATATAATATAGTTATAATACTTAAAGTATTTTATATATATATAAAAGAACAAGAAAAAGCAAAAAAAATTAATTAAAAAAATGTTACAGCTAGTCTCACTTTTAATTGCAACATATCGAAGTTTGATCATGATGTGAAGGTGCTTGTTTTTACCACTCTCATTCACTATTTTATGGGGGGCAGGGGAGGCTATTATAATGTAGCAAAAAAGAAAAGTTTAGCAAGGTGAAAAGATACAAGTTTAATTTACAAAAAGTTTTGGTTTTGTATATACTAGAAACAAACAACTTTAAAATAAAACATTCATAAAATAGTTATAAAACCTCACAAAATACTTAGGAATCAATTTAACTAAAGACAAACAAGAGTTTCTGATTAGCCTCTCCAAAGGAGGCAATCAGGTATGTATCTATCTTAGTGACTTTGAACAGAACGAGAGGAAGGTTTTCCCTAAGCAATTTCCAACTTAAGTTTTCCTTAGTGATTTTGGGGTCCCAAGATATTTTCCGTTCACACAACATTTCACTGACTGTCCAACCAATACTACTTGGCAAAACAAAGACAAAAACTAGTTATCTCAGCAAATATTTTGCATTTGTATATCTGTGAATTGATATACAAAGTCTGTATACACATACAGACACACATACAAATAAATATACATGAGAGAGAGGGCAACAAGAATATATTAATAGAACTTTCACTACTAGATATTAAGGCTTATTAAGTAATTAAAACAAATCGGTATTGGCAAAAGAATAGATGACCAACAGACTGTTGGGACTGAATAAAATCCATACATACACAGTAACATTATTTATGATAAGGGCAAAAGACATGAATTTATAGATTTAAGAAGCTAAGCAAATTACAAAAGGGATAAATGCCTAAATCATGATTTATATTAATAAATCGGAAGCAAACTAGAAGGCTATTAATATCAGATAAAGTAGACTTCAGAAAAAGGACTATTACTAGGGATAAAAAGACACTAGATAATGATGAAAAGGTAAATTTTAAAGATGATATAAAAATTTAATGTCTATGCACCTAAAAATAAAACTTCAAAATACGTGGTGCAAAAACTGGCAGAACTAAAAGAAGAAATAGAAAAACCTACAATCGTTTTTGGATATTTCAACTATTCTTTCACAGCAATAAATAAAACAATTATGCAGAAAATCAGCAATAATATTGAAGATCTGAAGAACACTATTAGTCAACTTGCCCTAATTAACATTTATGAAACATTTTACTCCACAATTGTAGAAAAAGATTTTTTCCAAGACCACATGGAACATTCATTAAGATAAACCATTTTCTAGGCAATATAACTAAACATAAAACATATTTTAAAAATAAAATTATAGAAAGTATTTTCTGTGAACAAATTGCAATTCAATTAGAATTCGTTAACAAAAAACCTGGAAATTTTGCAGTATGTAAAATCAAACAACAGACTTAGACATAACCCAAGGGTCAAAGAAGATATCACAGGGAAAGTTAAAAAATATGGAACGAAGGAAAACCTCAACATTTCAAAATTGTTTGATTCAGCTAAATTAGTCTTTAGAAAGAAATTATAGCATTAAATTCCGATTTTAGAAAAGAAGAAACTTTACAGGTCAAGTCAGTAATCTAAGTTTCTACTCAGAAAATTTAGACAAACAAGGATAAATTATATACTGAGCACATAGAAGGAAAGAAAAAACACAAGTATTAATGAAATTAAACTAATTACACAAACACTTCCAGAAACAGAAGAGAGTGGAATATTTCTCAACACGTTTTTTTTTGCAGCTAGTATTATGATACCAAAACCACAGTCATTATAAATAATTAGAACTGCAATCCAATATTGATGGTAAATAAAGAAACAAACTTTCTTATTGGAATAGTAGTAAATTTATCTAGCAATATATAAAAGATAGCCTATAATGACCAAAAAGATAGCCTATAATGGAATAAAAAGCATTTGACACTAGAAATGCAATCAATCTGATTCCCCATAAGAGCAGAATAAAGAAGAAAATCCATATGACAACCTCCAAAGAGAATTAGAGAAATTATTTGAAAAAATCCAAGATCAGTTTGTGATTAAAACTCTCAGCAGCTTGTCTAGAAGGGAATGTTCCTAACCTAATAATGGGAAACCCATTAAAAACAAACAATAATTCCTCTAGCTAACATCAGAGCTGATGGTGAAAAATTAAATGCCTTTCCCTTAATCTTGGGAAAGACACAAGGGTGTCTACTCTCACAAATCCTATTGAACATTATACTGGAGGTCTTAATCAATACAGTGAAGCAAAAAATAAAATAAAATAAAATAAAAGCTTAAAGACTTAAAAAATGAAATCATCATTATTCACTCAGAAGATATGATTCTATATGTTAAAAAATCCCAAGAAATCTATAAGCACTAGAACATAAAAATGAGTTTAGCAAGAATACAGGATATAAGGTCAGTAAAGAAAAGTTAATTACATTTCTATGCATTATCAATGAAGTAGAACTTGAAAAGCATTACCATTTAATAATACTAAACCTCACAAAATATTTAGGCATAAATCTAGCAAAATAGGAACAGGATCTCTAAAACTAAACTGTAAATCACATGAAAGAAAAGAGAACACTAAAAAATTGGGAAATGCAGCCTTTTTATGAATTGGAATACTGAATATTGATGTTAGTTTAAATTCAGTGCAATTGTGTTGAGATTCAGTGCATCTCCAATCAAAATCCCAGCATGTTTTTGTGCATAAGTCAAAAATCTAATTCTAAAATTTACATGGGGATAAAAATAAACTAGAAACTAGACTAGCTATACAATTTTGAAAAAGAACAAAATTTGTTCTGATAAAAAATTAAAGCCATCCTATAAAGCTTCAACAATAAAACAGTGTTGTTTTGCTGAAAAGATAACTACGTTTCAATATAACATAATAGTTAATCCAGAAATACACCCATTCTTTCATGATCAATTGTTTTTAGACAAAATAACAATGTTAATTGATTCAAGAAGAAATGATCTTTTGGAAAACATGTTAGAATTATTGAATACATATATGCAAAAAGAATAAAAACAAAACCCAAAACCTCAGCTCTTTGTTTTACTTTATGCAAAAAACAACTCAAAACAGATCATAAAGCTAATTGTAGATATAAAACCTCTGGAGGAAAACATAAAAGGAAATTTTTAAATCTCATCTTAGACAAAGTTTTTTTAGCTACTACCTATAGATTATGATCCATAAAAGAAAAAAAGGTGATAAATTGGTCTTCATCAAAATAAAGATCTCTGCCTTTTGAAAAAGATTGCTAAGAGGATTGAAAGACAGAGTATAGATTGGAATAAGCTATTTACAAGTAACCTAGCTTGGAAAGAACAAATAAGGCAGTTTTAAAATATGGACAAAATATTTGTGTAGACACTTCACAAGAAAACAGTGTATGAATGACAAATAATTACATATGATTCTCAGCATCATTAGTCATTAGAAAAATGAACATTAAAAACACAATTACATGCCACCACTAACTTACTAGAATGTCCAAACACAGACACACACAAACCACAACAAAATGGATAATTCCAAGTGCAGGAAAGTATAAGCAGCAACCAGAATGCTCATACTCTGCTAGTAAGAAGGTAAGCTATCACGTTCCTGTGGAAAACTGGCAGTTTCTTATAAAATTATACACATTCTTAACATATGATTTAGCAATCCCAGTGGTATTTACCCAACAGAAATGAAAAGTTATGTTCATGCAAAAGCCTGTCTACAAATATTTATTTATTTTTATTTTTGTTGATATATCATAGTTGTTCATATTTTGTGGGTATGTGTGATACTTTGATATATGTATACAACGTGTATTGATCAAATCAGGGTAATTGGGATGTTCATCACCTAAAATATTTTTCTTTGTGTTGGGAACACTACAAATACCTAGCTTCTTTGAAAAATACTATATGTTATTGTTAATTATTTTCTTACTATACCATTGAATATTAGAATATTTATAATCAATAATATATTATCACATATTAGAATATTTATAATGGAATACTTACAGGGTTATATTTATAATATAAAATACTTTATTTCCCAATTTGGTAGGTGTTCTCTTTTCTTTCATGAGATTTACAGTTTGAGTTTATAGATCCTGTTCCTATTTTGCTAGATTTATGCCTAAATATTTTGTGGTTTATTATTATCAAATGGTAATGCTTTTCAAGTTCTACTTCATTAATAATGTTTATAGCATTTATAAGTGTTAGCATTTATAATTGCTAACAACCGCACACAACCCAAATATCCTTCACTTGATGAACAGGTAAATAAACTGGTACATCCATATAACAGAATACTACACAGCAAATAAGAGGTACAAACTACAGATGTACACAACAGCTTGATACAATGATAAGGATCACTAAAAAGGGATACAACTGAATATTTTTGGAGGGGAGATATTTCTATATCTTGGCTGTGGTGGCGGTTACAGAGCTGTTGCAAAACAGTGAATTTTATTGTATGGAAACAAAAACTTTATTTAAAATATTAACCATTAACAAAGATTAGAAAAAATGTTTATTACAGCAGAAAATGTTAATACTTACAAATTCATTGGGGGACTTCTGGTTTCTGATTTGGCATGTAAGGAGTTGAAAGTTGCCACTCCATCCTAACAAGTGAAAAACCTGAACAAATGAAAATCAACAATCCTTCTTAGATTTCTCAGATAAATGAAGTCAAGGGGAAAAATCATTGATCTTCAAATTTGGAGAGACAGGCAAATGTACAGAATCTCAATCTACCAAAGCAGAAATCCACAGACAGAAACCTCTATGGGAACCAGTGCTTGGGTAAGAAAATCTAAACTGTAATTGAAGAATTTCTCAAAGCTTAGTGTGGACAAGTCTGATAATTTAAAACTCCAGAGGAATCCTGACGGAGGGAGGTCCCAAAGTTTTCGTATTCTACATTCAGAGCTCAACCAGGATTTTCCAGCGAAGTCTGGAGAAAAAAAATCCCTTCTGCTTCCAGTAGAGGAGAGGAAAAGGAACCATACTGAAATATACCAGAGCATTCTGTACTTTCTACAAAGACTTACCTCAGGAGAAAATATTTTGGGAGACCTGCTGGAGTCTTGTCAGAACCTAACTGATCTGGGGGCTGGGAGATACCCAACTTCAGCCCATTCTAGCCATCCTGTTTCACCTAAGGCCAGAAACAGAAGCGGTTGTGAAGATCACAGTGTAGAGTCCCAGGCTCACTAACAGACAGACCTAAGCAAGGATTTTCTCCCCACATCTTACCACCATGCCACTGAAGGCCTCTTGACCATAGTTCCTTTTACCTAATAAATCATATCCAGCTATCCAAAGAAAGAAAGGAAGAAAGAAAGAAAGAAATATATAAGACATAATAAAAGGAAAGAAAACTCCCCCCAAACCAAGCAAAACAAAGTTTGAAGAGACAGAACAACATTTTAACCATTCTCAGATATGGCAGGGATTTTGAAATTATTAGATTTGGAATTTAAAACAACTATGATTAATATGCTGAAGGCTTTAATGGATAAAATAGATAGCATACAAGAATAGATGGGCAATGTAAGCAGAAAGATGAAAAGAGTGGAAAGAGGAAAGAATCTAAAAGAAATGCTGAAGAACAACAACAACACTATAAAATAAAGAATGTCTCTGATGAGCTCATTAATAGACTGGACATGACTGAGGAAAGAATTGCTGAGTTTTCCTCATGCTAATGATCTCATGATAGAAACTTCCAAAGTTGAAAGGCAAAGAAAAAAAGATTGAAAAAATATGTCCAATAACTATGAGACAACTACAAAAGCCATAAAGTGTGTGTAATGTGAATATTAGGAGGAGAAGAGAGAGAGAAATAAACAGAAGAAATGTTTTAAACAATAATGACTGAGCGTTTCCCCCAAATTAATGTTAAAGACCAAACTATTGTTCCAGGAAGCTCAGAAAAAAACAACAAAGATAAATGCCAAAAAACCTAGGCATATTATATGCAAAATGCAGAAAATCAATGAAGAAAAAATACTTGAAAGAAGCCAGAGGAAATAATTTAAAAAAAACAAACTTTACCTACAGAAGAATAGATTAGAATAACATCTGACTTCTCAGAAAACACACAAGTGAGAAAAGAGTGGAGGAAAATATTTGAAATGTTGAGAAAATAAAAAAAAGAAACCCACACCAGCCTAGAATTTTACACCCTGTAAAATTATCCTTCAAAAGTGAGAGAGAAATACGGACTTTCTTAGACAAACAAAAATTGAGAAAATTTGTTGCCAGTAGACCTGCCTTGCGAGAAATGTTAAAAGGTTCTTCAGAGAGAAGAAAAATAGAATAGGTCAGAAAACTGGACTTACATAAAGAAAGAGCATTCAAGTAAGGAAGTGTCAAGGTAAAATATACACTTTTATATTTCTTATTCAACCCAACTGATAAAAGTCTGTTTAAAATAATGACCACAATATATTTGATTATTTTATATATTTATATATATACATATTACATATGTATGCTTATGTGTGCTTATGCATAAATGAAAGAAATGACAACAATAATACAAGAAAAGGGAGGAAGAAATTAGGATCTTATTTTTTTTATTATAAGGCACTTGACCAACACATGAAGCTTTATAGTATTATTTCAAAGTGAGTATAGATTTGTTGTAAATGTAAATTGCAAACTACAGGGCAACACTAAAAAAAGTAAAAAAGGAAGTATAATTAGTTATGCTAAAAAAGGAGAGAAAATGGAATCATAAAATGCTCAATTAAAACCACAAAAAGAAACAAAACAGAAAAACAGTAAAGACAAAGACAAAATAGGAACAAAGAACAAGGACAAGGAATCAAATAGAATCTAAGTTGAGAAGAGCTGAACTTCATACATGAACTTTTAAAATGTGATAGATATAGCATGGCAGCTTAGTACAGAAATTACAGAATTTCAATTAAAAAGCTGGGACTTGGGTTATGGATGTGAAAAATGTGATATTGCACACCCACTCCATATAAACAAAAATTAATCCTAGTAATATTAAATGAAAAGTTCAAAACTCGGTCAATGTCAATATAGTAAAATATATGTATGTGTATTAGTCAGCTTGGGCTCCACAACAAAATAGCATAGGCTTAAAGCCTTAAATAAGAGAAATGCATTTCTCATAGTTTTGGAGGCTGGAAATCCAAGATCAAGGTATAGGCTAGTTTGGTTTCTGGTGAGGGCATTCTTTCTGGCTTGGAGCTAGTCATCTTCTTGCTGTGTCCTCACATGGTGGAGAGAGAGAGAAATCTCTCTAGTTTCTTTCTAGAAAGGCATGAACCCCATCATGAGGACCCTATCCTCATAATCTCATCTAAGCCTAATTACCTGCTTCCAAAAAGCCGCACCTCTAAATACCATCATTGGTGGTTAGAGCTTCAACATATAAAACTAGGAAGGACTTAACATTCAGTTCATTACGTATGTCATCGGATTAATAAAAACGTTTTCTTAAGATACAAAACAGACGCAGGTCTTCCTTAAGGAAAAGATGATAACTGAAAAGTCAGATATTACCAACTTTTGGCAGAAAGCTGACACAACAACAACATTCTCTCTCTGCTGGTGCAATTCTTTATTGAAAAAAACATTTTAGAAATTATTTTGACAATTCCTAGCAAAGTGGAACATGTACTTCTTCTATGAGCCAGAAATTTCACTACGAGGTATGTATGTTAAACTCTTGCACATGTGCATAATGTGACATAGATGAGAATTTTTGTAAAGCAACAAAATTTGCATAATAGTAAAACAAACACACAAACAGAAAAATGAGGAACAACTCAATAATCTATTTACAATATAATTGATAAATAAATTATGGCTTATTCTGTACTAATCTGTTTTCACGTTGCTGATAAAGACATACCCAAGACTGGGCAATTCACAAAAGAAAGAGGTTTAATTGAACTTACAGTTCCATGTGGCTGGGGAAGCCTCATAGTCATGGCAGAAGGCAAGGAGGAGCAAGTCATGTCGTACATGGATGGCAGCAAGCAAAGAGAGCTTGTGCAAGAAAACTCCCCCTAATAATAATAATCAGATCTTGTGAGACTTACTCACTACCACGAGAACAGCATGGGAAAGATCTGTGCCCAAGATTCAATTACCTCCCACCAGGTCCCTCCTACAACGTGGGAATTCAAGATGAAATTTGGTGGGGACACAGCCAAACCATATCATTCCTCCCCTGTCCCCTCTCTAATCTCATGTTCTCACATTTCAAAACCAATCATGCCTTCCCAACAGTCCCCCAAAGTCTCAACTCATTTTGGCATTAACTTAAAAGTCCACAGTACAGAGTCTCATCTGAGACAAGGCAAATGCCTTCTGCCTATGAGTCTGTAAAATCAAAAGCAAGTTAGTTACATCCTAGATACAATGGGGGTATAGGCATTGGATAAATACAGCCATTCCAAATGGGAGAAATTGGCCAAAACAAAGGGGCTACAGGCCTCATGCAAGTCTGAAATCCAGTGGGGCAGTCAAATCTTAAAGCTACAAAATGATCTCCTTTGATTCCATGTCTCACATCCATGTCACACTCATGCAAGAGGTGGGTTCCCATGGTCTTGGGCAGCTCTGCCCCTGTGGCTTTGCAAGGTATAGTCCCTTTCCTGGCTGCTTTTCCAGGCTGGCATTGAGTGACTGCGGCTTTTCCAGGTGCACAGTGCAAGCTGTGAGTGGATCTACCATTCTGGGATCTGGAGGATGATGGCCCTCTTCTCACAGATGCACTAGGTGGTGCCCCAGTGGGGACTCTGTGTGGAGACTCAGACCATATATTTTCCTTCTGCATTGCCCTAGCAGAGATTATCCATGAGGGCTCTACCCCTGCAGCAAATTTTTGCTTGGGCATCCAGGCATTTCCATACAGCCTCTGAAATCTAGGCAGAGGTTCCCAAACCTCAATTTTTGCCTTCTGTGCACCCACAGGGTCAACACCACATGGAAGCTGTCCAGGCTTGGGGCTTCCACCCTCTGAAGCAACAGCTGAAGCTGTACCTTTACCCTGTTAGTCACAGCTGGAGCAGCTGGGATACAGGGCACCAAGTCCCTAGACTGCACACAGCATGAGCACCCTGGGCCCAGCCCAGGAAACCATTTTCTTCTAGGCCTCTGGGCCTGTGATGGGAGAGGCTGCCATGAAGACCAATAACATGCCCTGGAGACATTTTCCCCATTGTCCTGTGGATTAAAATTTGGCTCCTCATTACTTATTTCTGCCGCTGGCTTGAATTTCTCCTCAGAAAATGAATTTTTTCTTTTCTATCACATTGTCAGGCTGCAAATTTTCCAAACTTTTATGCTCTGCTTACCTTATAAAACTGAATACCTTTAATAGCACCCAAGTCACCTCTTGAATGCTTTGCTGCTTAGAAATTTCTTCTGCCAGATACCCTAAATCATCTCTCTCAAGTTCAAAGTTCCTCAAATCTCTAGGGCAGGGGCAAAATGCCACCAGTATCTTTGCTAAAACATAACAAGAGTCACCTTTGTTCCAGTTCCCAACAAGTTCTCATCTCCATCTGAGACCACCTCAGCCTGGACCTTATTGTCCATATCAGTATCAGGCTTTTGGTCAAAGACATTCAACAAGTCTCTAGGAAGTTCCAAACTTTCACACATTTTCCTGTCTTCTCCTGAGCCCTCCAAACTGTCCCAGCCTCTGCCTGTTACCCAGTTCCAAAGTCACTTCCACATTTTTGAGTATCTTTCCAGAAATACCAAACTCTACTGGTACCAACTCTACTGTATTAGTCTGTTTTCACCCTGCTGATAAAGATGTGCCCAAGACTGGGCAATTTACAAAAGAAAGAGGTTTAATTGGACTTACAGTTCCACATGGCTGAGGAAGCCTCATAATCATGGCAGAAGGCAAGGAGGAGCAAGTCATGTCTTACATGGATGGCAGTAAGCAAAGGGAGCTTGTGCAGGAAAACTCCCCTTTTAATAACCGTCAGATCTCCTGAGACTTACTCACTATCACGAGAACAGAATGGGAAAGACCTGCCTCTATGATTCAGTTACCTCCCACTGGGTCCCTTTCACAACATATGGGAATTCAAGATGAAATTTGGGTGGGGACACAGCCAAACCATATCAATTCTTACCATGATATATTATTACAGTGCAATTGAATTAACTGTAGGTATATGTATTTACATAAATTGATCCTAAAATATAGAAAGGAAAAATAAAGTCACTGAAGAGTATATCCTGTGTACTATAGTGTATGACTTCATTTATATATTTTGCACAGAAATAAAATTAGTAATGTACCTTTTGGAAGACATACATAGGTGGTGGTTGTAAACAAAAGCAAAGGGATAATTTACATGGAATTCAGAAAACTGATTACATCTCAGTGGGCTTCTGTAGAAGTTTAATATTCTACATATTTTTGTTTAGATAATGAGTATACAGATGTTCATTAAAAAAAACTTCCTATATTATTATTATTATTACTTGAGATGGAGTCTCTCTGTGTCACCCAGGCTGGAGTGAATGTGTCACCCAGGCTGGAGTGAGTGCAGTCATGTGATCACAGTTCACTGCAGCCTTGACCTCCCAGAGTCAGGCAATCCTCCCACCTCAGCCTCCCTAGTACCTGGGACCACAGGCACGCACTACCATGCCTGGCTAATATTTTAGTTTAGTTTAGTTTATCTTTTTTTGTGGAGATGGGATCTCCCTATATTGCCCAGACTGGCCTCAAACTCCTGGGTTCAAGGGATCCTCCTGCCATAGCCTCACAAAATGCTATGCTAGGATTACAGGCATAAGCCTCCATGCCAGGCCCCATATAACTTTTTATTCTTCCTTTTCCTGTGTCTTTTTTTCTTTCTTGTTTTTCCTTTCCTTTCCTTGCCTTTCCTTGCCTTGCCTTGCCTTGCCTCCTTCCCTTCTCTTCCCTTCCCTCCCCTTCCCTTCCTTTCCTTTCCTTTTCTTTTTCCTTTCCTTTTTGTTTCTTTTTTTCTTCCTTTCTTTCAACAGATATGTGATCTAATCATAGATATGTGTTTTAATTACAAAGTAAGTTAGAGAGCACCTTGAAGTAAAGCAGATTGGTGGAGTGTATAACTATCCTAGTTAAGGCCAAGTGAATTTGAGTAGTCTATGAAACATCCAGGTAGAAAGGATGTCTAGAAAAGTTATATGGTATGTCTGGAACTAGAAACTAGGCACTATTAGCATAACTGGATATTTAAAACCATGAGAGTAGTTGGCATTTCTCAGAAAGAGCAGGCAGAGTGAGAAAAGTCATTGCTGGAAATGAAACCCTATGGAATACTAACACTTAAAGGGAAAATACAAGAAAAAAAAAAAACCCTGATAAAATAGGCTAGCAATACATCCTCAAAAAAAGTAGAGAGGTGCAGTGGTAGTGTTTTCAAAGTCAACTGAGGAAACTGTTTTTACTAGAAGGAGACTATTAAGAGTATAATTATTTATCAGGACAAGTAAAATGAAGAACAGAAATATGACCATGGAGTTGTATAATTAGCAACTCTAACTACCTTTTCCGACACTGCTTTTCTCTGTCTCAATCTGGAGGGTAGAGGGGTGGAGAAGGGAATTGAGTGTTAAGAGTTATTGATCCATTCAGCCAATATTTGTTAAAAACCAACAGCTACAGAATACTTAGAAAGCTCCAGGTTAAAAAAAAAAAAAAAAAAAAAAAACCATCTCCCTCATTGTTTTTCTTTTATTTTTAATGAAGTGTCAAGAATTGGTGAATGTTAGGAAGAAAAAGCAACTGTGGAGAAGAATAGCCAGAAACAAGTAATCTGAGAATGGGAATATGAAGGTTCAATCAGGTTTAGAACATTATTCAGTTTAAGAGATATTTGAAAATAAAATGCAGAAAAATCATGAAAACAAAAGGATAGAAAATAATGGGGTTCTATTTACACAGGGTACTCAGACAAATCCATTAAGAGGAGACACTGTTTGATTGAGACCTATACAATGTGAGTCCTAAGACCATATCTAAGGGAAGAACATTTCAGAAAATTGAACAGCAAATTCAAATTAACTAGATTGGGAATTTTTCGGGCAGAGAATTGTGTGGCATATTCAAGATATCATTGAAAGGTTGGCAGAGCTGAAGCGCAGTGAGCCCCAGAGACAGAGGTAAGACATTATCTCAGAGAAGAAGTGTAGTGGGAAGACAGAGAAGGTAGTGGAGAACCTGGATTTGAACCCAGCTAGTTGGGCTCTAATGTCCCCATATTTAATCTCTAGTTGGTATTACCTCTCAGTTTAAAAATGATGCCTTAGGTTCTACAAAGTATTTGCAGAGATTAGGGCCCCATGTATTCCTGCCAGAGTCTATTGTTATAGGTCAACAGAGCTCCCAATGTGACCCGGAGGGACATGTCAGTCCATGTTAGAAGTTAATTTCTGAGAATAGACCCCGTTGGACAATCACCCTGGTCTTCCTTAGAGGTCAGTTAAGAATTTCTGAATAAACAAAATAGGATGTTCCTCAGATTTGGTTACATAAATATATAATATACAGCAATTACTACTACTACTATAAATAATAAAATAATGATGATAATCTCATCAGTTTCTTATGATAGAAATGGTTATTTACTTCTTTACAGAAAGTCATATATACCCTTGGAAGTTTAACCACAAGTTATGAGGTCATAGCCTAAAAAAGATGGACTGACTGATGTTGTATATTAATTAGGTATAAAAAGTGGGCCACCCAGGATTAGGAATCACCAAGAACTGACCCAAACATCTCTTAGGCAAGCTACCGATCCAATATCAAGAGAAGTTCAAATAGGCTCTAAGGCTAAGAATAACAAAAGGTTTGGATTTCATCTCCATTAGGTGGATTCATACACATACAAATCTTCATCCTTATTACACAAAACAGAAATGTGAAAAGGATCTCAAGTTTTTATGACCAACTAAAACTGTGTATTATTTGCAACCACTGTTTCCAGTTGTCAGTTGTGCTCTTTTCTCAGATTCACAGAGGATACCAGGTAATAACATAAGCCCCACTTGTGAAAATGAAGCCCACTATTAACTTTCTGCAGGTTTCCTTAGCAATTACAATATCTACTCTGCTACAGATTGAATGTGTATCCTCTCAAAATTCATATGCTGAAACCCTTCTCCCGAGTGTAATGGTATTAGAATGTGTGGCCTTTGGGAGCTAATTAGAATTAGGTGGGATAATGAGGGCAGAGCCCTCAAGAATGGGATTCATTTTCTTTTGAGTCACTAGAGAGTTTGTTTCCCCTCTCTGCTATCCACCGTGTGAGGACACAGTAAGACAGTTGTTAACAACTGGAAGACAGTCCACACCAGAACCCGACTGTGCTGACACCCTGATCTTGGATTTCCAGCCTCCAGAATGGTGAGAAATAAATTTCTGTCATTTGTAAGCCAGCCAGTCTAACGTAATTTGTTATAGCAGTTCTAACTGGCTAAGAGATGCTCTATAAAGAATGAAGATATATCTGAATTGTCAACTTTAAATCATTCTGTATATATCTAAAGCCAATTTTTACTTTTGTTCTTATTTTTTCTTAAGCTTTAATGATTCAAATTTAAACAGAACTTCCAATTTACCTCTCACTAAAATATTTTATCAGAAAGTTAGTGCCAAAGAAGTCAAAAGCATTTCCCAACACACTTAGAGCCTTCCTCTAGGATTCATGTCATTTTCTTTTATATGTATTCATGGTAAAACTGAGCTAAAGAGCTTTAGGCTCTATTTCTCATGGGCAACTCAGAGGTATAGTTATGTCCTTACAACACTTGAAAGTAGTGTGAGAAAAATGCCCCCATTTCTTCCAAATGAGTATATTTTCTATGCATATACTATAATGATAAGAGGTGAAAAAATATTGAAGTTTTGGTCCCACGTTAGTCTTATTTATATTATGATATGAGCAGTGTTTCTTAAGAAAATAGTTACAGGTTGGTGTTTGAGAACTGCTGGAAGTCTACTAGCTTGGACCATCACATCCTCTTTAAAATGATTACATTGGCAAATATCCTTCCAATTATTTGTCATGTTGTGATGGTTAATACTGACTGCCAACTTGATTGGATTGAAGGATGAAAAGTATTGATCCTGGGTGTGTCTGTGAGAGTGTTGCTAAAGGAGATTAACATTTGGGTCAGTGGGCTGGGAAAGGCGGACCGACGCTTAATCTGGTTGGGCACCATCTGATCAGCTGTCAGCATGGCTAGAATCTAAAAAGCAGGAAGAAAATGTGAAATGATGAGACTGGCTGAGCCTCCCAGCCTACATCTTTCTTCTGTGCTGGATGCTTCTTGCTGTTGAACATCGGACTCCAAGTTCTTCAGCTTTGAGACTCAGACTGGCTTCCTTGCTCCTCAGCTTGAAGACAGCCTATTGTGGGACCTCACCTTGTGATTGTGTGGATCAATATTCCTTAATAAACTCCCCTTCATATATACATTTAACCTATTAGTGCTGTCCCTCAAGAGAACCCTGACTAATACAGATTTTGGTACAAGGAGTGGTTCTAGAGGAACAGAATATTAAGGATGGAGTTCTTTCATTGGTTTTGGGGTTTCTGGAGTTCGGTGCTTAATACCCAAAATGCTAAGGACTCTACTTCTAATAGTATGGAGAACACTATTAGTCGTTGGCATGAACTGTTTAGAGAGTTAGACAAAATAAATGCATTTGACACTACTGATTCACCAATCCTGAGAGGCAGGAGCTTAGTGACTCTATACATAATACCTTTGGCCATATGTGGAGAACCAAGGAACATAATGAAGCTTGTTGGTTTCTCCTAAGTTCACTGTACGAAGTGATGAAAGAAAATTATGAACTCAGGAATTCTAACTCCCGGCTTCAGAAGCAGATACTGAGCCTCAAGTCTTCTAAGATTGCCTTGAGTGAGAGTCTTATCTCCTGTAGAGAAAGAGCTGAAATTGTGGAAAAACAGACACAAGCTCTTATCATGCAAGTGGCTGATCTGCAACCAAAAGTGCATGCACAGCCTCATCAGGTGTCTACTGTTAAAGTGAGGGCACTGAATGGAAAAGAATGGGATCTTGCAACTTGGAATGGGGGTATGTGGGAGAACGCTGATGTAGCTGGGGACACTGAGTTTGTAAACTCCAATGAATCTTTTTTGCTAGAGGAAACAGCTTCCCATTTCCAAGTAGTGCCAACATCCCCTCCCCAACCCCTGCTGCCATTAGCCTTTCCACCTTTGTCTGAGGAGATAAACTGTGTTGCCTAAGGCAACAGTGATGGCTTCCTCTCAGGCAGTTGCCCGGCAAGAAAATGTTGATTATCCTCAGGAGCCACCCCCAACACCCTCCTTAACTTCTAGACCTATAACTAGACTAAAGTCCTGGTGGGCCCCTAGAGATGAGGTTGAGAGTGTGACCCATGAGGAGGTGCGCTACACTCAAAAATAATTGCTTGAGTTTTCTAATTTGTATAAACAGAAACCTAGAGAACAGGCTGGAAATAGATATTATGGGTGTGGGATAATAGTGGAAGGAACATAGTGTTGGATCAGGCTGAATTTATTGACATGGGTCAACTAAGTAGGGAATCTGCATTTAATGTTGCAGCTCAGGGACTTAAAACAGGTTCTTAATAGTTTATGTGCTTGGTTAGCTGAAATATGGATTAAAAGATGGCCCATTGTAAGTGAGCAGGAAATGCTTGATCTCTCTTGGATTAATGTAGAGGAAGGGATCCAAAGACTTGGAGAGACTGGGATGGCGGAGTGGACTAGTCACTTTGGACCTACTCATCCCAGCTGGGAGGGTCCAGAAGATGGATCCTTGACCAATGCCTTGTGAAAGATTTGTGAGAGCAGCACCTGTGCCTTTTTTTATTTTATTTTTTTATACTTTAAGTATTACGGTACATGTGCACAATGTGCAGGTTTGTTACATATGTATACATGTGCCATGTTGATGTGCTGCCCCCATTAACTCATCATTTAGCATTAGGTATATCTCCTAATGCTATTCCTCCCCCCTCTCCCCAACCCACAACAGTCCCCAGTGTGTGATGTTCCCCTTCCTGTGTCCATGTGTTCTCATTGTTCAATTCCCACCTATGAGTGAGAACATGCGGTGTTTGGTTTTTTTGTCTTTGCAATAGTTTGCTGACAATGATGGTTTCCAGCTTCATCCGTGTCCCTACAAGGGACATGAAATCATCATTTTTTATGGCTGCATAGTGTTCCATGGTGTATATGTGCCACATTTTCTTAATCCACTCTATCATTGTTGGACATTTGGGTTGGTTCCAAGTCTTTGCTATTGTGAATAGTGCCGCAGTAAACATACGTGTGCATGTGTCTTTATAGCAGCATGATTTAAATTCCTTTGGGTATATACCCAGTAATATGATGGCTGGGTCAAATGGTATTTCTAGTTCTAGATCCCTGAGGAATCGCCACACTGACTTCCACAATGGTTGAACTAGTTTACAGTCCCACCAACAGTGTAAAAGTGCTCCTATTTCTCCACATCCTCTCCAGCACCTGTTGTTTCCTGACTTTTTAAAGATCGCCATTCTAACTGGTGTGAGATGCTATCTCATTGTGGTTTTGATTTGCATTTCTCTGATGGCCAGTGATGATGAGCATTTTTTCATGTATTTTTTGGCTGCATAAATGTCTTCTTTTGAGAAGTGTGTGTTCATATCCTTCGCCCACTTTTTCATGGGGTTGTTTGTTTTTTTCTTGTAAATTTGTTTGAGTTCATTGTAGATTCTGGATATTAGCCCTTTGTCAGATGAGTAGGTTGTAAAATTTTTCTCCCATTCTGTAGGTTGCCTGTTCACTCTGATGGTGGTTTCTTTTGCTGTGCAGAAGCTCTTTAGTTTAATTAGATCCCCATTTGTCAATTTTGGCTTTGTTGCCATTGCTTTGGGTGTTTTAGACATGAAGTCCTTGCCCATGCCTATTTCCTGAATGGTATTGCCTAGGTTTTCTTCTAGGGTTTTTATGGTATTAGGTCTAACATGTAAGTCTTTAATCCATCTTGAATTAATTTTTGTATAAGGTGTAAGGAAGGGATCCAGTTTCAGCTTTCTACATATGGCTAGCCAGTTTTCCCAGCACCATTTATTAAATAGGGAATCCTTTCCCCACTGCTTGTTTTTGTCAGGTTTGTCAAAGATCAGATAGTTGTAGATATGCGACAATATTTCTGAGGGCTCTGTTCTGTTCCATTGGTCTATATCTCTGTTTTGGTACCAGTACCATGCTGTTTTGGTTACTGTATCCTTGTAGTATACTTTGAAGTCAGGTAGCGTGATGCCTCCAGCTTTGTTCTTTTGGCTTAGGATTGCCTTGGCAATATGGGCTCTTTTTTGGTTTTGTATGAAATTTAAAGTAGTTTTTTCCAATTCTGTGAAGAAAGTCATTGGTAGCTTGATGGGGATGGCATTGAATCTGTAAATTACCTTGGGCAGTATGGCCATTTTTCACCATATTGATTCTTCCTACCCATGAGCATGGAATGTTCTTCCATTTGTTTGTATCCTCTTTTATTTCATTGAGCAGTGGTTTGTAGTTCTCCTTGAAGAGGTCCTTCACATCCCTTGTAAGTTGGATTCCTAGGTATTTTATTCTCTTTGAAGCAATTGTGAATGGGAGTTCACTCATGATTTGGCTCTCTGATTGTCTGTCATTGGTGTATAAGAATGCTTGTGAGTTTTGTACATTGATTTTCTATCCTGAGACTTTGCTGAAGTTGCTTATCAGCTTAAGGAGATTTTGGGCTGAGATGAGGGGGTTTTCTAGATGTACAATCATGTCATCTGCAAACAGGAACAATTTGACTTCCTTTTTCCTAATTGAATGCCCTTTATTTCCTTCTCCTGCCTGATTGCCCTGGCCAGAACTTCCAACACTATGTTGAATAGGAGTGGTGAGAGAGGGCATCCCTGTCTTGTGCCAGTTTTCAAAGGGAATGTTTCCAGTTTTTGACCATTCAGTATGATATTGGCTGTGGGTTTGTCATAGATAGCTCTTATTATTTTGAGATACATCCCATCAATACCTAATTTATTGAGAGTTTTTTAGCATGAAGTGTTGTTGAATTTTGTCAAAGGCCTTTTCTGCATCTATTGAGATAATCATGTGGTTTTTGTCTTTGGTTCTGTTTATATGCTGTATTACGTTTACTGATTTTCGTATGTTGAACCAGCCTTGCATCCCAGGGATGAAGCCCACTCGATCATGGTGGGTAAGCTTTTTGATGTGTTGCTGGATTCGGTTTGCCAGTATTTTTTTGAGGATTTTTCCATCAATGTTCATCAAGGATATTGATCTAAAATTCTCTTTTTTTGTTGTGTCTCTGCCAGGCTTTGGTATCAGGATGATGCTGGCCTCATAAAATGAGTTAGGGAGGATTCCCTCTTTTTCTATTGATTGGAATAGTTTCAGAAGGAATGGTACCAGCTCCTCTTTGTACCTCTGGTAGAATTTGGCTGTGAATCCATCTGGTCCTGGACTTTTTTTGGTTGGTAAGCTATTAATTGTTGCCTCAATTTCAGAGCCTGTTATTGGTCTATTCAGAGATTCAACTTCTTCCTGGTTTATTCTTGGCAGAGGGCATGAGTCAAGGAATTTATTCATTTCTTCTAGATTTTCTAGTTTATTTGTGTAGAGGTGTCTATAGTAGTCTCTGATGGTAGTTTGTATTTCTGTGGGATCAGTGGTGATATCCGCTTTGTTATTTTTTATTGCGTCTATTTGAATCTTCTCTCTTTTCTTCTTTATTAGTCTTGCTAGTGGTCTATCAATTTCGTTGATCTCTTCAAAAAACCAGCTCGTGGATTCATTGATTTTTTGAAGGGTTTTTTGTGTCTCCATTTCCTTCAGTTCTGCTCTGATTTTAGTTATTTCTTGCCTTCTGCTAGCTTTTGAATGTGTTTGCTCTTGCTTCTCTAGTTCTTTTGATTGTGATGTTAGGGTGTCCATTTTGGGTCTTTCCTGCTTTCTCTTGTGGGCATGTAGTGCTATAAATTTCCCTCTACACACTGCCTTGAATGTGTCCCAGAGATTCTGGTATGTTGTGTCTTTGTTCTCGTTGGTTTCAAATAACATCTTTATTTCTGCCTTCATTTTGTTATGTACCCAGTAGTCATTCAGGAGCAGGTTGTTCAGTTTCCATGTAGTGGAGCGGATTTGAGTGAGTTTCTTAATCCTGAGTTCTAGTTTGATTGCACTATGGTCTGAGAGACAGTTTGTTATAATTTCTGTTCTTTTACATTTGCTGAGGAGTGCTTTACTTCCAACAATGTGTTCAAATTTGGAATAGGTGTGGTGTGGTGCTGAGAAGAATGTATATTCTGTTGATTTGGGGTGGAGAGTTCTGTAGATGTCTATGAGGTCTGCTAGGTGCAGAGCTGAGTTCAATTCCTGGATATCCTTGTTAACTTTCTGTCTCGTTGATCTGTCTAATGTTGACAGTGGGGTGTTAAAGTCTCCCATTATTATTGTGAGGGAGTCTAAGTCTCTTTGTAGGTCACTAAGGACTTGCTTTAGGAATCTGGGTGCTCCTGTATTGGGTGCATACATATTTAGGATAGTTAGTTCTTCTTGTTGAATTGATCCCTTTACCATTATGTAATGGCCTTCTTTGTCTCTTTTCATATTTGTTGGTTTAAAGTCTGTTTTATCAGAGACCAGGATTGCAACCCCTGTCTTTTTTTGTTTTCCATTTGCTTGGTAGATCTTCCTCCATCCCTTTATTTTGAGCCTGTGTGTGTCTCTGCATGTGAGATGGGTTTCCTGAATACAGCACACTGATGGGTCTTGACTCTTTATCCAATTTGCCAGTCTGTGCCTTTTAATTGGAGCATTTAGCCCGTTTACATTTAAGGTTAGTATTGTTATGTGTAAGTTTGATCCTGTCATTATGATGTTAGCTGGTTATTTTGCTCGTTAGTTGATGCAGTTTATTCCTAGCCTTCATCGTCTTTACAATTTGGCATGTTTTTGCAGTGGCTGTTACTGGTTATTCCTTTCCATGTTTAGTGCTTCCTTCAGGAGCTCTTTTAGGGCAGGCCTGGTGGTGACAAAATCTCTCAGCATTTGCTTTTCTGTAAAGTATTTTATTTATCCTTCATTTATGAAGCTTAGTTTGGCTGGATATGAAATTCTGGGTTGAAAATTCTTTTCTTTAAGAATGTCGAATAATGGCCCCTGGTCTCTTCTGGCTTGTAGAGTTTCTGCCAAGAGATCAGCTGTTAGTCTGATGGGCTTCCCTTTGTGGGTAACCCGACCTTTCTCTCTGGCTGCCCTTAACTTCTTTTCCTTCATTTCAACTTTGGTGAATCTGACAATTATGTGTCTTCGAGTTGCTCTTCTTGAGGATTATCTTTGTGGCGTTCTCTGTATTTCCTGAATTTGAATGTTGGCCTGCCTTGCTAGGTTGGGGAAGTTCTCCTGGATAATATTCTGCCGAGTGTTTTCCAACTTGGTTCCATTCTCGCCGTCACTTTCAGGTACGCCAATTAGACGTAGATTTGGTCTTTTCACATAATTCCATATTTCTTGGAGGCTTTGTTCATTTCTTTTTATTCTTTTTTCTCTGAACTTCTCCTCACACTTCATTTCATTCATTTCATCTTCCATCGCTGATACCCTTTCTTCCAGTTGATCGCATCATTTACTGAAGCTTGTGCATTCGTCACGTAGTTCTCGTACCTTGGTTTTTAGCTCCATCAGGTCCCTTAAGGACATCTCTCCATTTATTATTCTAGTTATCCATTCGTCTAATTTTTTTTCAAAGTTTTTAACTTCTTTGCCCTTGGTTCAAGCTTCCTCCTTTAGCTCAGGGTAGTTTGATCTTCTGAAGCCTTCCTCTCTCAACTCATCAAAGTCATTCTCCATCCAGCTTTGTTCCATTGCTGGTGAGGAGCTGCATTCCTTTGGAGAAGGAGAGGCACTCTGATTTTTAGAATTTCTGGTTTTTCTGCTCTGTTTTTTTCCCCATCTTTGTGGTTTTATCTACCTTTGGTGTTTGATGATTGTGATGTACAGATGGGTTTATGGTGTGGATATCCCCTCTGTTTGTTAGTTTTCCTTCTAACAGTCAGGACCCTCAGCTGCAGGTCTGTTGGAGTTTACTGGAGGTCCACTCCAGACCCTGTTTGCCTGGGTGTCAGCAGTGGTGGCTGCAGAATAGCGGATATTGGTGAACCGCAAATGCTGCTGCCTGATCATTACTCTGGAAGTTTTGTCTGAGAGCAGTACCTGGCCGTGTGAGGTGTCAGTCCACCCCTACTGGGGTTACCTCCCAGTTAGGCTACTTGGGGGTCAGGGACCCACTTGAGGAGGCAGTCTGCCCGTTCTCAGATCTCAAGCTGCATGCTGGGAGAACCACTACTCTCTTCAAAGCTGTCAGACAGGGACATTTAAGTCTGCAGAGGTTACTGCTGCCTTTTGTTTTTCTGTGCCCTGCCCCCAGAGATGGAGCCTACAGAGGCAGGCAGGCCTCCTTGAGCTGTGGTGGGCTCCACCCAGTCTGAGCTTCCCAGCTGCTTTGTTTACCTACTCAAGCCTGAGCAATGGCGGGCGCCTCTCCCCCAGCCTCGCTGCCACCTTGCAGTTTGATCTCAGACTGCTGTGCTAGCAAGAGCAAGGCTCTGTGGGCATAGGACCCTCTGAGCCAGGTGTGGGATATAATCTTGTGGTGTGCTGTTTGTGAAGCCTGTTGAAAAAGCGCAGTATTAGGGTGGGAGTGACCTGATTTTCCAGGTGCCGTCTGTCACCCTTTTTTTTGACTAGGAAAGGGAATTCCCTGACCCCTTGCCCTTCCGGGGTGAGGCGATGCCTCGCCCTGCTTCGGCTCACTCACGGTGCGCTGCACCCCCTGTGCTGCACCCACTGTCCAGCACTCCCCAGTGAGATGAACCCGGTACCTCAGTTGGAAATGCAGAAATCACCCGTCTTCTGCGTCACTCACACTGGGAGCTGTAGCCTGGAGCTGTTCCTATTCGGCCATCTTGGCTCCACCTCCCACATCTGTGTCTTTGAAGAGCTCTGTAATAGCTCTTCTCTGTATGTCAGATCTAACTGGGAACCACAGTCACTCAACTACAAAATGTAAATACAATGGGAATAATTGGATTGTGAAGTGGCAGGGACCAAGTGGCAGCACTCAACCATCATAGGCCAGGTGGGAGTAGCTACTGTAATGGACAGCAGAGGCAAAGGGTGAGTCAGAATATTCCAACTCCTGTACTGCTCTGGTATTGACTAACTATTAATAGTGTTTCTAGAAGTGAAATTGATATGAAGCCTACTGCATTCCTTCTTAATTTATATAGGCAGAAAAATTCTAGGTTGAATAGACAGAAGACTAATTAAAATTGTAAAAACAGAGAATCACGATTCCTCAATCAATTTCTAGGCTTGTGCCAGTTTACAGACCCAGAACCCCTTCAATGAAAGGGAGGCTGGGTCGTCTTGAGGAAGGATCTCACAACATTACTGAAAACTTATGCTGTCAGTCTTTCTCCCATCATTACCTAAGGAGACCTCTGGCCTTTAACAGGGTGACTGTGCAATGGGGAAAGGGAAATGGTCAGACATTTTGGAGACTATGGATACTGGTTCTGAGCTGAAGTTGATTCCCAGAGACCCCAAATGTCATTGTGATCCTCCAGTTAAAGAAAGAGCTTATGGAGGTCAGGTGATTAATGGAGTTTTAGCTCAGGTCTGACTTACAGTGATTCCCTGAACTCATCCTGTGGTCCTTTCCCCAGTGCCAGAATGCATAATTGGCATAGACATACTTAGCAGCTGGCAGAGCCACCCCCCGCCTGGTAGGGTGAAGGGTATTGTGGTGGGAAAGGCCAAATGGAAGCCATTAGAACAGCCTCTCCCTAGAAAAATAGTAAATCAAAAATAATATCACATCCTTAGAGGGATTGCAGAGATTAGTGCCACCATCAAGGACTTGAAAAACACAGGGTTGGTTATTCCCACCATATCCCTGTTCAACTCTCCCACTTGGCCCACAAAGAAGACAGATGGATCTTTGAGAATTACAGTGGATTACCATAAGCTTAATCAAGTGGTGACTCTAATTACAGCTGCTGTAGCAGATGTTGTTTCATTGCTTGAGCAAATTAACACATCTCCTGGTACCTGACATGCAGCCATTGACTTGGCAAATGACTTTTTCTCTATTCCTGCCCATGAGGTCCACCAGAAGCAATTTGCCTTCAGCTGTCAAGGCCAGCAATATACCTTTACTATCCTATCTGAGGGATATATCAACTCTTTGGCTTTGTGTCATAACTTTATTCGGAGAGATCTTGATCTCTTTTCACTTCCACAAGGTATCACACTGGTCCATTACTTTGATGACATTATGCTGATTGGATCCAGTGAGCAAGAAGTAGCAAACACCCTGGACTTATTGGTGAGACATTTGCATGCCAGAGGATGGGAAATGAATCTGACTAAAATTCAGGGATCTTCTACCTCAGTAAAGTTTCTAGGGGTCCAATGGTGTGGGGCCTGTCGAAATATTCCTTCTAAGGTGAAGAATAAGTTGCTGCATTTCACCCCTCCTACACCCAAGAAAGAGGCACAATGCCTAGTGGGCCTATTTGGATTTTGGAGGCAGGACATTCCTCATTTAGGTGTGTTACTGTTGCCCATTTATTGAGTGATACAAAAGGTTGCCAGTTTTGAGTGGGGTCCAGAACAGGAGAAGGCTCTGCAACAGGTCCAGGCTGCTGTGCAAGCTGCTCTTCCACTTGAGCCATATGACCCAGCAGATCCAATGATGCTTGAGGTGTCAGTGGCAGATAGGGATACTGTTTAGAGCCTCCGGCAGGCCCCCATAGGTGAATCACAGTGGAGGCCTCTAGGATTTTGGAGCAATACCTTGCCGTCTTCTGCAGATAACTACTCGTCTTTTGAGTGACAACTCTTGGCCTGTTACTGGGCTTTTGGTGGAAACCGAATGTTTGACTATGAGTCATCAGGTCACCATGCAACCTGAACTGACTATCATGAACTGGGTGCTTTCTGACCCATCTAGCCATAAAGTGGGTCATGCCCAGTCACATTCCATCATCAAATGGAAGTGGTATATATGGGATTGGGCTTGAGAAGGTCCTGAAGGCACAAGTAAGTTACATGAGGAAGTGGCTCAAATGCCTATGGTCTCCACTCCTGCACCCTGCCTTCTCTCCCCCAGCCTGCACTGATGGCCTCATGGGGGAATTCCTTATGATCAGTTGACAGTGAAAGAGAAGACTAGGGCCTAGTTCACAGATGGTTCTGCATGATATGCAGGCACCACCTGAAATTCGACAGCTGCAGCATTACCGCCCCTTTCTAGGACATCCCTGAAGGACAGTGGTGAAGGGAAATCTTCTAGAGGGCAGAACTTTGAGCAGTGCATCTGATTGTGCACTTTGCATGGAAGTAGAAATGGTCAGATGTGTGATTATATACTGATTCATGGGCTGTAGCCAATGGTTTGACTGGATGGTCAGGGACTTGAAAGAAGCATGATTGGAAAACAGGCGATGAAGAAATTTGGGGAAGGGATATGTGAATGGACCTCTCTGAGTGGTCAAAAACTGTGAAGATATTTGTATCCCATGTGAGTGCTCACCAATGGGTGACCTCAGCAGAGGAGAATTTTAATAATCAAGTGGATAGGATGACCCACTTGTTCTGTGGACACCACTCAGCCTCTTTTCCCAGCCACCCCTGTCATCGCCCAGTGGGCCCATGAACAAAGTGGCCATGGTGGCAGGAATGGAGGGTATGCATGGGCTCAGCAACATGGGCTTCCACTCACCAAGGCTGACCTGGCTATGGCTACTGCTGAGTGCCCAATTTGCCAGTAGCAGAGACCAACACTGAGCCCTCGATATGGCACCATTCCTCGGGGTGGTCAGCCAGCTACCTGGTGGCAGGTTGATTATATTGAACCGCTTCTATCAAAAAAAGGACAGAGGTTTGTCTTCACTGGAATAGACATTTACTCCAGATATGGGTGTGCCTTTCCTGCACGCAGTGCTTCTGCAAAGACTACCATCTGTGGACACATGGAATGCCTTATCCATCATCATTGTATTCCACACAGCATTGCCTCAGACTGAGGCCCTCACTTTACAGTGGGCTTATGGTCATGGAATTCACTGGTCTTACCATGTTCCCCATCATCCTGAAGCAGCTTGTTTGATGGAATGGTGAAACGGCCTTTTGAAGTCCCAATTATAATACAAACTAGGTGACAATACTTTGCAGGGTTAGGGCAAAGTTCTCCAGAAGACCGTGTATGGTCTGATTCAGCTTCCAATATATGGTAGTTTTTTCCATAGCCAGGATTCATGGGTCCAGGAATCAAGGAGTGGAAGTGTAAGTGGCACCACTCACCATCACCCCTACTGATCCACTAGCAAAATTTGTGCTTCCTGTTCCCACAACATTATGTTCTGCTGTCCTAGATGTCCTAGTTCCAGAGGGAGTAATGCTGCCACCAGGAGACACAACAATGATTCCATTAACTGGAAGTTAAGATTGCCACCTGGACACTTTGGGTTCCTCCTACCTTTAAGTCAACAGGCTAAGAAGTTACAGTGTTTAAGTTACGTATCTTTAAGTTACAGTGTTGGCTGGGTTGATTGACCCAGACTATCAAGATGAAATCTGTCTACTACTCCACAATGCAGGAAAGAAAGAGTATGCATGGAGTACAGGAGATCCATTAGGGCTTCTCTTAATATTACCGTGCCCTGTGATTAAAGTCAGTGGGAAACAACAACAACCCAATCTATACAGGAAGGACTACAAATGGCCCAGACTCTTCGACAACAAAGGTTTGGGTCACTCCACCAGAAATAAATAAATAAATAAACAAACAAACAAACAAACGACCTGCTGTGGTGCTTGCTAAAGGCAAAGGGAATACAGAATTGGTAGTAGAAGGTAGTCATAAATATCAGCTATGACCACATGACTAGCTGCAGAAACAAGGACTATATTTGTCATGAGTATTGTCATGAGTATTTATTTCCTCCTTCTTTCGTTAAAAACTTGTTTGTACATTTATACACTTGTACTAAGAAACTATCTTCATTTTATTTCCTTTTTCTTATCATGTGACATAAGTTTTATTGACTTCACATCAGCATTTAAGCATTGTTAACTTTATGTAATAGTATTTGGGTTGGGGACTGTTGTGTTTCCCGTATGAAAGATAGTTGTATTATGTTAGGCATAGTTATGACCTTATTATTGTCTTTATTTGAAGATTATGTACGATCTCAGAAGATGTGTACGGGTTCAAGTTGACAAGGGGTAGGCTTGTGATGGTTAATACCGAGTGTCAACTTGATTAGATTGAAGGATACAAAGTATTGATGCTGGGTGTGTCTGTGCCGGTGTTGCCAAAGAGATTAACATTTGAGTCAGTGGGTGGGGGAAGGCAGATGCACCCTTATTCTGGGTGGGCACCATTTGATCAGCTGCCAGCATGGGTAGAATATAAAAAGCAGGTAGAAAAATGTGAAATGACAGACTGGCCTAGCCTACCAGCCTACATCATCTTTCTCTTGTGCTGGATGCTTCCTGCCCTCACACATTGGACTTCATGTTCTTCATTTTTGGGCCATGGAATGGCTTTCCTTACTCCTCAGCTTGCAGACAGCCTATGTGAGACATTGTGATCATGTTAGTTAATTCTTAATAAACCCCCCTGATATATATATACATGTGTATATATATATGTACATACATGTATATATATGTATATACACGTATATGTATACATATATATATGTATCCTATAAGTTCTGTCCCTCTAGAGAACCCTGACTATTATACATGTTAATGACATAATTTATTTTCAAATTTTATTTATTATTTTTAAATTTTGTAATATTGACAAGGATTATATATGTTCCAGGATTAAAAATGTGGTTACTTGATATGCATATACTGTAATTTTTATCATATCAAATTAATTAACCAAATTATCACTGCCTGTGGTTTGCATTAAATCCCATAATTGCTCATGTTATAACTGAAAGTTTGTGCCCTTTGAGCAACATCTTCCCATTTTCCCCAAGGGACCAGTATTAAGATCATATCAGAGCCAGAAAAGAAGGCTAGGAAATAAGCAAAGTATAGATGTATTATCATAATGTCCATACTACCTGAGGTGATCTACAGATTTAATGCAATCCCTATAAATTTCCTATGACATTTTTTACAGAAATAGAAAAAATATTCAAAAATTCATATAGAATCTTTAAAGACCATGAATAGCCAAATAAATCTTAAGACAAAGCAATGTTGGGGCCATCACATTCCCTAATTTTAACTATATTACAAAGCTATAGTAATCAAAACAGTATGGTATTGGGATAAAAATAGACACATAGACCAACAGAACAGTATAGAGAGCCCAGGAAAAAAACCCAATCATGTATGGTCTCCTAATCTTTGACATATGTGCCAAGAATACAAAATGGGAAAAGGACAGTTCCTTCAATAAATAGTGTTGGGAAAACTGTATATACACATGCAAAACAATAAAATTGGACCATCGTTTTACATAATATACAAAAATTACTTTGAAATGTATTAAAAATGTAAATGTGGGTTCCAAAATCATAAAACTTCTAAAAAAAGAATTTAGATAAGTAGATAGATATCTACTTAGCAACTTCCTCTTAACTAATTAATTACATGAGAAAAGTGTCACATAAGAAAGGATGCTCAGTTCCATTAGGAGCACATCAACTTTGTAATTTGAAAAAAGTAAATGAATTATGTTTTAATTTCAGTTTCACAATTTAAATTAATAACACTAAGACAAGTAGACTTATTACAGTGAGCCTAAGAGAACATAAATATATTTCTTTAAAATGCTCAACAGAGAAAAATAATTTTACCAAATGAATATTATAAAAACATCTACTGTTCTCAAACAAATGCATGATTTAATCCATTTTCAGTCAAAATGACAATTTTTGCTCTTTTTTTAGTCATTTGAGAATGACAACTTGTCAAAAGTATTTAAAAATATATAGTAAATGTTAGAAATGCCAAAAGATTTTTGCAAAAAATATTTAAAAAGTATTTTTGCTACACCAGTTTCTGAAACAGATCTACTGTAAATATAAAATATTTGTATATCATTAAACAAACAGATGAGAGGATTGAAATATAGAGTTCAGCATTAGGTCCAAGGATATAAGGAAAACACATACGACTAAAAAGTGGTGAGTCTGTTTAACATTCAGCTCTCTGGGGCTGCAGCAGGGTAGAGGGGAGACTGATATAGAGTTTACCAGTTTCTGTGATATAAATGCTTAGACTATAGCCAATTATAAGCTACCAATGTCATACCAACCAGCTTTCAAAACTCTTAAAAATTTAACAATTGGAGCACACCACTGATAAAAGTGTTATTTCAGTCTCCTGGAAAATGTTTGCTTAATAAATGATTGCCTAACCAACTTAACAAAAATAAAGTTAAAAGCCTAACACACTTAAGACAAAAATAAAATCTCTATTGTCTATACGTAAATTAGCCATATTTTATTACATGAGAAAATAAAACTTGATAGATAAAAAGACAAAGATATAGATAAATGATAGATAGATAAGATTGATTTACACTGAGAAAAGCTAAAAGACAAACAATAGACTAGGAAAGCATTTGAACCATTTATTGTAATCAAAATTTAATATTCCATATATATATGGACCATCATTTCTATATGGACAATTGTGTGTATACACACCCATCCACCCACCCACACACCGCACTATAAATTCAAAAACAGCAAAAGTTAAAGTAAAAATGATACAATAAGCAAGAAAGACAACCCATAAAAGATAACTGAAAATTATTAAAATAAAGAAGGAAATAAAAAATATTCTGAAACTCATGGTAAGTAAATCACAAGAAAACATCATTTTTAAAAAACATCAGATTAACAAAATTTAAAAGACTAGTAATATCCAGTATTAAATGGGGAAATATGTATACTGGAACATTTTGTGGAGAAATGTAGTCTCACATATTCTATAACAACTGTGAGTTAAAATTATACATACTCTGACTTAACAATCCTATTTTGTTATGTGTGTGAAGTGGAGGAGATCTCTCTTCAAGAGAAAAACTCAATAAACATGAGTAGAAACATGTATGTCTACAGGGACTTTTTTAATGGTAGCAAAAGATTTGGGAGTAGATATATATATGCCAATAGAGTAGGTAATGTTTGAATTGGTTATAAAATATTAACACCGTGTAGTATAACCCAACATCAAAAGTGAATTGTATCTCTCACTATTGATGTGATGGGATGTAAATGATACTCCAAAGACAAAAATTGCCAAACTGTTATTAAAATCTCATTTTTCTAAGACAGAAGTATTTGAAGTCCTTATACATGGCTATATATTGGCATATGTGTGTTTAAAAATGGAATAATATGAGATATCTCTGCTAAAAAGATAGACTCAAGGTAGGTATGTTTGTGAAGTAGGTAGGGTGAGTGAAAATTACTAGCATTATCATTTTATATCTCAACGTTATTTAGTTTGTTAGAAAGTGCATTGTGTAAATAGCTAGAACGGAAGGTTTGAAATGTTCCCAACACAAAGAAATGATAAATGTTTGAGGTGATGGATGAGCTGCATACTCTGATTTGATCATTACACATTGTAGATACATGTCAAAAATCACATGTACACAATAAATAAGTACAAATATCTACCAATTTAAAAATAAAGTACATTGTGTGGCATTTAATATTTAAAATATACTGAAATTTTGAAATAATTTGTTAGATTAATATATATTGAATTGAGTGATTGTTGTGACATATTTCATGAATAAAAGAAAATGATTACGAACAAATAGACCTGTTTGTTCATGAACAAAAAACATGATAGAAAGATTGAGAAAAAAATTCAGTTTTTTACAATATTTGTAGGAATGGAATTGGTATAAGCATTCTGGGAGATATTTAGGTAAATACATATGAAAATACTTAAAAAATATTTGTCATTGTCTCCAGAAACTTAACTTTTAGTCATTAATCTTGAGGAAATAATTGAAACATTTATTTGATGAATAAATTTAGCAAAGATTTGGCTGCTAACATGTCACAACTTAAATGTAGTTTTTACTAAGCGACTGATTAAATGCACTGTTGTTACAATCAGGCCTGATAAGTAGCTGATAGTCACCCACAGTTCCAACGGTTTATGTTAGCATCTGTTTCTGCCATTTGCTTTATGATTATTGGTTGGCGGTTTGTGCCCACAACATGCAAGATGTTAATATTCTAAATATTACACCCAAATATAATCTTCTGAGAGTACAGTCTACAACCATTAAAAGTGACATGGTGCAATGGTGTTTCCCTGCTTTAATAATTTGCTATTTTACCCTCAAGAATTTTGCCATATGCATGTGCCACCTGAGTCCATATTTTCTTAACATAGTTCCCTACGTCTGCTAATAAACTTGTCAAAAACAGAAACCAGCATTGTTTAATATGAAGGAAAAGTAATGATAAATACAAATATGATCAAAACAATACTATTAATTATAAGCTTGATAGCCTGTTTAGGCATTTTAGAAAAGGATAATTAAAAAAAAATGACTATTTAAGTCATACTTAGGTCTTTATATAATCCGAATGACTGCAGTAAAATGAGAAACGAAATGAAGTTTATGTTATTGACATAATATTATTTAGTGACTTGCTCTAAACAACATGAAATTAGCTTCTGTAGTCATAACATCAAAGACATATATCCAACATTTAAGGAAACACTGAGATAGATGAAAAATGAAAGCCTTATTTGGTTCTAAGCGAGAGAAAACCCAAGCACAATGGCTGAGGCAATTTATGTTTATGTTTCCTTCATATTGAGGAATCTGGTGGTAGGCAGTGCTGGGCTAGAGGCTCAAGGATGATGTGTCTGTAATCCTCTTTGCCTTTCCCTCATGCTCCAAAGATGGCTGTTAAGGTGCCAGTCTTCAAATCTATATGCAAGTTGGAAGAAAGTAAAAGGATGGGGAAAAGAAAGAATGAAGCCATCTGGACTTATTTAATTGGAAAAGCAAATATTTGGCAGGGTGTGATGGCTCACTCCTGTAATCCCAGCAACCTGGGAGGCCGAGGTGGACAGATCACTTGAGGCTAGGAGTTCGAGACCTGCCTGGCCAACATGGCAAAACCCTGTCTCTACTACAAAAATAAAAATTAAAAAGCCAGGTGTGGCAGCACATGCCTATAATCACAGCTACTCGGGAGGCTGGGGTACGAGAATGGCTTGAGGTGGAGGTTGCAGTGAGCAGAGATCACTCCAAGACAAAAAAAAAAAAAAAGAAACAAAGAAAAGCAAAAGTTCAACAGTTCTCTGGAACGCCCCCGCCCCCCAACTCTCTTCTCTTAGATCTTTTTGGTCCAAACTGGATCATTGCTCACCCTACATGCCAAGGAGGCTGGGAAATCAGGGAATGGGATTCTTGTGAGTGGCTTTACTGATCTTTATCCTTCCTTTGGACTGGACACCTTGCTGTTTCACAGACATCCTTTTTAGGAAGAAAATAGGGAGTGGATGGTAGCCATCAATAGCTACCATAATGTGCATGGTGTTCACGATGTATTTTCAACACAGTTTAAAAATGACATCTACAATATTCTGTTTTTCAAAAGGATTTAGCATGTGTGTATACACATGTGTGTACTTATTAATGAAAATCTATGTGTTGCTTTAAAGGAACTCCCAGGGTGCTGGGATTACAGGGGTGAGCCACCATACCCTGCCAAGGATGTGGAGGAAATGTGAGGTGACAATTTTTTAACTCAATTCTATTTTAAATATTAGACTTATACTATTTAAAAAATATAAGATTAATGTCCTTTTTGAATCTGATTTTGTTAGATTTTAGAAAATAGAAAATAGCCCAGTTTTTCTGACAGGCTTTGCTCTGCTCACCTAGTGTCTTAGTGTCCCAACAACCAATCTCCGTGGCCTGTATGTAGACTAGAAAATTACTTAACAGGGGTAAGAGGAATTACGTGCTTCTTGTTCAGCAAATACGTTGTTTCATTTGGGAAAGTCTAAACTGTAGATAGAAATCTGACTTTAACCTTCTATTTATGCCTTCATAGCAGCATGAAGAGCTGGGTAGACAGTGCAGGGCTTACCGTTTTGAGACAAGAGCTTACTCTCTTATCTAATTCTTCCAGAATCCAGATTTTGTGGCCTTTAGACAAAATGTAAGCTACATCTGTTTGATTCAACAATTGTATAAATTTTATTACTGTTGAGACAGAAAGTATCCCACAAGAAAAATAATGAATTTCCAGCATTACATCTTTGTGTATTTATATGAATGACATGGCTCTGAAATTTTATTCAGCTATCTGAGTGGGTGTCTGCCTGGTGCCCTGGGATTTTAGTGCCTTTTAAACATTCTGGCACAAAGCAAGCCTTTTTTTTTCTTAGTTGTGTGTGTGTGTGTATACATGTATATACACATATATACGTATGTACATATATACATATACACATATGTACATATACACATACACATATATAAATATGTGTACATGTACATATGTACATATGCACATATGCACATATGTACATATGCACATATGCACATATGTACATATGCACATATGCACATATGTACATATGCACATATGCACATATGTACATATGCACATATGCACATATGCACATACGCACATATGTACACATATGAATATGTACATATGTACATATACACACACATATATATACACACATATATATACATAATGCTTAACCACAATGATGATTCAACTAAAAATCATTTCTGTATTAAATAAAATTTCTGGGAACCAAAGATAACCTTCATGCACACTTGATATTAAAACAAGGTCACTGGTCCCTTTCAATAGTTCCAGCTCACTCTGGAATCAGTGAGCATAAAAGGCCACTCAGTCTGTCATATGATTGCTACTTTTTATTTAATGACTCTTGGTTTTCTCATTTACTGGTGGGGGCAGGGATTTCTCAATCTTTTCTGAAATTTTAGATAGGTGTAAGGCCAAATTCTAAATGATGGCTGCCTTGACAGCCCCACTGACTAGACTTTATTTATTATCTATATCATGCAGGGCAAAATGAATATGTACAGGTGCACATAGTAGTGTTGGTGGAGAGAATAAGACCATCTATAACACTGTATTAGCACTTTATCACAGTCTGACTATAAGCCATAACTACTTTTTTCATTAAAAATTCAAAATAAAACAAACTTCATCCTTTCACACACCTGTGTTCTCTCTGCCCTGCTCATCCCAAGGGAACATCTGGACACGGAATTTAGAAATCATTATATTAGTGAATTGAGAGCCAAGGCAGCCAGCATAAGGATGATAAGATCCAATGAATCATTCATATCTAAGAGTTGAGCTGATTCATTTTAGAGCCATTGAAGTGGACACAGAGCTTTTCATTGAGGATCAGCATAAAATACCTTCCAGTTGTCAAGCCAGATTGAGCAAAAAAGCAAATTATCTGAGCATCATTTCAGAAAGTGTCAAAGGAAATGCCAACCAAGTGGCAGCAGAAATTTTTGTGTTTCAGAACTGCATGATTTGTCATACAGAACTTTAACCATTTTATTTTTATAAGGTATTCCAAAGGTGAAAGCATTCCAAGTATTTCTCCCTTATGCTGACATTTAAGTGATATTTATGGGTAAATATAGGCTTTGCTTTTTTATGTGGAATAAGAAACCCCATAGCATTTTCTTATGAATATGATCATTGAGGTATAAATTAAAGTTTTAATGAAAGGAAACCAGAGTGACAAGCAGGATTCTCCAAAAACAGCCCTAGATGCTTATGTCAGGTTGCCTAGAAGAATGCAGGCTCCAGAGGGAGAGTTCTACATCCCACATCCTTGTGTTCGTGCCCTTGTGTAATTTCCTGCCTTTGAGTGTGGGCTGCACCTGGTGTCTTGCTTCTAACCAAAAGAATATGGCAAAAGTGATGAAATGTCACTTGCGTGGTTAGGTTACAAAAGACTGTGACTCCCACCTTCCTAGCTCTCTCTCTCTCTCTCTCTTTTACTGGAACTCTCTTGCCTTCTCGTCTTTTACACTTTTCTGAAAAATATTGAAGAGACTTGAGTGGCAAAGAACTGAGAGTGAACTCTGCCCAACAGCTAGCAAGGAAATAATACCAACAACCAAAAAGATTGAATCCTGCCAACGACCACTGAGTAAGCTCAGAAGTGGATCTTACCTTGTTAAACCCCAGTGTGACTGCAGTCCAGTCTGATACTTTGATTATAGTTTCATGGGAGACCCTAAAGAAGAAGACTTAGTTAAATTGTGCTGTGATTCCTGACACACAGACACTGTAAGATTATGAATGTGCATTGTTTAAACTGTTAAGTTTGGGGTAATTTGTTACAAGCAAAAGATAACTAATACACCTACCAAACCTCCCATGGCTTCCCCAGATTTCCATGTGCTCAGCAGCTGCTATTTCACAACTGAAAACTGCTGACACTAAGGTCAGAAAGCCTGGTGACCAAATAAATCTGCAGGTAAGAGTTGGCTTCCACACTTGCCCCATGTTTGAAGTCAAGTTATCGGAAAATAGATCCTAACCCAAGATTAAAGATTATCTTGTGCAAGTGATTCACTATAGAACTCTTCCTAGAGAAACATATAAAGGAGTGGGGAAAAGCAAGTCAGAGAAGGAGAAGAAGACAAGCAAAGATGTGATCCTTGATGAAGTCTGGAGAAGAGTAGCTTTAGCTTGATCCTACAGAAAAACTCTGGAGTCTAAGTTACTTCTCAGATTTGTTCTGTGCAAAGGCAAGACAAGCTCTCAGCTGTTTGTTATTGGTGGGGGAAGGTGAGGAGTTGGTGGGATGTGACCTCCCAAGCACTTTTTGCCCTTTGTGCTTCTGGGAAGACAACTCTAGTAGTCCAAGGGTTGTCGGATGAAGAGGAGTCTTACAGTATGGACTGTATGAACCAAAAGCACAATGACACTGAAGAAGGAGGGTACAGAACTGTTAGAACGCATTTGAGAAGATCTGAACAGAGACTAGCAAGGTGCACTACCACACCCTTCAAAAAAACCTACTGAAGCACATTCGTCTAGCTCTGACCTGGTGCAAGCACACCTCTCCACAGGATGCTGGGAAATGGGGACCCCTGCTCTCTTTGTGACTTCCAGCCTGCGTTTCCTTCACATGTTAAAGACAGAAACTTTACAGCGTCTTGAATTTATAAATTTTTAACTTATAAATACAGTGTACGGTTAAAAAATTGATTCACGTGACCATAAGTAACAAAATTAAAATGTTCTAGTCATGGATTTATAAAAATTAGATGATCTGATGGTGATGTTGGAGAGAACAAAATATAAATATTATGCTGTAGTAAGCCAATATGTGGGAAGATTCAGTAATCCTGTGTAGTTGAATTCATTCCCACAGTCTGAGAACCAATCTGAGGCAGAGCACAGGTGGGGTAGCAGAGACCTCTGTGACAGGGACAGGTGTGCTAGCCGGGGCCCTCTGTGCTGTGTCTCTGTGACTTTGAACAAAGCCACATTTCTTTGCCCAGAATTAGAACCAGAAGATTCTATTTGGTCCTTTTGTTAAAATTATTATATTCATGACAATTAAAATATATACCTTATCCTTCTTACTTCAAGCCTGGTTGGCTTGATTATTATTCAGTGAGTCTTTTACTTTCATAAAAGAATATTGTTAAGTAAAATGCTCTGGTGGACACAATGCATAAAATGGGTTATGTGTTCCTTCTGACCACCTGTATATGTATCTGGATTTTCCATAGTCTCACCAATGCTCAGTTGTAGCAAAAGCCTAGGACATTAAAGATGGGGCTCCTGCCTGCACTTGAGTCTCAGCATGCAAAAGTTAGAAACATTCAAGGCCACCAAGAAAAATGAAACAACAAATGAACCAAAAAAGCAAGTGTTCTGAGGATACTCACTCTAATGAGTAATGTCTTCCACGTGTGCGTCTTCATCTAGTGCGAATCTGTAGGTTGATTCTGACATGCAATAGAATCACAGGTGCTGTCAAGTTACTTCAGCCTCTGACTGTCCATCTATCAAAAGAAGTCACCTCAGAGTGCTAAGAATGGCTGCACAACCTCAGCCAGACAACTGATGTTGCTGAAGGAAGACAATCAAAATGTCCAGTAGATCAAAACTGACAATCATCCACCACTCGCTTGCTGGTGATGAAGTGTCCACCAAGAAAAAGTGTAAGACCAGACTGCAAAGTAGTAAGACAAGTCATTTACTGGGGTCCTAGGCATTGCAGCTTGAGGAATAGATCCTGCTAGAAGCCAAATTGTGTTCTGAAGACAGAGAGGGGAGTAGTAATGTAAAAGAAAGCTAAGGGTGATTACACAAGTTGTTTTCAAGTAATTAACGTTGAAGGAGCCTGGCTTAGTACATTATTCTATAGTTAATTGGTTGTTGCTGTTCAAGAGTCACAGTGCTGGTGAAATTTAGCTGTTTTGCAGAATGTTGTGGTTGTTGAGGTTTGGGCCAGTTCAAAGGTGCAAGGCAAAATTCCAGGATTTTTATTTTTGTTTTTGTTTGTTTGTTTGTTTTTTGACAAGGTTGCAGGTCATGCAGATAGTCCTTAGAATGGCTTCTCAAATTTATTTTAGGCCTCTGAACCAGAGATGCCATTTTGTATATCATATTTCACAGAAGAAAGAACATTCATTACAACTTTGCCTAATCTGGGCTGGGGCTGCTGGGAGGCAGGTGGTACTCACACGGAGGATTAACCCTACCGAACAAAATTATCAGGTACTTTCCCCCAAAAAATAGTCAATGAAGTGAGGCTTTGGGGCTGATTACCTGCCAATCTGACGTTTGAAGCGAATAGAATAGTCTGACAGACATCTTTAAGCCACTACTTTTTAATACATTGGTAAAGTTTCCGTAACTTTCTTTTCTTCTTATATAACTCTCTTTAAGATAAAGGTTGTGAATTTCACGTTTTCACTTGGCCTCAAAAGAAAAAAAAAAAACTGGGAGCATCCCCAGGAGCCCCATGTACTGGGTGGAGGTTATAATGAAGGATAGAAGAGAACAGGAAAAAGGAGAGCATGGCAAGTGCACTCACAAGAGCAAAGTTTACACATCTGAATGTCATTAATGTAAAGATTTCTGGGATAGCTTAAAGCCGACCTAAAACTTCACATAAAAGCACTTAGGAGAACTTTCTTTCGCCTTAAACATTTTTCCCTTTCTTTTCCTTTTCTTCCTTTTCCTTTTTTGTAATCTCAAGTTGAGAGACCCTCAACTGTTTCCCAGGAGGCAGATTTTTTGGGAAAAGCCAACATCTATTGGTTTTTAATGGGGCTTCTCACAGGAGTTTTTGTACCTGGATAATGGATCAGATAAGAATTAGCTATTTCACTTTCTCATTACCAGCATCTGCAGGTAAGCTTGACCTCTGTGTGCCCCAGGCTTTCTTGAAAAGGTTTGGCTCATTATTTTGAAGCAACAGGTCAACTGTTATCTTACTGCCATCATTTCCTGCCATCAGACTGTCACAAATCTTTAGAACACAAAACTGATATTTTAAATGTTAATACTGGCTCAGCAATGTATGATTTATCTATAGTCATGAATGAAACTTTCACTTTTTAATGGCATCACAGATTGTAAGATTTTTTGAAAATGTTATTTTATAATTGTGTTCTTCAGGTTGCTTAGAGTCTTTTAACCACTACATCAAATTGAAAGAACAATTTAATAAATATAAAGAAAAGTTATTTTATTGTAATCGTAATGATATACTATGGGGAAACAACTATTCATTTTACTTACCATTAATTACCTAAGAAGCCAAGAGGAAATAATTTTTTTAAAGAAATTCTCAGTTGTCTGTGGAATTCATATACATCTGTAGGAGACTCTATGTTGGATTGTTCTCTTGAGAAAACAGCCATCAGTAAGAACAGCCATACAATTTTCATAATTATGTTTCTTATTTTAGTGGCTAGAAAAATGGTACCCAAAAGGTATCTTGAAGTCAAATTTTGTCAGCATTATGTAAATGAAAAACTTTCACTAAAAAACAAATAAATTAATTATTTGTCTTGGAATTGTACACTGTGCACTATAAAATATATACATTATTTTTCTGTAGTTTTTTATTTATTATTTATTTATTTATTTATTTATTTATTTATTTTTACATGAGTAAGTTCTTTAGTGATGATTTCTGAGATTTTGGTGCACCCATCACCTGAGCAACGTACCCTTTACCCAATATGTAGTCTTTTATCCCTCACTTCCCTTGCACCCTTTCCCCTGAGCCCTGAAAGTCCATTGTATCATTTTTATGCCTTCGCGTCCTCATATCTTAGCTGCCACTTATGAGTGAGAACATACAATATTTGGTTTTCCATTTCTGAATCGCTTCACTTAGAATAATGGTCTCCAATTCCATCCAGGTTTCTACTAATACCATTATTTTGTTCCTTTTTACAGCTGAGTAGCATTCCACTATATACTGTTTTCCATAGTGGCTGTACTAGTTTACATTCACACCAACAGTGTAGAAATGTGCCCTTTTCACCACTTTCACTCCAACAAGTATTATTTTTTATTTTTTGATTATGACAATTCTTGCAGGAGTAAGATGGTGTTGCATTGTGGTTTTCATTTGCATTTCCCTGATCATTAGTGATGTTGAGCATTTTTTATATATTTGTTCATCACTTATATATCTCTTTTTGAGAATTGTCTATTCATGTCCTTAGCCCACTTTTTGATGGGATTGTTTGTTTTTTTCTTGCTGCTTTGTTTGAGTTACTTATAGATTCTGGATATTAGTCCTTAGTCTTAGTATAGATTGTGAAGATTTTCTCCCATTCTTTGGGTTGTCTGTTAACTCTGCTGATTATTTCTTTTGCTGTGCAGAATCTTTTTAGTTTAATTAAGTTCCATCTATTTATCTCTGTTTTTGTTGCATTTGCTTTTCAGTTCTTGGTCATGAAATGTTTGTCTAAGCTAATGTCTGGAAGGGTTTTTTCCAAAGTTATCTTCTAGAATTTTTATGATTTAAAGTCTTAGACTTAGGTCTTTGATCCATCTTGAGTTGATTTTTGTATAAGGTGAGAGATGAGTATCCAGTTTCATTCTTCTACATGTGGGTTGCCAATTATCCCAGCACCATTTGTTGAGTAGGGTGTCTCTTCTCCACTTTATGTTTTTGTTTGCTTTGTCAAAGATCAGTTGGCTGTAAGTATGTGGATTTATTTCTGGATTGTCTACTCTGTTCCATTGATTTATATACCTATTTTTATACCAGTACCATGCTGTTTTGGTGACCATGGCCTTATATTATAGTTTGAAGTCGAGTAATATGATGCCTCTAGATTTGTTCTTTTTGCTTAGTCTTGCTTTGGCTGTGCAGGCTCTTTTTTGGTTCCATATGAATTTTACGATTGTTTTTTCTTGTTCTTTGAAGAATGATTGTGGTATTTTGATAGGAATTGCATTGCATTTGTAATTGCTTTTGACAGTATGGTCATTTTCACAACATTGGTTCTGCCCATCCATGAGCATGGAATATGTTTGCATGTGTGTGTCATCTATGATTTCTTTCAATAGTGTTTTGCAGTTCTTGAGAGGTCTTTCATGTCCTTGGTTAGGTATATTCCTACACTTAAAAAAAAATTTTTTTTTGCAGCTACTGTGAAAGGGGTTGAGTTCTTGATTTCATTCTCAGCTTGGTTGCTGTTTGTGTATAGCAGAACTGCTGATTTGTGTACGTTAATTTTGTATCCTGAAATTTGATGAATTTATTTACCAGTTCTAGGAGCTTTTTAGATGAGTTGTTAAGGCTTTCTAGGTATATTATAATATCATCAGCAAACAGTGACAATTTGACTTCCCCTTTACTGATTTGGATTCTCTTCATTGCTTTCTCTCATCTGATTCCTCTGGCTAGGACTTCCAATACTATGTTGAATAGAAGTGGTGAAAGTGGCATCCTTGTCTTGTTCCAGTTCTCAGGGAGAATGCTTTCAATTTTTCCCTGTTTAGTGTAATGTTGGCTGTGGGTTTATCATAGATGACTTTTATTACCTTAAGGTATGTCCCTTCTATGCTAGTTTTGCTGAGGGTTTTAATCATAAAGAAGTGCTGAATTTTGTTAAATGCTTTTTCTGCATCTATTGAGATGATCATGTGATTTTTGTTTTAAATTCTGTTTATGTGGTGTATCACATATATTGACTTGTGTATGTTAAATCTTCTTTGCATCCCTGGTATGAAACCCACTTGATCAGGGTGAATTATCTTTGTGATATGCTGTTAGATTGGGTTAACTAGTATTTTGTTGGGGATTTTTGCATCTATTATGTTAATCATATAATATGTTCATCAGGGATATTGGTTGGTAGTGTTTTTTGTTGTTGTTCTTATGTCCTTTCCTGGTTTTAGTATTAGGGTGGTACTGGCTTCATAGAATGATTTAGGAAGGATTCCCTCTTTCTCTATCTTTGGGAATAGCGTCAACAGGATTGGAAACAATTCTCTGAATATCTGATAGAATTCAGCAATGAATCCATCTGGTCCTGCACATTTTTGTGGAGGACCTTGCTAAAATGTTATTATTGATCTGTTCAGTTTCTATTTCTCCCTGGTTTAATCTAGGAGGGTTGTATATTTTTCAAGAATTTATCCATCTCTTCTAGATTTTCTAGTTTATGAGTGTAAAACTGTTCAAAGTATCCTTGAATAGAATCCTTGAATGTTCTTTTTATTTCTGTGGTATCAGTTGTAATATCTCCCGTTTTGTTTCTAATTGAGCTTATTTGGATCTTCTCTCTCCTTTTCCTGGTTAATCTCACTAATGGTCTACCAATTCTATTTATCTTTTCAAAGTGCCATTTTTCTTATTCCATTTATCTTTTGTAGTTTTTTGTTTCAATTTCATATAGTTCTGCTCTGATCATGATTATGTCTTTTCATTTGCTGGGTTTGAGTTTGGTTTGTTCTTGTTTCTCTAGTTCCTTGGGGTATGACCTTAGATTATCTGTTTGTGCCCTTTCAAACTTTTAGATGTAGGTATTTAATGCTATGAACTTTCCTCCTAACTCTTCTTTTGCTGTATTCTAGAGGTTTTGATAGGTTGTATCACTATTATTGTTCAGTCGAAATAATTTTTTAAATTTACATCTTGATTTCATTGTTGACTCAAAGATTATTCAGAAGCAGGTTATTTAATGTCCATGTGTTTGCATGGTTTTGAGGGTTTCTTTTGGAGTTGATTTCCAATTTTATTTCACTGTGGTCTGTGAGAGTACCTGACATAATTTCAATTTTCTTAAATTTGTTAAGACTTGTTTTGTGACTTATCGTATGGTCTATCTTGGAGAACGTTCCATGTGCTGATGAATAGAATATGTATTCAGCAGTTGTTGGGTAGAATGTCTATAAATATCTGTTAAGTCTATTTATTCCAGAATGTAGTTGAAATCCATTGCTTCTTTGTTGACTTTTTGTTTTGATGGTCTGTCTAGTGCAGTCAGTGGAGTATTAAAGTCTTCCACTATTGTTGTGTTGCTATCTATCTCATTTCTTAGGTCTAGTAGTAACTATTTTACAAATTTGGGAGCTCTAGTATTAGGTGCATATATATTTAGGATTTTGATATTTTCCTGTTAGACTAGTCTTTTTATCATTATATAATGTCCCTCTTTGTCTTTTTTAACTGCTGTTGTCTTAAAGTTTGTTTTGTCTGATATAAGAATAGCCACTTCTGCTTGCCTTTGGTGTCTATTTACTTGGAATATATTTTTCCACCCCTATACCTTAAGTTTATGTGAGTCCTTATATGTTGGGTGAGTCCTTGAAGACAGAGGATACTTGGTTGGTGATTTCTTATCTATTCTGCCATTCTGTATCTTTTAAGTGGAGTATTTAGGCCATTTACATTCAATGTTAGTATTGAGATATGAGGTTCTATTCTATTCATCATGCTATTTGTTGCCTGAATACCTTTGTTTTATTTTTTTCATTGTGCCATTGTGTTATAGGTCTTATAAGATTTGTGCTTTAAGGAGATTCTATTTTTGTGTATTTCAAGGATTTGTTTCAAGATTTAGAGCTCCTTGTAGTGCTGACTTGATAGTGGTGAATTCTCTCAGCATTTGTTTGTTTGAAAAATATTTTATCTTTCCTTCATTTATGAAGCTTAGTTTCACTGGATACAAAATTCTTGGCTGATAGTTGTTTTGTTTAACGAGGCTAAAGATAAGACCCCAATCCCTTCAAGCTTGTAGGGTTTTGGCTGATAAATCTGTTAATCTAATAGGTTTTCCTTTATAGGTTACCTGATTCTTTTGCCTCACAGCTCTTAAGATGCTTTTCTTTTTCTTGACTTTAGATAACCTGATAACTATGTGCTGAGGCAATGATCTTTTTTCAATAAATTCCTCAAGTGTTCTTTCAGCTTCTTGTGTTTGGGTGTCTAGATCTGTAGCAAGGCCAGGGAAATTTTCCTTAATTATTCCCTAAAATATGTTTTCCAAACTTTTAGATTTCTCTTCTTCCTTGGGAACACCAATTATTCTTAGATTTGGTCATTTAACATAATGCCAAACTTCTTGAAATCTTTCTTCATTTTTAAAAATTATTACTTTTTTGTGTTTTTTGGATTGCGTTAATTCAAAAGCATTGTTTTCAAGCTCTTAAGTTCTTTCTTCTGCTTGTTTGATTCTATTGTTAAGACTTTCCAGTGCCTTTTGCATTTCTCTAAGTGTGTTCTTTATTTCCAGAAGCTGTGACTGTTTTTTATTTATTCTATTTCACTAGAGATTTTCCATTTTTATCCTGTATCTTTTTTTTTTTTTTTTTTTTTTTTTTTTTGAGATGGAGTCTCGCTCTCTTACCCAGGTTGGAGTGCGGTGGTGCGATCTCGGCTTACTGCAAGCTCTGCCTCCCGGGTTCACACCATTCTCCTGCCTCAGCCTCCTGAGTAGCTGGGACTACAGGCGCCCACGACCATGCCTGGCTAATGTTTTGTATTTTTAGTAGAGATGGGGTTTGACCGTGTTAGCCAGGATGGTCTCAATCTCCTGACCTGGTGATCTGCCTGCCTCGGTCTCCCAAAGTTCTGGGATTATAGGCGTAAGCCACCGCGACTGGCCTATTTTTTGATTTTTTAAAGTTGGACTTCACCTTTCTCTGGTGCTTCCTTCATTAGCTTAATAATCGAACTTCTGGGCCAGACGGGGTGGCTCACGCCTGTAATCCCAGCACCTTGAGAGGCCAAGACAGGTGGATCACGAGGTCAGGAGATCGAGACCATCCTGGTTAACACGGTGAAATCCCGTCTCTACTAAAAATACAAAAAACTTAGCCAGGCATGGTGGTGCACACCAGTAGTCCCAGCTACTCAGGAGGCTGAGGCAGGAGAATCACTTGAACTCAGGAGACAGAGGTTGAAGTGAGCCAAGATTGCGCCACTGCACTGCAGTCTGGGTGACAGAGCGAGACTCTGTCTCAAAAAAATTAAATAAATAAATAAATAATAAATAAATGAATAAATAAATAAATAAATAATCAAACTTCTGGATTATTTTTCTGGCAATTCAGAGATTTTGTCTTGGTTTGGATCCATTGCTGGTGAGCTAGTGTGATCTTTTGTCAATGTTAAAGAACCTTGTTTTGTCTTATTACCAGAACTGTTTTCCTGGTTCCTTCTCATTTGGGTAGACTATGTCAGAGGGAAGATCTGGGACTCAAGGGCTGCTGTTCATATTCTTTTGTCACACAGGGTGTGCCCTTGATTTGGTGCTCTTCCCCTTCCCCTAGGGTTGGACTTCCCTAGAGCCAAACTGCAGTGATTGTTATTTCTCTTCTGGATCTAGCCACCCAGCAGAGCTACTGGGCTCCAGGCCGGTACTGAGGAGTGTCTGCAAAGAGTCCTGTGATATCCATTTTCAGGTCTCTCAGCCATGGATACCAGCACCTGCTCCGATGGAGGTAGAAGGGCAGTGAAGCAGACTCTGTGAGGGTCCTTGGTCATATTTTTGTTACGTTCACTGGTTTTTGTGTTGGTTGGCCTCCATCCAGAAGGTGGTGCTTTCAAGAGTGCATCAGCTGCAGTAAGAGGATACAATCTTGCCCTAGGGTCAGGCAGTGGGTGGGGCCATAGAGCTCCCAAAATTTATGTTCTTTGTCTTCAGCTACCAGGGCAGGTAGAGAAAGACCATCAGGTTGGGGCAGGGTTAAGGGTGTCTGCGCTTAGACTCTCCTTGGGCAGTGCTTGCTGTGGCTGCTGTGGGGGTGGGGAGTGTGGTTCCCAGGCCAATGGAATTATGTTCCCATGGGGATTATGGCTGCATCTGCTGTGTCACACAGGTCACCAGGGAAGTGGGAGAAAGTTGGCAGCCAAAGGCTTCACCCAGCTCCCACATAGCCCGCAGCCCAAAAGGCTGGTCTCACTTCCACAGTGCCCCCTTAACAGTACCAAGTTTATTTCCAGATAGCCAGTAAGCAGGGCTGAGAATTTGCCCCAGGTTACAAGCCTCCCAGCTTAGAAAGCAAGCTGACTCACAGTTCCTCAGCTGTCCCAGGGAGCCTGCAGCAGCAGTCCACCTCCTTCAAATGATCTGTGGATCCTCTTCACTTTCCTGGTATGTTAATGCGGTAGGGCTTGGAACAAAAATTCACGATGTCAGTCTCACACACTGCTCTGTCTGTCAAAGTGGGAGCTGTAAGTTACTCCTGCCTCCTATCCACCATTTTTTACATTAATATTTAATATGCAAGATATTTAATTATCTTTATTTGATTTGGAAACAAAATTCTGCACTGTAACCTCAAAGGGAAAATTAAAAATATTTTTATACTCTTATTTTTCACTTAAGAACAGAATTTGCCTGTTTATTTCTGCAAAAAAAAACCTGAAAAATATCTGCATTTTTTCTTACACATACAAACTCTAAAATTTTAACTCCTCTGTATCACTGATTCTATCTTATTTACAAAATTCAAGTTCTAATATTTTTCAACCTGAAAAGATGTATGCTCCTCTCTTTAATCTGTGTGAATAAAATTATTATCAGTGTGAAATATCAATGATATTTAGGTGTTAGACTTACTAGCAAAAGGTATGTCTGGTGAGGGCACAACAGAACAAAATGTAACCTTTGCAGGACTGGAATTATTTATGGATGGCTTGGAGGAGTCACTTGGGCTAGATGTGAAATATGAGCAAGTATCAGACAGCAGGTGATGGTTCAAATATATTCCAGGTAGATGGCAAAGAAATGGCACAGGTTAGATTGACCACATGGTAAGGGATTGCAGACAGGATTTGTTAGGGGGTTTAACCACTTTGACCTAAAAAATATTCACTAATCATGGGATCCTTGCCTCATGGGATCTGATTTATCTCTAAGTAAACCAGACTTTGTTGGATATACAATACATCAAACTACACAATTTGGAGATGATGGTAGTAAACAACATGGTTATGAAGATAATAGTCATCATGATATAAGAGGAAATTATGTTTTTCTTGTTTCTATGGTAAAATTTATCAAGCTAAAAGAAGGACCTAAGAAGTTTAAAAGAGATTCTGCATACAATACCATAGTTATTGAACAAAAGTTGTATTAACTACATTATTAATAATGCTCTCATTAATTTGGATCATGTGATCTTTAAATTACACTTTTGGAAACAGTGACAAGGAAATTAACCAAAACCAACCAGACAAACAAAAAAAGAGGAGCAACAATCTGTTGTTTATATATCAAGTATAGTTTAACATCTTCTCTATAAAGTTTTCTGAAACAGATCTAGGCCTCTTTTGACTCCCATATATCTCTGGTAATACTGCAGTTGTGGCTTTTATCACACTGTATTATAATTACCTTTCACTTTAACATCTTCCTAACTATATTGTGCCTTGAATCCAGGTTTATCTTTGGAAATCCAGTACCTAGATTAATGCATAATAAATAATTGGTACAAACTAAACAGATAATTGATTGCCAATAACTACATATTATACTAGAAAGACTAACAAGAAAGAAAAAAATAGATACATTAATGTATGAAGATAATGAGTGTATAAACAGCCCCAGAGAGATGAATTGGCTTTCTTTTTACTGTTCTGATGGGGAAAAATGTCAAGAATAATTTTTAGAACACCGTTGCTATGTCATTTTATATAATGGCATATGCTGTTTTAGTATGGTCAAAAAGAATTTGGGATCAAATTTTAACTGTCTTTAGTGAAATGTCAGTATCAGGACACCTATCAACTTTTCAGAATTACATGCTTGAAGCTTCATCAATATAATTATGTGTGGAATGAATGAGTGAAGATCTACTTTTAGATAAATGACCTGCTGAATTTCCACAGTGAATAATACCCCAAGAAAGTATGAAAAAATGCTTTGCAATAAAATGATATCTTAAGCCCAATAGAAGTAGTGCAAATTCATTTGTAAAGTGTAATGTAATTCTGCAAACAGGTTAACCATTTGCAAAATAAACTTTTGGTTAAATGAAATATTTCATATATCCACTTTGCTTAATGGTAGGCACACCTCTATAAAAAGGTGTAGAATGACCTAGAACTGACAATAAGATTTAATGTGGTTTCACTAGATCAGAGATAGTTTAGAGATAAGGAAGTCTGCGAAAAAAAATAAAACAATTAAAGCCAAAGAAGATATCTAAGTATGGAATATTAAACTATGTTCTAACTGCTGGCAATAAATACATAAACAGGAGAAATTCAAAAAATCAATTTTAATATATAATACTCCTGAAGTGATCTCATCTTCTTTCCTGAATGTAAAATCATCATCTCAACAATTTACGATAAAACATAGTTTAAAAATCTTCTAAAGTCAAATGCTGTTTGAACTAACAATGGCTCTTCCTCTCCCAAATACTTCATTTTTGTACCTCTATACACATGTGGAGTCAATTATTTTTCTGCATAGTTTAAGAAAAGAAATACAGGTGTAAAACCGACTGAACATGAAAAGAAAAATAAGGAAGAATATGATTTTCATCTTATCAGCAAAATACTGTATTGAAAAATTACCACTATAGTTCTTTTAGTCTGAGCATATAAAAAAATGTGGTTTTCTTACAATGTAATGATGAATAATGTGACATTATAGCCAAAGTGTCAAGTGCAAAAAACAGAGAATTCCAGAAGAACAAGAGATAAGCATCTAGTCACATATAGGGGAACCCCCATCAGACTAACTGTGGTTCTCATCACAAATCTTATAGGCCAGGAAAGAATAAAATGGTATATCCCAAATACTGAAAGAAAAAGAAACACACACAAAAAAATGCCAAACAAGGATATTATACCCAGTATAGTTATTCATCATTAATGAAAAAGAAGTAAAGCATTTTGCAGACAAGCAGAAACAGAGAATTTATCACCACTAGACTGACCCCACAAAGATGCTTAAAGGAGTCCTATGCATGGGAACAAAAGAACAATATCTACCAACACGAAAACACACAAAAGTATAAAACCCACTGGTAAAGCAAACACACAAATGAGGAAGAGAAAAGACACAAATGTTACCACTTCAGAAAATTACCAAAGTGTGATGATAAACAACAAGAGAGAAAGAGAGAACAAAAGATATGCAAAACTAACAAAAAACAACAAAATGACATGAATAAGTCTTCACATATCAATAAAAACCTTGAATGTAAAAAATATCAAATCAAGCCCCAACTATAGTCTGCATACAAGAAACTTATCTCACCTGTAAAGACACCACAGGCTGAAAGTAAAGGAATGGAAAAAGATATTCCATGCATATACATACCAAAAGTGAGCAGGACTAGCTATACTTAGATAAAACAGACTTTAAGTCAAAAATAGTAAAAAGAAACAAATAAGGTCATTATATAATGATAAACAGATCAATTCAACAAGATGATGTAACAATTGTAAATATATATGCACTCGACAGTGGAGCACCCTGAGATATATAGCGAATAATATTAGATCTGAAGGGAGAGACAGAGTCCAATACAATGATAGCTGGTAATGTCAACACCCCACTCTTAGCATTAAACAGATCGTCTAGACAGAGAATGAATAAAGAAACATTAGATTTAAACTGCACTTTAGACCAAATGAACCTAACAGACATCTAAGAACATTTTATCTAACAGATGGAGAATACACATTCTTCTCATCAGCACATGGAACATTCTCCACGATACACAATATGTTAGGCCACAAAACCAATCTCAACCAATTTTAAACCATCAAAACCATACCAAGTACCTTTGTAGACTACAATGGAATAAAACCAGAAATCAGTAAGAAGAGGAACTTTGGAAACAATAAACATACATGTAATTAAACAATATGCTCCTGAATGACCACTGAGTCAAGAAAAAATATGGAGGACATAAAAATGTGAAACAAAATATAAACACAACATATCAAAACCTGTAGGATACAAAAAAGCGGTGCTAACATGGAAGTTTATAGCAATAAACGCCTGTATCAGAAAAGCAGAAAGATTTCAGATAAACAATTTAAAAATTCACCTTAAGGAATTAGAAAAGCAAGAACTAATTAAAGCCAAAATTAGTAGAAGAAAAGAAGTAATAAAGATCAGAGCAGAACTAAACAAATAGAGACTAAAAAAATACAAAGAATCAATGAATCAAAGATTTGGTTTTTTGAAAAAATAAACAAAATTAATACTAGCTTAACTAAGCAAGAAAATAAAGAGAGAAGGCCCAAGTCAACAAAATCAGAAATGAAAAGAGACATAACAACTGATACAACAGAAATACAAAGGATCATCAGAGACTGTTATGAGCAACTATATGCTAATAAATTGGAAAACTTATGAATAAATTCCTGTACACATGTCATCTATTAAGACTGAATCAGGAAGAAATAGAAAACTTAAACAGGCCGATAATGAGTAACAAGATTAAATCAGTAATACAAAGCATCCCAACAAAGAAAAGCCCAGGACCAGATGGCTTCACTGCCAAATTCTACCACACTTATAAAGAAAACCTAACATAATTTCATCTCAAACTATCCAAAAAAAATGAAGAGGAAATATTTACTAACTAATTATATAAGGCCAGTAATACCCTGTTACCAACCAGACAAGGACAGGACACAACAAATAAAGAAAACTAAAAGCCAATATCTCTCATGAACATAGACACACAAATTCTCAACAAAATATTAGCAAACTGAGTTCAAAAGCACATTAAAAAGGTAGTACATCATTATCAAGTGTGACTTATACCAGGCTGTAAGGATGGTTCAGCATATGCAAATCATATCAAGAGAATGAAACACAAAACCAAGTAGATGCAGAAAAAGCATTCCAGCCAACTTGCTGCAAATGACAAGATTTTGCTCATTTTTATTGCTTAAATATATTCCATTGTGTGCACAATGGAATATATCCATATTTCTCAGCAGTTTTATTCATTTCTTTTCATTCTTTTTTCTCTATTCTTGTCTGCCTGTCTTACTTCAGAACGGTAGTCTTCAGCTTTTAGATTCTTTCCTCCGCTTGTTCTATTCAATTATCTGTATTTGTGATTGCATTGTGAAGTCTTGTGTTGTGCTTTTCAGCTGTATCAGGTCAGTTACGTTCCTCTCTACATTGGCTATTCTGGTTATTAGCTCCTGTAATGTTCTATCATGATTCTTTGCTTCTTTGCATTGGGTTACAACATGCTCCTTTAGCTCAGTGAAGTTAGTTATTATCCACCTTCTGAAGCCTACTTCTGTCCATTCACCCATCCCAGCCTCAGCCTAGTTCTGTGCCCTTGCTGGATAGGTGTTGCAATTATTTAGAGAAGAGGCACTCTGGCTTTTTGAGTTTTTAGCGTTTATTTGTGTTGATTCTTTCTCATCTTTGTGGGCTTATTTACCTTTGATATTTGAGGTGCTGATCTTTGAATGGGTTTTTTGTGGGGTCTTTTTTATTGGTGGTGGTGGTTTTGCTTTCTGTTTGTTTGTTTTTCTTTTATCAGTCAAGTCTCTTTTCCATGGGGCTGCTGTGGCTTCCTTGGGGTCCACTCCAGACCCTAATCGCCTGGATCCCTCCCAGACCTGGAGGTATCATCAATGGAAGCACGTCCTTTGGCTGGGGGTGTGAGCTCCCCTAGCTTCATGCCACTCATGGGTGGGCTGTTGCCCCATCCTGTTTTCCTCACTCTTTGTGGGTTGCATTGAATGCCTAGTCAGTCTCACTGTGAGAACCTGGGTACCTCAGTTGAAGGTATAGAATTTACTCGCCATTTTTGTTCTTCTCCAAGAGAGCAGCTGATTGCAGCCACTTCTAATTGGCCATCTTGGCCTGCCCTACCAGCCACTTCTTTTATAATTATTATTTGCACAGTGTATTTGTTTCTCCCTATTTAGTTTCAATCTATCTTTGCAATGATATTTAAAAGTGTGACTCTAGTAAGCATCATATATTTGGATCTTGCCTTTTTATTTAATTTTTCAATCTCTATCATTTAATATTATAAGTTAATATTTAATGAAACTGTTAATATGCTTTGATTTAGGTCTACTATTTTATTATTTGTTTACTTTTTTTTCCCTGCTGATTTTTGACCTCCCTGTGTTTTCTTCCTTGGATCATTTAAATGATTTCTAGTTTTCCATTTCAATTTATGTATCGACTCCTTTGCTTTATTCTTTTCTATGATTTTTAGGAGTTTCTAAAAGGATTGAAGTAAATATACCCAACTTGTTACAGCCTACTGGGAGTTAATATTGCACTGCTTCATTTTAAATGTAGAAATCTTACAACCATATATATATCTACCTACCCTCATGTTATACTGTAGTTGTCATAATATTACATTTACATGCATGAAAATTCTGATGTTATAATGCTTGCTTCAAAAACATACATATTTTATAGAATTTAAGAAACCATATTATTTTATACATTTTTGGTTTTTAGGTATGTTCTTAGTTACCATTTCTAACGTTCTTCATTCCTTAAGATTCAAATTATTCTCTGGTATCTTTTGCTTCAAACTGAAGACTTTCGTTTTGCATATTTTACAGAGCAGATCTATTGTCAACAAATACTTTCAATTTTTTATTCTAGTGAAGCAAAACAAAACAAAAATTGTTTATGTATTGTGCCTTCATTCCTATGGAATATTTTCTATGAATATAGAACTCTCATTGATCCCCTTTTTTCTTAAGCACTTTGTAGATGTTATTCTACTGGTCTAGCCTCCATATTTTCTGATAAGAAAGTCATGACAATTCAATTGCTGGTTTTCTTTTCTTTTGTTCTTTTTTTTTTTTTTTTTTTTTTTGATACAGAGTCTCGCTCCATCCATCACCCAGGCTGGAGTGCGGTGGTGCAATCTCGACTCACTGCAACCTCCACCTCCCTGGTTCAAGCAATTCTCCTGCCTCAGCCTCTCAAGTAGCTGGGATTACAGGTACTCATTATTTTTCCCTTCAAAGATTTCTATATTATTTCATTATCTTTGATTGTCAGCAGTTTAATTATGATATGTTTAATAATGCTTCCATTTTTCTGTGCTGTAGTGGAAATGTCAGTAGAATTTGGAATTTGAAAATGTGAGCTTAAATACTAGTCTGGCCACTTACTTGCCATGTAACTTTAGGCAAGTCAGTTCTCAGAGTCCAACATCTTAGCTGTAAAATGAGAATTATATGATCTGCATTATGAAATTTTTAAGAGGATCAAACAAAATAACACATGTGAAAGTGCTCTGTAAGGTGCAATATGAAACACACAATGTTTGGTGATGACTAAATTGAGGGTCAAAAAGGCTAATGACCCATCTATTAAGTGGTAGAAGCTGGATTGGTAACTCCAGGTATGTCTGACCCAAAAGTTTATGCTTTTTCTACTTTTCCATGTTGCTTCCATTTACGTGATGACAATTCTCTCTTAACTATTCCTTCCAAATACACCTTTGAGTACCTACTATGGCTCAATTACTAAACTGGGCACTGAGGATAGAATGATACATCACAGTACCTGTCCTTGAGGAATTCCACGTGCCATCCTCTTCAATGTGTTGACTCTTCTCCAGTTTCTGTATTCTTTTTGTTGCTTTTAGGAAATTCAGGTGGTTATTTTTACATTGTTTAGAGATATGTAAGTGTTATTTGCAAGAAGATTGGTCTAATACAAGTCACTTAAACACTATAAGAAGCAGAACCGCTGTCCATGAGTTTTGGATTTTGCTGTCTAGTTGCTTGATCAGTTTTAGAGATTTGGAGAAATTAAAAACCAAGCTGCTACTGCTGCCCCATCTGAAAATATTCTTCTATTTTTAAAAATATAAACCCAATGCCACCACTGTTCTTTCTGTAATGCAGTGTTGGTCCAGATTACTACTTCATTTAAAGAGCAACAATATTTATCTGAGTTTCACTGCTAAGAAGTAAGAGATCAGCAGCATAAATTCAACTACAGATTCTTTCAGTGTATTTCTACCTTCCTTCACTCATTTATACCTATTGTCTTCTATTTTTGATACTGCAATGTTTCATATTTCTGATGTTGATCATACACTTACTCTTATAGCTGTCAGAATTAAATAACCAGTTCCAAATGTCCCACTTGTTTGAGTAATATTGCAGGTAAGAATAAAAGGTTTCATTGGAGGCCTATTCTAACAACATGAGTGAAAAACAGATACCGGTTTTGTAAAGTCAGCCTCTCAGAGTCTTTTTCTCTTGATCAATGTCTCAATTCTCTTCCAAGATGATACTGATCCACCTACAAAGGTAAAGAAATAATATTCATAAACTAAGTTATTATTGACTTGACCATTTTCCATAGCAGATTTCAATGAAATCAGCCTTTCCCTACAACCTTCTTCTACTTGTATTTCTCTTTGTAATCTTCCTATCTATTATCTCTGAGATACTATATTAATGAGATTTGGATAGAACATGATGGATAAACCATTAGTGTTCACTTCAGCTGAGCATTTTTTTGGTTTTGAGCAGCTCAAATTATGCCATGTGATAATGCTGGCATTTTACTACTAGATAGTGTTCTGTAAGGCATTATAAGACACTTGGAAATCATCCAGATGCTTGCTGGGAATGACTCATTTTATGTTGATGCTTACTTGCAATGCTGGCACCATTAGCTACTTTAGATTGGTAGAAGCCCTCTCCTCCAAATTTTGATTTTGGGTAAACAGGTTGAACTACGATAATATTGTCACAGCCTTCTTTTAGTGAAATTCAACCCCCCGACCTTATCTTAGATCGTCTGAAAACTGGCAGATTCACATGCTACTTTTGCTGAATCCAGAACTTTCTTGCAATGACCCTAGTATCTTGTTCTTGGCTGCTGCCATCTTGAGAAAGGGAAGAAACTGGAAGAGGTTTATATGTATTTTTATTTAAAAACAAAAACAAAAAATACTGTATCTTTAATGTGGTTTGGGGAAGAAATGTAGACAAGTATTTTTATTCTATTTTTAATTTTAAACTAGAACTTGCAGTTGTTTTTGAAAAAGCTTAGATTTCACATGTAAAATTCCTTTAATATATTTGATGAATCTCACTCTCTTTCCATTCTTGTGTTGCATATGTGCTCTTCATTTTGCACTTGAAAGTCTGCTGTAAGTAGAATTTCAAAAGAGAACTAACTTTCATGAAAATATATGGTATTACAAAAATGGTAAATATAAATAAGTAAACTATTTTAGGAATTCTACAATCAAATCTTTGCAAAAATGTTCCATCAAAAGGAATATACTGTATAACTTTTAAGGAAAAAATATTAATTTGATGCAAACAAATTTATAGGTAGCATACTTTGCTGTAGTCTTGGTAAGTATGAAAGAATTAAGGAAGGCACTAAGTTGAATTACTCTATATTCACTGTTGAGGATTTTGAACCTGAGAATGGTGGTGATAAGAAGATGGGTGACATGGTAATATCTCTGTGTTTGAAAACATAATTTTAGCTAGTGTGTTTGAAAAATTACTGATGATCTGCGGGGCTCCAACCAGGGAGTCAATAAGGAGGATATTAGAATTAAGGTAAAAGTTGATAATAGACGAGGACAGGGAGGAATAGGCAGGAATGGAATAGAAGAGGAAATGGTTGGGAAGAGTGGGAATCTATTTGGATACACTAATTTGGAGATTCTATAGCAGTAAGAGTGCATAGATTGATAGAAGATGAAATATGAATATGAGATTTTTATATCAGGCAATAGGTATTAGAGTTATGGTATATAGAGTGAGGAATAAGGGTAACAATGATATTTAATTGTTAGATAGAATGAAAGACAAAGAGGATAGAAAATACATAATCCCCATTTAGCATATTTTTCCCTATCTTTTTGCGTACACATGTCTGTTTAACTTTTTTTTTTTAAGACAGGGTCTCTCTCTGTTGCCCAGGCTGGAGTGGGTGGCATGATCACAGCTCAATGCAGCCTCAGCCTCCTGGGCTCAAGTGATCCTCCTGCTTCAGCCTCCCCAGTAGCTGGGACTACAGGCATGCACGAAACACCAGGTTAATTATTTTAAGTAGAGATGGGGTCTCACCCTGTTGCACAGGCTGGTCTTGAAATCCTGAACTCAAGCCATCCTTCTGCCTCAGTCTCCCAATATGCTGGAATTACAAGTGTGCGCAACTATTTAAATTTTTTTTTTAAATTATACTTTAAGTTCTGGGATACATGTGTAGGACGTGCAGGTTTGTTACATAGGTATCTATGTGCTATGGTGGTTTTGCTGCACCCATCAACCCATCGTCTTCATTAGGCATTTCTCCTAATGCTATCCCTCCCCTTGCCCCCCATCCCCCGACAGGCCCCCGTGTGTGATGTTCCCCTCTCTGTGTCTGTGAATTCTCATTGTTCAACTCACTTATGAATGAGAACATGTGGTGTTTGGTTTTCTGTTCCTGTATTAGTTTGATTAGTTAGAATGATTGTTTCCAACTTCATCCACATCCTTGCAAAGGACATGAACTCATTCATTTTTATGGTTGCATAGTATTCCATGGTGTATTTGTGCCAGATTTTCTTTATCCAGTCTATCACTGATGGGCATTTGAGTTGGTTCCAAGTCTTTGCTATTGTAAGTAGCTTTGCTATTGTAAGTCGTCTATTGTAAGTAGTGACACAATAAACATACCTGTGCATGTGTCTTTATAGTAGAATAATTTATAATCCTTTGGGTTATATACCCAGTAATGGAATTGCTGGGTCAAATGGTATCACCAAAAGCAATTGCAACAGAAGCCAACGTTGACAAATGGGATCTAATTAAATTGAAGTGTTCTACACTGCAAAATAAACTATCATGAGAGTGAACAGGTAACCGACAGAATGGGAGAAAAAGTTTGCAATCTATCCATCTGACAAAGGGCTAATTCCCAGAATCTACAAGTAACTTAAACTATTTAAATTTTAAAAATAGTCTGTGACAAGAGGAGCCAAGGTGGCTGAGTAGACACAGCAAAGAGTAACATCTCCTACTGAGGGACCAAGACACTGGGGAGACTGGCGTGCTCCAAGCAGATCTTCAGAGGAAGGGTATTGAGAGTGCATCAAGGGAGGATGCAGGTCTGGGGCTGAAGTAGGAGGAAGGTGAGAACCCTGTACAGGGCTACCAAGCACCAGGACTTGTTCCCTGGACCCCAGTGATTCCTAGGGAAAGGGTGAGTTGAACAGGCAAAGTGGTCTGCTCTAACCACAATAATCTGTATTCACGGCATCAGGAGACCCCACAAACACTTGAGTTGGCAGGGAGAGCTGCTTAGAGAGTTGGTAGGGGTGGGTCTACAGCCTGTGTGGAGCCCGGAGAGTTTGGTGTGGGAATGTCTGCAGTGGAGTATGGCCACAGGTGCCCATACCCCAAGGCTCATCATACACCTCTAGTAGACTTTAGTCTTAGGGTGACTGGCGTACCTGCATAGAGCAGGGTGGTGCTGCCTGTGAGACAAAAATAGTTGGATCTGAATACTTCCCTGTGTGCTGGCCTCTCCCCCAACAACCTGGCTGCACCTGCTTGCATGGAAGGCTCTGATGCTCAACCAAGGTACTTCCCTGTGGCCATAATCATAGCTCCTACCCTAACCAAGAGAGTTCCAGCAGACTGACCCCTTCTATGGGCACCAGTCCACCCACACCCTCTCTCCACTGAAGCCCCTCCCCACTGCTTTGCTGGCATGCTCTCTCCCATGGCTACCCTCTCACCACTTTGCAAGCATGCATGCATGGGTGGACCTTGCCCCCACTCCCCAACCAGCATGCATGTGCATGTTCACTACTGTGTACTGCCATTGCTGCCAGTGCAGATGCACTCCACTGACTCTCACCCCTCGTGGACATGCAGACACCTGACCACACAACAATCACTATGAATGCATGCATAGATGCCAGCAACCCCCCACCCCCAGCCCATTGCTGTGAATATCTATAGGGACACTGGTGTCTATGCCCATGCCAGCACCTTGCCTCCATTGCCACTGCCTCCACTGCATTAAGCATGTGTAGGAGTGCTGCAGCCCCAGTCCTGCTGGCACCCCACCCCAGCTGACATATGTACACTACACCGTACTGGTGCAGTTGCTGGCATGTACAAGCAAGCACCAATCTCATGGCCACTGTCCTGATGAAGGGCTTTGGCCAGCTTCACATATTGGAGTATTGTGGCCAGGGGACCCAGAACACTTCTACCCCTCCAGTGCAACAGGTTTATAATCTCAAAGGGCCACAGAACAAAGCTGGAGGCCCAGTCCCAGCTCCCAGAGTCAGAGCATGAAGCCCAGGAGTACTGAACTCAGACCTGATCCCATAAAATCTTCCAGAAACAAACCCAGTTGACTGGACCCACCTTATACCACAAACAACCCTCAAGGTCATCAAGGAAGCTAAAGCAAAGAACCCCATCCAAAGGACAGGAACTTCAAAGACTGAAGGCACATCATCCCACACAGATGAGAAAGAACCAACACAAACACTCTGGAAACTCAAAAAGCCAGAATGTCATCTTACCTCTTAACAAGCATGTTAGTTCTCCAGCAATGGTTTTTAACCAGGCTGAAATGGTTCCAATGACAGGCATATACTTCAGAATATGAGATGAATGAAGACCATCGAAATTTAGGAGAATGTCAAAAACCAGTCCAAGGAATCTAAGGAGTACAGTACAATGATACAGGAGATGAAAGGCAAATGGCCATTTTAAGAAAGAAGCAAAGTGATCTGATAGAGCCAAAAAACTCACTTCAACTACTTCATGATACAATATCAAGTATTAACAGCAAAATCAATCCAGCTGAGGAAAGAATCTCAGAGCTTGAAGATCAATTCTCTGAAATAACTCAGACAACAATTTTTTAAAAAATGAATAAAGAATAGTGAACAAAATCTTCAGGAAACATGAAATTACGTAAAGAAATCAAATCTACATGTCATTGGTGGCCCTGAAAGACACGGAGATAAAGCAACCCACTTGGAAAATGTAGTTCAGAATATCGTTCATAAAAATTTCCCCGACCTCACTAGAGAAGCCAACATTCAAATTCAGGGAATGCAGAGAACCTCTACAACATACAAGATGGCCATACCTAAGACACATAGTCGTCAGATTTTTCAAGGTTGAAATGAAATAAAAGATGTTAAACACAACTCTGGAGAAGGGGCAGCTCATCTACAAAGGGAACTCCATCAGACTAACAGAGGACCTTTCATAAGAAGCCCTACAAACCAGAAGAGATTGGGGACCTACATTCAACATTCTCAAATAAAAGTAATTACAACCAAGAATTTCATATCCAGCCAAACTAAGCTTCATAAGTGAAGGAGGAATAAGATCCTTTTCAGCAAGCCATCGTTAAGGGAATTTGTTATTACCAAACCTGCTTTACAGGAGATTCTTAAGGGAATGCAAAATACAGAAAGGAAAGACCATTACCAGACACCACAAAAATGCACTTAAGTACATAGACTGCTGACAGTATATAGCAACTACACAATCAAGTCTGCATAATAACCAGCCAACAACATGATGACAGGATCAAATCCTCATATATCAATATTAATGTTGAATGTGAACAGGCTAAATTCCCTAATTAAAAGACAGAGAGGGGAAAATTGGGTAAAGAAGAAAGACCCAAATGTATGTTGTCTTCATGATACTCATCTCACATGCAATGACATCCATAGGCACAAAGTAAAGGGATGAGAAACAAGCAAGCAAACAGAAAACAGAAAACAGAAGAAAGGGAGGGGTTAGTATTCTAATTTCAGATAAAACTGACTATAAACCAACAAAGTTGAAAAAAAGACAAAGAAGGGCATTATATAATGGTAACAAGTTTAATTCAACAAGAAGATCTAACTATCCTAATATATATGCACCCAACACAGAAGTACCCAGATTCACCAAAAAAAAAAGTTCTTAGAGACTTAACAAAGATACTTAGATAACCATACAATAATAGTGGAAGATTCAACAACCCAGTGTCAGTACTAGACAGATCATTGTTTCAGAAAACTAACAAAAATATTTGGGACTTGAACTCCACACTTGACCAGATATAACTTACAGACATCTACAGAACTTTCCATCACACTGGAAAAAAAATACAGAATATACATTCTTTACATCTGCACATGACACATATTCTAAATTTGACCACAGAATTGGGCATAAAACATTTCTCAGCAAATTCCAAGATAAAAATAAAATCCTACCAACTACAATCTCAAAGCACAGCACAATAAAAATTGCAATCAATACCAAGAAGATTGCTTGAAGCCCTACAATTACATAGAAATTAAACAACCTGTTCCTGAATGACATTTGGATAAACAAAAAATTAAGGCAGAAATCAAGAAATTCTTTTAAACTAATGAGAACAAAGATACAACATACCAGAATCCAGGATACAGCTAAAGCAGTGTTAACAGGGAAGTTTACAGAACTAAATGCCCACATCAAAAAGTTAGAAAAACCTCAAAGTAGTAACCTAAAATGACACCTAGAATTACTAGACAAAGAAGAGCAAATCAACCCCAAAGTTAGCACAACACAAGAAGTAACCAAAATCAGAGCTGCAGTGAAGGAAATTGAGATGCAAGAAGCTATACAAGAGAACAATTAATCTAGTAGTTTGTTATTTGAAAAAATAAATAAGATCGATAGACCATTAGCTAAACTAACAACAAAAAAGAGAGATCAAAATAAACAGAGTCAGAAAAGACAAATGAAACATTACCACTGACCCCACAGAAACACACAAAAGCCTCAGTGCCTCCTATGAACATCTCTGTGTACATAAACTAGAAAATCTAGAAAAAAATAGATAAATTCCTAGAAACATACAACCTCTCAATATTGAACCAGAAATAAATTGAATCCATGAACAGATCAATAATGTGTTCTGAAACTGAATCAGCACTAAAAGCCTATCATCCAGAAAAAGCTCAGGGCCAGACCACTTCAGAGCTGAATTCTACCAGATGTACAAAGAGCTGGTGTCATCCACACTGAAACTATTTCAAAAATTGAGGAGGAGGGACTTCTTCCTAATTCATTCTCTTAGGCCAGCATCATTCTGATCTCATAACCTGGCAGACACACAAGAAAAAGAAAACTTCAGGCCAATGACCTTGATGGACATAGATGCAAAAATCTTCAACAAAATATTAGCAGACTGAATCCAGCAGCACATCAAAAAGTGAATCCACCACAATCAAGGAGGATTTATCCCTAGGATACAAGGTTGGTTCAACATATGCAGATCAATATATTTAATTCATTGCATAAACAAAATTAAAAACAATAACCAAATGATTATCTGAATGGATGCAGAAAAGCCTTTTGATAAAATTCAACATCTCATCATTGTAAAAACCCTCACTAAAGTAGACATTCAGGAAACATACTTCAAAATAATAAGAGCAATCTATGCTAAACCCAAAGCTAACTTGATACTGAACAAGCAAAAACTAGAAGACTTCCACTGTGAGAATGAGAATAAGACAAGATGCCCACTCTCACCACTCCTATTAAACATAGTACTGCAAGTCCTAGTCAGATCAATCAGGCAAGAGAAAGAAAATAAAGACATTCAAATAGGAAGAAACAGAGTCAAACTATCTGTGCTGTAGACAATGCGATACTCTACCATGAACTCCATAGCCTCTGCCTAAAAACTCCTAGATCTGATAAACGATTTCAGCATAGTTTCAATATACAAAATCAATAGCATTTCTACACACCAACAATGTCCAAGCTGAGAGCCAAATCAAGAATGCAATTTTATTCACAATAGCCACAAAAAGAATAAAATACCTAGGAATACAGGTAGTCAGGGAGGTGAAAGGTCTCTACAATGAGAATTAAAAAACACTGCTGAAAGAAATCAGAGATGACACAAATAAATGGAAAAACATTCCATGCACATGGATAGGAAAAATCAATATGGTTAGCGTGGCCATACTGCCCAAAGTAATGTACGCATTCAATGCTATTCCCATCAAACTATCAATGACATTCTTAACAGAATTAGAAAATACTATTTTAAAATTAATATGGAACCAAAAATGAGCCCAAATAGCTAAGGAAATCCTAAGCAAAAAGAACAAAGCTAGAGGCAGCACATTACCCAACTTCAAACCATACAACAAGACTGCAGCAACCAAAACAGCATGGTAGTGGCATAAAAACAGACACATAGACCAATTGAACAGATTGAGAGGCCAGAAAAAAAAAACACACACACATTCAAAACCACCTTACCTTTGAAGAAGTTAACAAAAACAAGCAATGGGGAAAGGACTTTCTATTCCATAAATGGTGCTGGGATAACTGGCTAGCCATATGCAGACAATTGAACCTCAATCCTTTCCTTATACCACGTACAAAAAATCAACTCAGGATGGATTTAAAGACTTAAATATAATACCTTAAATTATAAAAACCCTGGAAGATTACCTAGGAAATGCCATTATGGACATAGAAACAGTCAAAGCTCACATGATGAAGGTGCCAAAAACAACTGCAACAACAACAAAAAAAATTGACAAATGTGACCTAAGTAAACTGAAGAGTTTCTGCAGAGAAAAAGAAACTATCAACAGAGTAAACAGATAACCTATAGAGTAAGAAAAATTAATTGCAAACTAGGCATCTGACTAAAGGCCTAGTATCAGAATCTACAAGGAACTTCAGCAAATTAACAAGCATTAACCAAACAACCCTATTAAAAAGTGGACAAAGTACATGAACAAACACTTTTCAAAAGAAGACATACATGTGGTCAGTAAGCATATGAAAAAAAGCTCAATATGACTGATCATTAGAGAAATGCAAACCAAAACCACAATGAGCTACCATCTTACACCTGTCAGAATGACTATTATTAAAAAGTCAAAACCTAACAGATGCTGGTGAAGTTGTGGAGAAAGGGAACACTTGCATACTGCTGGTGGTAATGTAAATTAGCTCAATCATTGTATAAAGAAGTTAGGCAATTTCTCAAAGAACTTAAAATAGAATTATCATTTCCCCCAACAATCCTATTATTGGGTATATACCAATGGAATATAAAGCATTCTACTATAAAGACATATGCACATGTATGTTCATCACAGTACTATTTACAATAGCAAAGACACGTAATCAACCTTAATGCCCACCAATGGTAGACTGGATAAAGCAAATATGATATATATACACAATGAAATACTATGGAGTCATAAGAACGAATGAGATCACATCCTCTGCAGAAACATGGATGAAGTTGGAGGTCATTATCCTACGCAAACTAACACAGGAACAGAAAACCAAATACCACATGTTCTCACTTACATGTGGGAGCTAAACATTGAGTACACCAAAAGGACATAAACAAGGGAACAATAAGTACCAGGCTTTACTTGAGGTTGGAGGGTGGGAAGAGGGTGAAAAAATACCCATAAGGTACTATGCTTATTACCTGAGCAACAAGATAATCTGTACACCAAAACCCTCTGACACAAAATTTACCTATATAACAAACCTGCACATGTACCCATGAACCTAAAATAAGTTAAATAAATAAAAAAGAATAGCCTATGACAGCCTGGCCAACATGGGGAGATCCCATCTTTGCAAAAAAAAATCTAAAAAAGTAGGCAGTTGTGGTGGTGCATGCCTGTGGTCCTAGCTACTCAGGAGGCTGAGGTAGAAGGATTACTTGAGCCTAGGAGAGAGGTCGAGGCTGCAGTGAGCTGTAATTGTGCCATTGCACCCCAACCTGGGCAACAGAGTGAGACCTTGCCTCAAAAACAATAGCCTATGACTCATAAATTAACTTTTTGAATCTCAATTATTTTCAATTTTTATTTTATTTTCAGTTCTGGGGTACATGTGCAGGATGTGCAGGTTTGTTACATAGGTAGACATGTACCATGGTGGTTTGTTGGCACCTATGAACTCAACACCTAAGTATTAAGACCAGCATGCATTAACTATTTTTCCTAATGCTCTCCCTCTCCTCATCCACCTCCCTCACCACCTCACATAACCTTTTTTGGATATTTGATGCCAAATATCCAAAAAAGCAATTCTTTTTTCTTAATATTTTGGTTAAATGGGGAGTGAATTTTGTATATTTCCAGTATAAAACTGAAGATGTTGCCATCATAGGATATTTTCCCAAAGGTTTTCATGTACACAATATCATTTTTTCAAGGATCCACCTGAATTACTTCCATTAGAGTCACTCATTTAGGCTAAGTAATTATTTTCAAGAGGCTCTTGTGTAAATGAAAATGTCTTACCTCTTTAGCCTGTAAGTTGTGGTGAATATTTTTGTATTAGTAAATACGGACTATTAAAAAAATCCTGAGGGAAATTACATTACGAGAGATATTTGAGGGACAGGAGCAGGAAAATCATTATAATCCTGATATCTGTTATGGAAAGAAATGTCATGTTAGGCAATTAACTGGTAATGCTTACACCACTGTGATGCAGGATGTTCTGGGAGGCAAAGCAGTGTAGTGGTCGAGAGCCTAATGGCTTTGGTTCAAAATTCTGTTTACCACTTCCTGGCTGTGTGACCTTGTGCAAATAACTTAACCTCTCTATGCCTAATCCATGAAATAGATACTATAATAGTATCTGTCTGCCAGAACTATTAGAAGAATAAAAGGAATTTCTGCATAACAAAGTGTCTGCTTCAGCTAATGTTCACTATAGCAAACAATACATGTCAAAGAATAGAACCTCATAATGCCTTATACATATTAAATTATCAATACTAATCAATGAATAATTATAAAGGAAACATTTTTATGTCTGATCATATATTTGAAAGTAAAGTAATAAAATGGAATAATGCAGAAAAATAGGTAATTAGTTAACCACAAAACAATGGCAGGTATATTTTTTAAATTGTATTGTTTTATGAATTATCAACAAAAATACTATATGCCTCTACTCCTAAGCAAAGAATGTGGTAAAATGAAATTATCATCGAAAAAATCTAAAGAGTATTCGTTAGTCTTTAACAGTGTTGATGCTGCATTTTTAACTATCTTTCCACGTAATTAAATTATTTCCATTGAGGTTTCTGAAGGTTTTCTTATGGCATCACTACGACTGTGTTTAAAATGTGTTTAGACACTAATGCAGTTTGCATAATAACCTGTTAGTCAGCAAAAGGCCTAGGGAAACAAGAAAAAAAAAGTGTCAAATTCTTCGTATGAACTTATCTAAAAAACTCAAGTATGTATCTAATATCAGCAAACCAAATACCAAATATTATTTTCATTTTTGATTTTCAGTATAAATAGCATTCTGTCTAAACTAGTTTTAGTTAAGGAGGGCTGCTGAGGAAAGCCTGATGTCTTAGTCTGTTCCAACTACTATAACAAAATACATTGACTGGGTGGTTTATAAACAACACAAATTTATTTGTCACAGTGCTAGGAAAACTAGAAAGTCCAAGATCAAGACACCAGAAGATTCAGTTTGGGATAAGTGCCCATCATCATGCTCTGACTTCACATAGTGGAAAGGGCAAGGTATCTCTCTAGGATCTCTTTTATAAGGGAACTAATCACATATAAGAGAGCTAATCAACTTTCAAAGCCCCCACTTCCTAATCCATCACCTTGGGGATTAGTATTTCAACTGTAAACATTCAGTTAATTGAACCTAACTTTTGTGTGTTTGCATATGTCAGTACTTAAATGTATTACTACTCTTTATAATGACCCCCAACAAATCTGGAATTAGAATACATCTAAAGCCTTCTTTGAGGCTTAAGCCTTGAGGCTGTTACCTGTTAATTTTAAGAAATTGATGATTTGCTCTACCAGCGTAAATGTGAGATGACATAAACCAGATTATGTTTGATTTGATTTTGTGGTGCTCATATAGCAGTTCTGAGTCAAATAGCTCAGATTCAACTCTCCTCAGGCAAACCTACAAAATCTTTGAGGGAAGAAAAAGCTGTTAACTGTCACCGAATTTTGGTTTTTATTTTTTCTCTTCTCTGTCAAATGTCAAAGTGATAAATCAGGAATTTGAAAACCATATCAAAGAAAGGCGGGCACATGTTGTGGCAGCACCACATCAAGATTCACATCTGCATAAAGACTCTTGGACCAAGGTGCTGTGCAACCTACCATTGAGATGCAAGGCACTGACTTGCTCTTCCTGTCACTTTCAATCACTCATTCACGTTCAACAGGGACCCATTCGATATAAAGATCAAATGACAAAATAAGCCTCCAATCATGAGTTGCTACAGCACAGGTGCATCACTGTGTCCACTTCATGCCATTTTGACAGGGCTTGTCATACAAAGGCAAAGACTAACGTTAATAGACATTTCAATAAATTATTTTTGAAAAGTTATTTACTATATGCTTTCACAGGAGAAGCAAGGGTAAATCATTTAAATTTACTCGCAAAAAGTGATTGAGTTGAAAATAAAAATGAGATTTTAAATGTGTGTATATATATTTGAGATGGAGTGTCACTCTTACTGTGTCACAGAGGCTGGAGTGTAGTGGAATGATCTCGGCTCACTGCAACCTCTGCCTCCAGTCTTCAAGCAATTCTCCTGCCTCAGCCTCTCAAGTAGCTGGGACTACAGGTGTGCCACCATGCCTGGCAAAATTTTTACATTTTTAGTAGAGATGGGGTTTCACCATATTGGCCAGGCTGCTCTACAACTCCTGACCTCAAGTGATCCGCCCAACTTGTTCTCCCCAAAGTGCTGAGATTACAGGCGTGAGCCACTGCGCCCGGCCAAAAAAAAAAAAAAAAAAAAAAAAAAAAAAAAAACAAGAAAAAACAAACGCAAAAACAAAAACAAAAACAGAAAACACTGGTCTCCTTGAAAACTCTCATTGGTGAAAGCAAATGCAACACTGTGAGCATATTTTGCAGGCAGCTTCCTTCCTAAACTGAAGCCACACTGTCTTGTATGTCTATCCTGTGAGTCATCTGTTGTTACTCATCTGTGTGCTCTCTTTTGCTTCTTTTCCCCCTCTTTCTGAGTGTCAGTTGAACTTCAAAGGGATAAAGGAAACAAAGCTTGATATCAGGTAGAGTGGCAACTCCTTTTTAAATAGAGAAAGTGGTTCTTATGAGAAAAAGCTGAAATTCTTACATAGGGTTTGAGTCTCACGAACACAAGTCTTTCCTAAAACTCCTTGAAAAGCAGCACATTGCATTTCATGTTTGTCTCACTATTGCTTTTTGATGACTACCATTTATGCCAGCAGAAACAATACAGTATTTCAGAGGGTTCTAGTAAGAATTTTTTGTAACATACTGCAAAAAATATGAGAGACCATGTAAGAGACCAGAAAAAAATAGTCATCAACACCAAGAATTGAAACACATAAGTCATTAAAAATGACTTGCTTCAATAATATATTTCCCTAAAACAACAAATATAGTAATTTCATATAATACAAATTGCTATAGGAAAAAAAACGGTTAAGCGAGAAACAATGTCATAAAGTTAAAACAGAGTGACTGACTGTACAGTGATAAAATAAAACTATGTAATATTTAAGTTGAACTATATAAGATTGCTGATATCTGACTGATTTTTACCTAGAAAAATGCCAGTTTCATATGTATATTTTTAAATTACAGACAGTGTCTTGCTCTGTTACCCAAGCTGGAGTACAGTGGCATGATCATAGCTCACTGTACTCTCCACCTCCTGGGCTCAAGCAATCCTTTCACCTCAGCCTCCCAATCAGCTAGGACTAAAGGTGTGTGGCACCATGCCTGGCTAAGTGTAAAAAAATAATTTTGTAGAGACAGGGTCTTGCTATGTTGCCCAGGCTGATCTTGAATTCCTGGCCTCAGGAGATCCTCTCTTCTCAGACTCCCAAAGAACTGGGATTACAGCTGTGAGCTACTGAGCCTCGTTTATATGGTTTTATCTAAAGCTAAAATGTGCTCTATACAAATAACATCTTCAGAGATCTTGCATCTATCATGTATGTTGTCAACAAGATTTTTCTTTTTTTATGACTAAAACATCCAGGTAAATCATTATTTTTCAAAATTCTTCCCAAGTAGGAATCTTTATCAAATTATTTATAAAACCGTGTTGCTTTTTATCTTCTCCTGCCCTTTTTTCATACTTGTGTCTGTAGAGAAGCTTGATGACATTTAGAAAGTGCATCTAATTCATATGTTTATCATTTGTTGAAAAGAAAAATCCATTTTGTACAACTTGAGAAATATACTTCACTTTGTTTGGGAATTCAAACATTGCTACCAGAGGTTTATTTGCCAGAGAGCAGGTAAACTTCCTGCAGTAGTCGAAGTTTGAGGCAATTATGCTGGCAGAAACAACTATCTAACCAGAGAAGTTACAACTGGGAAATAATTAGAACTCTGGTCTTTGGCATCCAGTTCAATGGTTACAAGGAGGGCTTGCAAAGATATCTCTGACCCCTTAGTCCTTATTACCTCATTAACAAATATCAACAAGAATGGCTGGTGGGTGATATCTTCCCTTTAATGTGATTGCTGCATAATTGACAAGAACAAAATATTTTCTTGCTTTATGCCACACTACCGTAGTTAGCAAGACTACAGCAAAATGTAAAAATGTGATGGACATGCAAAGAAGTTAAAGAGTTTACCAACAATAGGATTCTCTTGTCTCATGGCATGAGAAGCAGTGTTGAGAAGTTATACATGCATACATATATTTATGGGTAAATATCATATTATCAGAAATGTTAGGTACTTGTAAGAGTAGAAATGAACTAAAGATATCCATCATATCTTGCTTTTTACTTATTTTCAAACGCTAATAAAACTGCATCTGACCTTGGTAACGTTTTGCAAAACAGAATTGTTAATTACCCATCTATATATTTATTGATTAAAATAGCATCCTTAAGCTTTTAATTTTCATATTTATTCTCTATATGGTTTTATGTTTTCAGTATATGGAGTTAATTTTTCTATGTGAATATGTACTCTATCCTCCTTTTTAATTTTTATCAATCTCAAATTTTACCTTTAAATTTAATTTAATGTTTGCTATCCATATTACTTTTTAGAACCTACTATTTATGGAAAGAGAACTCTCTTCATGGCATCATGCTAGGTTGAAGCTAGGAATTTAATTTAGCTTATTTATTGAATGATCTAGACTTGTTAGGTGCAAGAAGAAACAATTTTTTGTCAAAACTGCCCCTATTGTCTTCCCTAGGGACTCTTGCCCCTAGATGAAACACCAACAGATTTCATGTTTTTCTTTTTTTCTGGTTATTATCAAATGCTTTACAACCCAGTCTATTCTACTATACAAAATGTTAGATTTTAGTATTTCACCCTATATGGATACAATATCCCCTCTCACTCTACCAATTGGAAGCATCATTGAGAGTGTTAGAGCAGCACAGTCACTTTCATGACTGCAGCATTGTCCCTCTATATATGACAAATTTTTGTAGGGTGATTTTGTAATTGTCTCAGAAATTTGTCTGCTGGATATTATGTTAATTGTTCTCTAGTATAAAAGATATCTCCATTAGTTGGCTGCAACTAATTCAGAACATCTCAGTTCTGGTTTTCTGTGTTTGGTGTAACTGGGACACGTCAACTTATCAGCTTGGGGAGATAGGCCTTTAAACTTTCCTTGCGCCTCATCTTTATTTTTCAGGGTATACTCTGGCCTATAGGAAATAGATGCCTTAGTCCCACAACTCCAGAATGGTGTCCCTCTCTTTCACGGTGTTAACTTAAGCTAGATTTTGGTCCTTTACTTTTATAAGTATAAATTGAAGTGCATAATCAGTTGATTTTAATTAAAGGAGATTATTCTAAGAAATCTGTGCAGGCCTCTTCCAGTCGGATAAAAAACCTTAAAATTAGAGAGACAAGATTTCCTACAGGAAGAAGAAATTCCCTCTATGAATAGAAGCTTTAGCTTCTGTCCAAGGGTTGCAACTTACATTTTTGATGTTGTTCAGATTTCAGGTTTGCCTTGGCAGCCTCCCATAATTGCATGCTTGCAATAAATCTCTTAATACGTATCTACTTCTGGTTTCATTTCTCTGTTTGTATCTCTTTGACAGATGCAAATCTTGGTACCTAAAGACGTTCAAGAGAGACAGAAGCTTAGGATGAGTTTTCTGAATTGGTTATGTATTTTCTTGTATTGGTTCTCTGATTCCATCTAAAGACATTGATGACTCAATTTTCATTGATGAAGAAGGCATTGTTAGTCCATGGCACGGTATGATAGTAGCAATATGAAAAATATTGCCATTGGACACTCCTAATCAGATGCTTATAAAAGGTAGGGTTCTGGGTGACCCTGTATTTGATATCGCAAAATATTCAAATTAAACTAAGAAGTATAATGGGATTGGCTGGTTGCTCCTAACTGCCCTAGAGAATGTGGGGAAAAGAGTCAAATAAGAGCTTCAAATTTGCAGTGGAAACTCCTTATATATGACCTTGAAGCTTCTATGCTTGACCTGAAAGAAACTCTTAACTTCTGGGCTGAGATTCTGAAAGTTAAACCACAAGCCTTATCCTGCTGGTCACTGAATTAAAAAGCAAATTTAATTACCAACTTTACAGAGTTTCTTCCACTAAATTGAGGGCATTTATTAGGAAGAAATGAGATCATGAAAGTTGGAATGGAGAAATATAGGAAGATCCCGATGGGGGACATCAAATCTATAAATTTTGCTAAATCTTCTTGCCAATAGAATGAGCCTTTTCACTCCTGCCTGAGGAGGTTACCTCTGCTTTGCCTGAAGAACCAACTCCTGTGGTAGTTGCTTTGCGAAGCATTGTTGATTCTCATAGGATTTACCCATGCTATTTTTCACTTCGAGACCTATAAGTAGAAGTCCCAGCAGACCCTAGAGGATAAGGTACAAAATGTGATTCATAAGCTGATGTACTATACACATGATGGAAAAAATACAAAGGTGGATCAGGTTGAATTTATTGATATAGGTACACAAAATAAAGATTTTGCATTCAATTTTTCTTTCTTTTTTTTTTTTTTTTGTTTCTTTGTTTAAGACAGAGTCTAGCTGTGTTGCCCAGGCAGGGTGGAGTGCAATGATGCCATCTCAGCTCACTGCAACCTCTGCCTTCTGGGTTCAAGCAATTCTGCCTCAGCATCCCGAGTAGCTGGGATTACAGACACACACTACCACACCAGGATAATTTTTTATTTTTAGTAGAGACAAGGTTTCACTATGTTGGCCAGGCTGCTCTTTAACTTCTGACCTCAAACAATCTGCCTGCCTCAGCCTCCCAAAGTGCTGGGATTACAGGCGTGAGCCACCATGCCCAGCCCTCAATTTTTATTTTAAGGAGCTAGAAAGAACCCTGACAGTTTAGTTGGTTGGCTGAAACATGAATCCAAAGGTAATTTACACCAAATGAGGTTGAAATGCCAAAACTGATTCGGTATAATATAGAGAAAGGAATACAAAAGCTTAAGGAGATTTAAATGTTGAGTGGATTTATTATGGAAGACCTGCTCATTCACTCTGGGAAGGCCCAGAATTTTTCCCATGACTGTGAGAAATGAATTTTTGAGGGCAACTAAGCATCTTTAAGTTCTCTGTGATCACTTGTGTCTGTAGGTCAGAAATTACAGTGGGAATGCGTGTTGCCAAACTAGAATCTCTAAATGCAGTGGCATAATGGTGTCCTACAGAGGCAAGACCAAGTAGAAAATATCTTCAAAGTCAAAGTGGGCATGGGTGTCATAATGGACAGTGAAGTCAAAGCAGTAATCCTTAATCTGATTTGCAGAGACCTATGGTGTTGGGTGGTTGATCATGGTGTTCCTATAAACGAAATAGGTAGTCCACTAGTTCTGTGTAAGGGGGATAGTTCTAGGTCAAGTGAACAGAGGACTAACTTGTATGATAGAAGCAGGAGTCAGGACCACTCAATAAATTTCTAGACTGGAGGAAATTAACAGACACAAAACTCCTTGAATAAAGGAGAGGCTATATCCCCTTGAGAAAGGATCCCATTACACTGTAAACAATCTAATCTGGTATTCCTTCTTCAAGCCTTCCGTTAAGGGACACATGACCAAATACTAATTTCCAGAGATCCGAAACTTTACTGTGGTCTATCAGTTAGAGTGGTAGACCTCAGAGGCTTATAAAGGTCTGGTGATCAAAACAGTTTTACAGCAGCTGTCTCACCGTAGAAGCAGTGGGTTCCTGAACATATTCTGTGGTTATTTCCCCATTTTAGACTGCATCATTGTTATAGTTAGACTTAGCAAATGGCAGAATATCCACATTGGTTCCCTGACCTGTGGAATGAAAGCTATCATGGTAGTAATGGCCACATGGAATACAATCAAACTATCTTTATGTACAAAAATAGTAAAGAAAAAGCAATGCTACATTTCTAAAGAGATTTCAGAGATTAATGCCACTACCAAGGACTTGAAAAATGTAGGGGTTGTGATTCTCACCACATCCCCATTCAACTAATCTATCTGGCTTGTGCAAAAAAGAGATAAGTCTTGGAGAATGATAATATATGAACTTAATCAAGTGGTGACTCCAGTTGCAGCTGTTGTTCCAGACGTGCTTTCATTGTCTGAGCAAATTAAGGCATCCTCTGGTACCTGATATGCAGCTATTGTTCAGGCAAATGCTTTTCCTTTATCCTTGTTATGAAAGACTGCCAGAAATCAGTTTGTTTTGAGCTTTTAATGCCAGCAATATAAATTCTCCAACCCTATGTCATAATTTAGTCCATAGGGACACAATCACTTCTGCCTTCCACAAAACATCACAAAACAAAGTTTACACTGCCATCCAGTAACTTTGGGTTTCATGCCTCTGAAACAATAAGCAAAGAAGAAATAATATTATCAAGGCATTATATTGATAATATTATTCTGGTTAGAACTAGCAAGCAAGAAATATCAAGTATTATAGACATATTTTTAAGGGTACAGAGGTGTGAAACGTGTTGAGACGTTCCTTCTAAAGTTAAGGATAGTTGTCACATTTGGCCTCTTCTACAACCGAAAAAGAGCACAACACCTAGTTGGCCTTTTTTGGATTTTTTTTTTTTTTTGGTCAGCAACATATTCCTTATTTGAGTTTTAAAGTAGAGCCCAGAACAAAAGAAGGCTCTGCAAAATGTCCAGACTGCTGGGAAAGCTACCCTGACACTTGGTCCATACAATCCAACAAACATCTTGCAGTGTCATACACAGATAGAGATGTTCTTTGGAGTCTTTGACAGTTCCCTATCGGTGAATCCCATTGCAGTTTCTTATGATTTTTGAACAAAAGTTTGCTATCCTCTGTGGATAACAGCTTTCTTGAGAAACACCTCTTTGGCTTGCTAATAGGACTTAGGAGAGACTGAACATTTAACTCTAGGCTGCCAAGTTCCCATATGACCTGAGCTGCCCATTATGAACTAATACAAACTGACCCACTAAACCATAATGTTGGGTGTGCACAGCAGAACTCTAGTATGAAATGAAAGTGGTATATACAATCAGGTCTGAGCAGATCCTGAGAGCATAAAGGAATTGTATGAGAAAATGGTCCAAATACCCATGACCTCTACGCCTGCTACATTACCTTTTTTCTCTAAGCCCACTCCTATGCCCACATAAATAATTTCCTGTGACCTGTTGACTAGGAAGGGAAAACTGAGGCCTGATTTATTATTGGTTCTGCTTGATATGCAGGTACCACCTACAAATGGACAGCTGTAGCACTAAAGGCCCTTTCTGGAACATTCCTGAAAAACAGTGATAAAGGAGAATCTTCCCAGGGGGTAGAACTTCAAGCAGTATTCTGGACTGTTTATTTTCCTAGGAAGCAAAAAACAGTCAGAAGTAAGAGTCTATATTAACTCCCAAGCTCTGATCAATTATTTGACTAGGTGGTCAGGGATTTGGAAGGAGCACGATTGGTAAATTGGTTCCAAGATAGCGTGGGAAAAAGTATGTTTATAGACTTATCTGAATGGACGAATAATGAGAATTATTTTGTCCTGTGTGAATTCTCATAAAAGGATGATCTCAAAAGAGTAGACTTAATTAAACAAGTGGATAAGATTATCTCTTCTGCGGGTACTAGTCAGCCTCTTTCTCCAGCCCCTCCTGCCATTGCCCAACAGGTTAACAAAGAAAGTGACCATGGCAGTAGGAATGGAGGTTATGCTGGGTTAAGCAATTGGACTTTCACTCCCATTGTCAACCTGGCCACAGCTACTCTTTACTGTCCAATCTGCCAGAGGTAGAGAACAATACTGAGTCCTTGATATGGAACCATTCCCTGGAGCCTGCTACCTAAAAACGGGTTGATTACACTGGATCACTTTCATCATGAAAGGTGCAGCACTTTGACTTTACTGGAAAAGACACTTACTCTGAATATGGATCTTTATTTTCATTTACAAGATGTTCCTGCCAAAACTTCTAGCCATGAGTTTACAAAATCCCTTATCTGCTTTTAAGGTATTCAACACAGTATTAATTGCTTCTGATCAAGAAACTCACTTCACAGCAAGTAAAGTGTGGCAAAGGGACCATATTTATAAAATTACTAGTCTTACTATGTTCCTTATCATCCATAAGCAGCTGGTTTGACAAAATAGTGGAATGGACTTTGAGGACATTTAAAACACCATCTAAGGGACAATACTTAGTGAGGCCGGAAAAATATCCTCCAAGATACTGTATATGATCTAAATCAGCATCCAGTATAATGGTGCTTTTTCTCTTATAGCCAGGATTATTGTCCAGGAATCAAGGGGTGGAAATGAGAGTGACTCCACAAACTTTTACCCCTAGTGATCTGTTAGCAAAATTGATACTTTCTGTTTCATCACCTTAACATCTGATGGTTTAGAAATTTTGGAGAAACACCAATGGCCATTGAACTGAAAGTATAGACTTCCATCCAGTAACTTTGGGTTTCATGCCTCTGAAACAATAAGCAAAGAAGGGGATTACTAAATTGGCTATGTGGATTGGTGCTGAATACCAAGAGGAAATTGGGTTGCTGCCATAGAATGGAAGTGAGAAGCAGTGTGTCTGGGATACAGGATATTCCATAAAGCATCTCTTAAGATTATCGTGTTCTGTGATTAAGTAAATGGAAAACTGCAAAAACCAGATTCAGACTAAACTTCTAATGGTTCAGATCCTTCAGGAATGAAGATTGAGCCACACTGTCAGGCAAATAACAACAACTAAGTATAGTGATTGCTGAGAGCAAAGAGGATATTGAATGGGTAGTAGAAGAAGGTAGTTCTAAATACCAGCTATGATTATGTGGTCAGTTGCAAAAATGAGGACTGTAATAGTATGTCTGATGGTTAATTTTATATGTAAATTTGACTGGGTCACAATGCTCACCTATTTAGTCAGACATTATTTTGAATATTTCTGTGACTTTTTTTTTTTAGATAAGATTAACATTTAAGTTGGTGAACTTTGAGCAAAATAGATTACTCTCCATAATGTGAGTGGGGTTAACTCAATCAGCTGAAAACCTTAATGTCCAAAGTGTAACCACCCCAAGAGCTAAAAGGAATTCTATCAGTAGACTGCCTTTGGATTTGAACTGCAACTCTTCCCTGGGCCTTCAGCCTTCCAGGCTGCCCCATCAGATTTTGGACTTACCAAGCTCTGCAATCACATGAACCAATTATTTAAGATATCTCTCTCTCTCTCTCTCTATCTCTCTCTTTCTCTCCTTATCCCATTGGTTCTGTTTCGCTGAAGAATCCTAATATGTTTGTATATATAAGCTAAATATTTTTATTTTCTACCCTCTCTTATTCCTTTGTCATAAAATATACAAATGATAGCTAACTTTATATTACAGCATTTGAATTACTAAATATCATCAGAGAAGAGTCTACATTACTCAAGGTTTTTGAATCATTGCCTCATGTTTTTTAGTTGCACACAAGATAGTTATACTATATTAGGCAGAATTATGACATTGTTATTATCCTCACTTAGAGATTAATATGGATTAAGAAGATTTTTGCATGGGTGCTAAAGTGAAAAGGACTAGGATGTGAATGTAAATTTTGTGCATCAAGTGGGTTATGCTCCAGCCTCACTTATTATTTACCTACTGAGAAGGTATTTTATAGAAGTGAATACAGTTCATAATCAGTTGACTTTAAGTAAGAAAGATTAATCTAGTGTATCTCCATGGGCCTGATTTAATTAGCTGAGAGTCCTTAAGAGCAGAGCTGAGGCTTCCCCGTGGAAGAAGAATTTCTGCCTGTGGATATGTGCTTTGGCTTGTGCCGCAGAGTTCCATTCTGCCCTTCTTGATTACCTACTATATGAATTTTGTACTTGCCTAGCTATGCACTAGCATAGCACAAAATAATTTCTTGTAATAAATCTGTTAATATATATTTTCTATTAGTTCTGTTTCTTTGGTTGAACTGAATCAATAGGAAATATACATCATTTCCAATGGACATAATGATAAACACTGATATGGATGGAAGATAAGGTGCCAGTCTTCCAAGTGTTCAAAGTATTATGTAAATCTCAAATTACCAACATCATTATATTTACAATTTGCTTTCATGCTTTAAGATCTGGGTTTAATTAAGGGGTTTTCCGTATTTTTGACCATGTTTATTAATATGTTTTGGTTAGTTAACCAGATACTTCACTAGCAAAAGTGGAATACATGGTAACCTATAATACACAAATGTCGTTGTGAATGGTTAACTTTGATGAAATAAATTCTATACTTGCAGAGAATATGGTAGCTGAAGAAATTAGCCTTTAAATTTAATCATGTTGATAAAGTGAGACTAGCAGATGTACTTGGGATTCTATCTATCTATCTATCTATCTATCTATCTATCTATCTATCTATCTATCAGTCAATGAGGCTGAGGAATAGATGAAATGGGGAGGCATTGATCAAAGGGTATAAACTTCAGCTACAAGATGAAAAAGTTCTGGGGGATTTCATGTACAGAATAACTATAGTTAATAATGCAGATAGAATTAGTTTTTACTGGTTGCCAGTTGTGCAGTTTCTGCCTTCACTTCTCATATTAGCTTGAGATACTTCTTGAGGTACATTTAGTAAGTCCTGACCTGTTCCGTCAGAATGGTTAGACTTCTATAGAAAAGCTGATATTTATGAAATCATGGAATTGCAAATTACACATTTTCCCCTTTGTGTTCTCCTAAATTAATTTATATATTTCTAACGACTCATAATGATGTTGAGCATCTTTTTCTGTGTTTACTGGCCATTTGTATATCATCCAATGTGAAGTGTTTGTTCAAATATTTTGTGTAGTTTTTATTGTATTATTATTGAGTAGTAAAGTTCTTTATATATTTTCTGCAGAAATACTTTGTAACTTACACATATTGTTAATATTTTATCCTATTTAGCATTATGCTGTATGATTTGCTTGTATTATCTTTAGAAAAGCAGCAGTTTTAAATTTTGGCATACTCCAGTTTATTATTATATTCTTCTATACTTAGTGACTTTGTATCCTGGTTAAGAAATTGTTTCTTTATAATAATTTTCTCCTGATAATGTTATTGTTTTATGTTTTAATTTAATGTTAATTTTATTTCTAGAAATTTTATCCTAATTCTGTGACCTTATTATAAAGTTTTTGTGAATAATTTTTGAGAATGTTGTGAGGTATGGGTAAGATGCCTTTACTTTTACAAAAAATACATTTCTTCCAGAACCATTTCTAGAAAGACTAAACTTTCCCCATTGATAGATAGGGCTATTTTCATATGTTCTATTCTGCTTCATCAGAATAGTCATATATATATATATATATATCTATATATATATATATATATATATATATATATATGTGTATATATATATGTGTGTGTGTGTATATATATATGAATAATATATATATTATCTGTGTGTGTGTGTATATATGTATATACACACACTGATATATACAGTTAATATGGTTTGGCTGTGTCCCCACCCAAATCTCATCTTGAATTGTAGCTCCCACAATTCCCACATGTCATGGGAGGGACCCAGTAAGAGGTAATTGAAACATCATGGGGGCAGGTCTTTCCCATGCTATTCTCGTGATAGTGAATAAGTCTCACAAGATCTGATGGTTTTATAAAGGGGAGTTCTCCTACACAAGCTCTCTTGCCTGCCACCGTGTAAGACATGACTTTGCTCCTCCTCCACCTTCCACCATGATTGTGAGGCCTCCCCAGCCATGTGGAACTGTGAGTCCATTAAATTTCTTTTTCTTTGTAAATTACCCAGTCTTGGGTATGTCTTTATTAGCAGCATGAGAACAAACTAATACAATAGTCATAGTACTTACCAATAGTGGCAGTTTTATTTCTTTCTTTTAAATATGTATTTATTTATCTCACCTTACTGAACTCACTAGGACATTCAATACAATTTTGAGTCAAAGTTGTGTAAGCAGAAATCTGTGTCTTGTTCTCAATTCTGTTCAGGATTTTCATAAATACTCTGTATCAATATGAATAAATTTCCTTCTCAATATTTTACTAAGAGGTTTGTTTTTTCTTTTGCTGGTCATCAATGAGAGGTGAATTATTACAAGTGTTATTGCTCTACCTGTTGAGATGATTATACGATATTTTTCCTTTAATCTGTGATCATGTTTAATCACTTAACGTGGTTAATCACTCAACGTATGTTGAATTAATCATTCAACATTTCTAGCTCAACATGTGGCTGTGTTTCAGATGTTAAATCAACTGTGAGTTCCTGTTATAAAATTCATTTGATCATGAATCTTTTTATAGAGTCCAAGATTACATTTTCTAATGTTTAGTTTAGGATGTTGTGGCTATACTTATGAGGTATATTATTGGTAGATTTATTGTAATGCCTTTTCTTTTGGTTTTCATATCAGAGTAATGCGGGCCTCATAAAATTAGACTTCATTCCTTCCTCTTTTCTTTCTAAAATTGTTTGTATAAGATTAATATTCATTATAAAATATTTGATGTAATTCACTAGTGAAACCTAGTGCTTCTTAAATATTAATTCATTTTATGGATAGAGAATTGTATAGACTAAGAATTTTCTTTTTTTTCTTATTTCAGTATGTAATGTGTCTTTTAAGATTTTTCCCTTTTATCTAGATAGATTCTATTGTCATAAACTTGTTTGTGATATTATCTTACTTTCCTTTTAATTTCTCTACTATTTGTTATGTCTCCTCTTTTATTTTAGATGCTATATTCGGTTCTCTTTTTAAAATTGATTAGTTTAGATAATTTTGTCAGGTGTTTAAGTTCTATGTATTTCATAAACTTCAGAATACACTAATATCCTATTTAAGTGACCAATTATATACTAACAACTAAAAGTGCAAAAATAAAATTTGTATTTACTCACATCTTTGGCACTCTTTATTTCCTTGTATTCTTTTGGTATTCTTTCCAGAGTTATTTACCTCAGGCTGCAAAGTTTCCCGTAATGTTTCAGGTAGTGCATTACTGCCAGCAACACATTTTTATGTTTTGCATTTGTTGGTTAAGTATCATTATTTTGCCTTCATTTTTCAAGATTATATATAATAGATATGGAATTCTAGGTTGACAGATTTTTTTTTCTGTTTAGCACTTTATCATGTCATTTCATTGTCTTCTTTACATCACTTATGATGAAAAACCCACAGTGTTGTTTTCTTTGTTTCTCTATTCTATATGTTATATGTCTTTTTATGGCTATTTTTGAATTTTTTTATTTCCATAGGTTCTGGGGAAACAGGCGTTAGTTGGTTACATGAGTAAGTTTTTAGTGGTGATTTGTGATATTTTGTCACACTCATCGCCTGAACAGTATAAACTGAATCCAATTTGTAGTCTTTTATCCTATACCTCCTTCCCACCCTTTCCCATGAGTCCCCAAAGTCCATAGAGTGGCATTCTTAACGCCTTCGCATTTTCATAGCTTAGCTTCCACATATGGGTGAGAAAATACAGTGTTTGGTTTTCTATTCCTGAGATACTTCACTTGGAATAGTAGTCTTAGTTCCATCCAGGTTGCTGCAAATGCCATATATACCACAATTTCTTTATCCACTCGTTGATTGGTGGACATTTGGTTCTATATTTTTGCAATTGCAAATTGTGCTGCTATAAACATGTGTGCGCAAGTATCTTTTTTGTATAATGACTTCTTTTCCTCTTCGTAGATACCCAGTAGTGGGATTGCTGGATCAAAAGGTAGTTCTATTTTTAGCTCTTTAAGGAATTTCCACGCTGTTTTCCACCGTTGTTGTACTAGTTTAAATCCCCACCAGCAGTGTAGAAGTGTTCCCTTTTCACTTTATCCATTTATAGCCAACTGATCTTTGACAAAGCAAACAAAAAAAGTGCGGAAAGGAAACCCCATTCAACAAATGTTGCCTGGATAATTGGCAAGCCACATGTAGGAGAATGAAACTGTATCCTCATCTCTCACTTTATACAAAAAACAACTCAAGATGGATCAAGGACTTAAAATCTAAGACCTAAAAATATAAAAATTCTAGAAGATAACAACAGGAAAATCCTTCTAGACATTGGCTTAGGCAAAGACTTCATGACCAAAAACCCAAAAGCAAATGCAACAGAAACAAAGATAAATAGGTGTGACTTAATTAAAGAGCTTCTGCACAGTAAAAGGAACAGTGAGTAAACAGCCCACAGAGTGGGAGAAAATCTTCACAATCTATACATTTGACAAAGGACTAAAATCAAGAATCTATAAGGAACTCAAATTATCAAGAAAAAAATAATCCCATCCAAAAAATGGGCTAAGGGTGTAAACAGACAATGATGCATTCATCATTGGCTTTCAGGACTTTGATTATGATGTGCCTTAGTGGTATGCATGTTTTTCATTTGTTTAGGGTCCATTGATCTTCATAGATTGCTGAGTTCAGAGTTTTCATCATATTTGGAAAGTTTTTGGTCATTATTTCTTCAAATAATTTTTTATTCTCATTCTTTTAGGTAGGTGAAGTCACATGTATATTGGACTATTTGATATAATTATAAAGGACGCTAAAGCTCTGCTTATTGTTTTCAGGGTTAAAAACATCTTTTTGTTTCAGTTTGGGTAGTTTCTCTTTTTCTTGCATTAAGTTCACTGATTTTTGTTCTGTTAGTTTCCTATCTGTTTCCAGGCCTGTCCAGTAAGTTTTTCTTCTCAGATACGTATTTTTTCAGTTGTTGAAATTCTATATTTATAGTTCCCACCTTTCCATTCATTATGCTAATGTTTTTCTTTAATATCTTAAATATGTCCATGGTAGCTAGCTATGAGTGTCTCTCTCTTTTCTTTGTCTTTTTCTATTTGTCTTTTTCCTTCTAATTGTAGATCAAGATTTCTGCTTTCTTGCATTTCTGTTTTAGTCAGTTCGGGCTGTTAAAACAAAACACTATAGACTAGATGGCTTAAACATTTATTTCTCACAGTTCTGGAGGCTGGAAAGTACATCAGGGTGTCAGCATGGTAATGTTCTCATGTGGCCTCTCTTTCTGGTTTTCTCATGTGGGCAATTTCTTGCTGTTTTATCACGTGTCCATGGTGAGAAAAAGACACATATGCCACATACACACACACCACATACACACACATACAGAGAGAGAGAGAGAAAAGGCAAGCTCTCTTGTGTCTCTTCTTAGGAAGGCACTAATCTTATCATGAGAGCGCCACCCTTATGATCTAATTACCTTGCAAATGCTCTACCTACTAATATCATCCCATTGAGGATTAGGGTTTCAACATATTAAGTGGGGGAGGGCACACAAACATTCAGTTCATAGCACTTGCATGTGATATGGGATGCTGGACATTGTTTATACTTCAATATTTTATGTTTTGCTTTCATTATCTTCTTTTGAAGGATGTGAAATATTGGTTTTCCTGGCAAGTATTAATTTACTTTGGTATTAGCTCGATAATGACGATGATAATGTGTGTGTGTGTGTGTCTTGTGTGTGTGTGTGTATGTGCATGCATATTTGCACTAATGGGACAACTCTAAAATAGCTTCCCCCTAAGGAGATTATTTCTCTTCCTAAAAGAAGAAAGGTATTTTTGGACTCTCTATTAAATGTCCCAGGTATTTAATAAGGTTTCTCCAATCTGTTTTATCAGATCTCTAACATTTTTCAATACTTTGCAAGCTCTAGGAAATGTGGCTAGAAATTCTTGATGATTGTTTTCTCAGTAGTTTCTTTTTCTGAGCACATAGAATCTCGCCTTCACATGCACATTTCCAAATATTGGCCACAAGTCAAGGGAATGCCTATGCAGATTTAGTCGTTCTTCCACTGTGAATGTACCTTCTGACAAATATTTTGCCCTGTATTCTATCTGCTTGAGTTTATCTAAACTCTAGTCTTCATCCCTTCAATTCAGCAAGACCATCATGGCTGTGTGAATTCCCTTCCTGTCTGTGCTTTAAAAAAATCATTCAGGCCATGCGCGGTGGCTCACGCCTGTAATCCCAGCACTTTGGGAGGCCGAGGCAGGTGAATCACCTGAAGTCAGGAGTTCAAGACCAGCCTGGCCAACATGGTGAAACCCCGTCTCTACTAAAAATACAAAAAAACAGCCTGGCATGGTGGCGGGTGCCTGTAGTCCCAGCTACTTGAGAGGCTGAGGCAGGAGAATTGCTTGAACCCAGGAGGTGGAGATTGCAGCGAACTGAGACTGCATCACTGCACTCCAGCTTGGGTGACAAGAACAAGACTCCACCTAAAAAAAAAGAAAAAAGAATAAATTATTCAATCAAAAAAATTGGACAATTGCAGGGCTTACTTTATTTGTTTTCTACTCTCAAGATTCAAAGTCCTGTGCTGTCTCTTGTCTATTTTTTTAAAATATATACTTTATTTTCTAGAGTAGTTTTAGGTTCACAGAAAAATGCAGCAGAGAGTACAGAGATTCTCCGTATATTCCCTGCCTTCCCACATGCATAGCCTCTCCCCGACCCCGCCCCTGTTAGCATTATCTCCCACTACAGTGGACCATTTGCTACAATGGAGGAACCTACAATGAATACATCATTATCACCCTAAGTCCAAAGTTTGTGGCTCACTTTTGGTGTTGCATGTACTGTGGGATTGGTAAAATGTATCATGGCATGCACCCACCATTAAAGTATCATGCAGAATAATTTCACTACACTAAAAATCCTCTGTTCTCTGCCTATTCATCCCTCCCTCCCTTCTAACCCCTGGTAAACACTGGTCTTTTTATTGTCTTCATTGTTTTGCTTTTTCCAGAATGTCATATAGTTAGAATCATACGCTATATAGCATTGGTTTGTTTCTCTTAGTAATATGCATTTAAGTTTCCTGCATATTGTTTTATGGCTTGATAGTTCATTTCCATTTAGCCTGAGTAATATTCCAGTGTTTAGATTTACCTAGATTATCTATTTCCCTATTGAAGGACATGTTTGCTTCTACATTTTAGCAATTATAAATGCAGTTGCTATAAACATCTGTGTGCAGTTTTTTGTCTGCATTTGTATATTCAACTCCTTTGAGTAATTGCCAAGTATGATTGCTGGATCACAAGATATGTTTAGTTTTGCTAGAGACTGCCAAACTTCTCTCAAAGTGGTTCTACCATTTCAAATTTTCATCAGATTCTGTTGTTTCACATCCTCCCCAGCATTTGATGGTGTGAGTGCTCTGGATTTTGGCCATTCTAATAGGCATGTAGTGATAGCTCATGTCATTTTAATTTGCATTTCCATGATAACATATAATGGGGAGAATCTTCTCATATGCTTTTTATATGCTTATTTGATGAGATATCTGTTCAACCCTTGGGCCATTTTTTAAATCAGTTCTTTGTTTTCTTATTGTTGAGTTTTAAGAACTCTTTGTATATTTTGCATAACAATCCTTTACTGATATGACTCTTACAAATATTTTATTCTATTTTGTGGCTTTTTAGAAACTCCCTTTACAGTGTCTTTATTAGAACAGAAATGTTTAATTTTAGTAAAGGACAGCTTATTAATTCTGTTTTTCTTGTATTATGCCTTTGGTTGTATCTAAACCCTTGGTCATCTAGATTTTGTCCTGTATTATCTTCTATAAGTTTGATAGTTTTGTGTTTTACATTCAGGCCTGTGATCTGTTTTGAGTTAATTTTTGTGAAGTGTGTAAGGTTTGTGTCAGGATTCAAATTTTTGGATGTGAATGTCAGTTGTTCCATCACCACTTGTTGAAAAGACTATCTTTTCTCTATTATTTCTTCTACTCCTTCATCAAAAAATAGTTGATTATGTTTATGGGTGAATATTTCTGGGCAGAGTTTAGTTTTCATTTATTTTGTTCAGTTTTCTAGCTCTTTATGAGGGAGGGCTAGTTCAGTTTTAATTGATCATTGTGATCAAAAGAGGAAATCCTGAAGTATGATTTTTGAAGGACAGATTAATTTGATCTAAGTTGGGATTTATAAGGAGATATTATTTTTAAAAAAATTTAGGGTAGCAAAACAAAGAAGAGATAAGTAGTATTGGGCAGACTTTAAAGGAATATAAGTAATTGACAGTAAGAATAAAGAAAAAGTGACCAAGGCCATTAAATAATGCTTTATTTGGCACAACTAGTAAGCATATCCTCTGTTTGTCTCTTTCTCAGTGTATTAGCTCAGATTTACTCTATTTTAAAGGTATTAGGATATAATTTTATGATCTGTAGATGGTATAGCTATTTTAATCAGCATTAATAGTGCAGAGATAGTGTGCACTATGTGTTTATTTTGCTCTTGAAATCAGGTGGTGAATTGAGGGCTATTAATAATGCTTCTGGTATTAGCAATTCCAGTAATAATGGCAATGTCATTTATAAAACAAGTTACACTTTTCAAACAGACTTTATATATAATGTTGTTATTAGTCTGCTAGGGGTTCCATAACAAATTATTACAGACTGGATGCCTTAAAAACCAGATATTAATTTTCTTACAGTTCTGGAGGCCAGAAGTCCTAGATCAAGGTGCCATCAGGGTTGGTTTCTAACGAGGCTTCTCTTCCTGGGTTGCCTTCTCATTGTGTCCTCACATGGCCTTTTTCTCTTTCTGTGGGTGTGGGGGAGATTGAGTACACACTCTGGTGTTTCTTCCTTTTCTTATAAGGAAACCACTAATATTGGATTAGTGCCCCACCATTTTGACATTGTTAACCTTAAAGTCCCTGGTTCCAAATATAGTCACATTAAGGGTTAGGGCTTTTACATATGAATTTTAAGGGAAGACAATTCAGTCCATAGCAAATATCTTATTTGATGATCACAGTTCATGTTTTATTTTAAAATATGGGTCCATATTTTACTTCGTTTTTGTATTACCAAACAAAATAAGTAAGCCATTTTCAAAAATGTTTTATTGGTTGCACACATAATTTTACTTTCAAACTTTTTTATGGTGAAATGTGTCATGCAGAAAACATGTACGAAGACTACATGTTATGCTTAAATAAAAATGCTAATGTGAACACTGTTGTTGCCCTGTGAATTAAGAAATACAACTTTAATTTTTCTTAGATATCACATCATCCGCATCCAGGCCAGTGCATTTTTCCTCCTTCTGCAATCTCATTCCGTCTCTTTCTCTCTTCCCAAACATAACTACTGTCTGAAATTTCATGATAACAATTGCCTTGTTTTTTATAGACTTGTTACTTAACTATGTATATCTAAACAATACACTATTTAATGTTGCCTATACTTAATTTGCATAAATGAAATAATACTGTGTATATATTCTCAGATTTTTCTTTTCGCCTAACATCCTTCATCCTTTTGAAATTCATTCTTCTCATCAAATGTGGCTGTAGTCATTTATTCCCACTGCTATATAATATTCAATTGCTTCTAAATATCACAACTTATTGTTTACAACAGTGATAAAGTTTAGGTTTATTTTTCTATTGCTTCTTCAATGAATATGCTCCTGTATGTCCTCTAGTGTACCTGCAAGGTTTCCTCTAGGTTACTGTTATGGCTTGGCTGTGTCCCCACCCAAATCTCATCTTAAATTTCCACATGTTATGGGAGGGACCCAGTGGGAGGTAATTGTATTATGGGGGCAAGTCTTTCCTGTGCTGTTCTCATGACAGTGAATAAGTCACATGAGATCTGATGGTTTTAAAAAGAGGAGTTCCCCTGCACAAGCTCTTTCTGTTTGCTTGCTGCCATCCATGTAAGATGTGACTTGCTTCTGATTGCCTTCCTCCATGATTGTAAGGCATTCCCAGCCACAGGGAACTGTAAGTCAGTCCAGTTAAACCTCTTTTTTTTGTCAATTGTCCAGTCTCTGGAATGCCTTTATCAGGAGCAGGAAAATGAATTAATACAGTATATTGGTATCAGTAGAGTGAGGCATTGCTGAAGAAATACCCAAATATGTGGAAGCGACTTTGGTGCTGGGTAACAGGCAGAGGTTGGAACAGTTTGGAGGGCTCAGAAGAAGACAGAAAAATGTGGGAAAGTTTGGAACTTCCTAGAGACTTGTTGAATGACTTTGCCCAAAATGCTGACAGTGATATGGACAATAAGGTCCAGGCTGAGGGGGTCTCAGATGGAAATGAGGAACTTGTTGGGACCTTGAGCAAATGTAACTCTTGTTATGTTTTAGCAAATAGACTGGCAGCATTTTGCCCCTGCCCTAGAGATTTTTGGAACTTTGAACTTGAGAGAGATGATTTAGGATATCTGGCAGAAGAAATTTCTAAGCAGCAAAGCATTCAAGAAGTGAGTTGGGTGCTGTTAAAGACATTCAGTTTTATAAGGGAAGCAGAGCATAAAAGTTTGGAAAATTTGCAGACTGACAATGCAATAGAAAAGAAAATCCCATTTTCTGAGGATAAATTCAAGCTGGCTGCAGAAATTTATGTAAGTAATGAGGAACTGAATGTTAATCCCCAAGATGATGGGGAAAAAGTCTCCAGGGCATGCCTGAGATCTCCATGGCAGCCCCTCTCATCACAGGGCTAGGGGCCTAGAAGAAAAAAGTGATTTCCTGGGCCAGGCCCAGGGTCCTCATGCTGTGTGCAGCCTAGGGACTTGGTGCCCTGTGTCCCATCAGCTCCAGCCATGGATGAAAGGGGCCAACGTAGAGCTAAGGCCATGGCTTGAGAAGGTGCAAGCCCCAAGGCTTGGCAGCTTGCATGCTGTGTTGAGCCTGTGAGTGCACAGAAGTCAAGAATTGGGGTTTGGGAACCTCCACCTAGATTTCAGAAGATGTATGAAGACTCCTGGATGTTCAGGCAGAAGTTTGCTGCAGGGGCAGGGCTCTCATGGAAAACCTCTGCAAGAACAGTGAGGAAGGAAAATATGGGATCAGAGGCCCCACGCAGGGTCCCTAATGGGGAACTGCCTAATGGAGCTGTGAGAAGAGGGCCTCAATCCTCCAGACTCCAGAATGGTAGATTCACTGACAGCTTGTACTGTGCACCTGGAAAAGCTGCAGACACTCAATGCCAGCCTGTGAAAGCAGCTGGGAGGGAGGCTGTACCCTGCAAATCCACAAGGGCAGAGCTGCTCAAGACCATGGGAACCTACCTCTTGCATGAGCATGACCTGGATGTGAGTCATAGAATCAAAGGAAATTATTTTGGAGTTTTAAGATTTGACTGCCCCACTGGATTTTAGACTTGCATCAGGCCTGTAGCCCCTTTGTTTTGGCCAATTTCTCCCAGTTGGATTGGCTGTATTTACCCAATGCCTGTACCCTGACTGTATCTAGGAAGTAACTAACTTGCTTTTGATTTTATAGGCTCATAGGTGGAAGAGACTTCCTTGTCTTGGATGAGGCTTTGGACTGTGGACTTTTGAGTTAATGCTGAAATGAGTTAAGACTGGGAGACTGTTGGGAAGACATGATTGGTTTTGAAATATGAGGACATGAGATTTTGGAGGGGCCAGGGTGGAATGATATCATTTGGCTGTGTCCCCACCCAAATCTCATCTTGAATTCCCATGTGTTGTGTGAGACACCCAATGGGAGGTAATTGTATTATGAGGGCAAGTCTTTCCCATGCTGTTCTTGTGATAGTGAATAAGTCTCTCAAGATCTGATGGTTTTAAGAAGAGGAGTTCCCCTGCACAAGCTCTCTCTCTTTGCCTGCTGCCATCCATGTAAGATGTGACTTGTAAGATCCATGTAACATGTGACTTGCTCCTCCTTGCCTTCCGCCATGATTGTGAGGCTTCCCTAGCCACGTGGAACTGTAAGTCCAATTAAACCTCTTTTGTAAATTACCCAGTCTCAAGGACGTCTTTATCAGCCGTGTGATGATGATAACGGACTAATACAGTTATATACCTAGGAGTTGGATTGCTGTAAACCAGTGATACAAATGTGAAAATTTATGATATGTCAACTTCCCTCCAAGTAATCAATTTGCACATTAACCAGAATTATATTAAATTTAATATATTAAATATATTAAAAAAGTCTTTCTAAAACTCAAAGCACATCTGTGTTGAAACTTTTCTTTCCATGTATTTTCACACTTTTATGTGTTCAATTACTGGGCTGTATTCTGGATCAGTTAATCACATCTATCTTTGAATTCACTCATACTTTCTTCACTTAGGTTAAACATTCTGAGTAAACCTATCTAATAAATTCGCACTACCATATATATATATATGAAATTCTATTTGGTTTATTTGGTTCTATTTGAAATCTGATTCCTTAGTCACTTTTTCAATATCACTGTGCCTCAATTTTTTATCAAAAGCCTTCTTCTGGCTCTTTTATAGGCCTTCATAAGCTTGTTTTGCCCTAAAATAATTTTTAATTCCAAATAATTTTTAATTCCAAATAATTTGCCTCTTTTCTGTTGCCTTTTTTGCTTTTAGAATGATCCCTTATTAGCATTTTATAGTTTTTTCACATAATCGTAAGAAAACAATTTTGTATTTGTTTCCCTATGTTAATAATCTTTCTTAGTTGCTTCTAAATATTTTGTCAGTATCTCTTCTCCTACAGTTTCTCTTAAGATTTTTCCCATTATTGTTATTCAGCAGTTTATTATATAAAATATTTCTTATTACATTTTCTCTGACTTTAAAAGCTTTTTTAAAAGTCTTAATCTCCTTTAGACTATCAGTTTCAATTTGGTTAATACAGAAATATAAAAATAGTTGGTGACTCATATATTAAATTTTTAAATTTAGAATCTATTAACCATTTTCTGCATTCCTGATAAAGTGCTAAAGAATTTATAGGCATTACCTCATTTTAAAAATCCTTCCAAAATGTATAATTTTCTTTTATATATTTTGTCTAGAAATAATGCTATACAATACTTTCCCAACCATGTGTAACACTGATAAGGCTTTAAAAGATTTGTCCTATCAAATTAAATAAACATGACATGCTGTGAGGCAGGCAGGTGCCCTGAATATAAGACCATATAAATAACCAACTATGATATAATGTGATACTGAATTACCTATGCTCCTTTATTGAAATAAGGAAAATAGTGCCAATGAGAATAACCATAATTAATAGGTATGTGTATCTTTGTAGATATTTAACAAAAGACTCAATATCAGTATATTGGAGAAGAAAAACTAGAAATTAAAAAATAACAGATCTTTAAGGTAAATCACATTAGCATTGGTTTTTCATCTTTGAAAATCGTAAAACCTATTACATCACCTGACCTTCATTGTTTTTCAGTCTAACTACATATCCTATATATAAAAGTAGCATACCCCAATCAAATCAAATAATGTAAGTTATTCTGAATCATATATTCCTGTTTTCAAAGGATCCTATACTACTGAACATATTTGTTAAAAACATGAGGTAATCATCCTTCCATATTTTCACATTTTTTTGATCAATTGGATCATTAGTATGACAAGTAATTTATAATATCAGTTATGCTTAAATGCATAACTTAATGTTTTCATGCTCTTATAACATTTTAATACAGTGGGATGAAATTGTCATATTTTTCTAAGCTGAAAACTTTATTCAAATTACATACAATTACATTCATTTTTCTAAATAAAGGCAATAAGAAACAGTCTTCTGTGTTATGACATGTCAGACTACCACTAAAGTTGTTTTACTCTACAATAAGACAAGTAAATTACTTACAAAAATACTTAAAATTACTCTTCATTATTTTCAAATACATGCTCACAGCAAACATTGATATTTCTGTCTGGAAACATCATATTTTGCCCTTTGACTAAATTATTTTGGACAGTAGAGGTGAATTACTAACTAAAGTTTTATTGTTTCAATAGGCTGATGAGAATTAATTTAGATAACATCGATACTAAGATAATTATTAAATGTTATTTAAGCATTTTATACATGTAAACTAGTTGGTTTAATAAAAGTCTGAGAATTAAAATAATGTTGAAAATAAATTTTTCTTAACACATTAAACCTTAATAGGCAATTTCTATGGAAAATTTGTATGTTAGTAAATATATGAGAGTTTTATTTGCACATGGAGGTGCATATTTTAGAACTCTGCCTCATATTTGGATGCATTATTATAAGACTAAGCTGCCAGTCTCCATTGGAGTTTCTGGGCTGAACTAGGAGACATTTTGCATGTAGATACTAGACTGCTGTGTCACGACCATGGACACGTTTGTATATTGCCAGGCTATGCTATCTATTTTTGGCACCATTGTGTACAATAAATCTTCACCTTCAGAGGCCCTAAAATGCATTATATTGCTTCTCTTTAAAACAATACTACCATTGCTTCCTATAAAATAAGCCTACGTGTAAAACCTAAATGTTTCAGCAACAATAGACTTCCTGCCAAATAATGTGTAACCAAGAAAAAAGTAATTGACTTTACTAGCAATGCAATGAGCCTTAGATGAATTGTATCTTATAATAGCATATGAACCTCTCTCTTATAAACACATTTTAGCAAGTAAATTTTGTTTAAGAAATGCCTTTATTCTTATGAATTGGAAATAACTATTTTGATATTCAAATAGTTATCTAATATTGGTATCTAATATTAATATTAAATATTAATATATAATATTTAGAAAGTGAATTTTACTCCATTCTGAACTTTAAAGAATGCCTTTATTTTTGTGCCCTCTGACTGCATAATTATGGAAAGGTGTGATTCAGTCTATTATGAATTTCTGCTCCTTTAAGGCTTAGAAATGTCAAGAACATCACTATGATTAGTAATTAGGAAAAGGTCCCCTCTACTTATTCTGAAAATACTTTCCTTCTTGCTCAATTCTGCAATCCATGTCTGTCATCAGGTTCACTCAAAAAGGGCAATCTTTCACCTAAGTATTTTTACTTCCGTTCTTACCCATTTCTTTTTTATCTGCTATCCTCATAATTGTCCAAGTTTGCCATTTAGGAATAACATGCAACTGGCTTAATAACAGATGTGAAACTTTTTCATATGTTATTCAGTTTCCACAACCAATAAAGTATTCTGTGTTTAAAACAGAGCCAAATGAAAAATGCGTTTTTCAAAACACAAGCTTCCATCACTAAACGTCTGTGATATTTAGTGTAGATGGTATACAATTATACTTAAACTTCATTGTGATGCTGTTCTCCAGGTTTGAGTCAAGGTTGATTGTAACAGATAAAATTTCTTAGTACTGAGGAAAATTAATGATGATGTGCTTAAGATTATATCCTCTGACCTGTAAATATATAGCAAGTTTTAAGCATGTCTTTTGGGGATAGTGATGTAGAATAAAGTTTCTTGAGACATTTTCCAATTATCAGAGAGTGCCATTTATAAATACTCCTAGTGCCATTTATAAATACTGGAAATGGCTGAAAGTGAATTGAAGAACTGTTTTCCCCTTAAAGGCCAAACTGTAACAATCCCATGACCCAAAGACATTTTTAGGTACTCAGAAGGGGCATATTGTTGAGGTATTGAAACAGATGTCTTAGATTACATTAAATCAGTGTGTTCATGTAGTGGAAGTCAATTACAATAGTGCTTCTTTCCACAACAAATGCTGGATTAACAGTTGGTAATATTTCCTAACAGATATTTGAGGGCAAAACGTGAGATGGTTGTGGGCACTTGCAGTGCTCAAGATTTTCTTTTCAAGTCAAAGTAATTGACAAGGTTTATTGGATGCCAATGTTGGCCTGAGCTTGAGAATACCAAATGAAGGCTGATACTAACACTCTATTAGAGAGGGAAATGTGAGAGCAACGTAGTAGCAACATAACAAATATTCTTGATGTTTCAGGCATTCATTCCCTTATTACAGCCGATGGCAACAATTTAGTCTAATACAATTTTTTATCACTTTTGGACTAAATTAATTTAGACTTCTTTTTAAATAAAGATGATTATAAGTGTTAATATTCATGATGAATTCAGGGATAATTTGCTACTGAGAATTATCATTCACAAGAAGCAATTTAACTTCATTGGATCTGATGACATTAAATCCACTGGTGCTTCACTAATAATATTTTAACAAAAACTGGAAAAGTGACCTATACTAATTACAGAGAAGTAGTTCAAATGAAAAGATATTAGGGATCTGGGAAGGAAACATATAACATTATAATGTCGTAATTGTTAAATAATTATAAACTGGGGTTGTTTTTATGAGACCCAAACACAAAGGGTTTTACAAGATTTTTTGTATCAGTGAAGATACACAGATGAAAATTGGTACATACTGTTGTCTATGTTTCATTACCTTTTACATTTAGATGGAAGTTTGGTAGAAAGAGCAAACACTGGAATCACAGTGTTGTCCAGGCTGTGCTTTTCATGTTATTGTAACTTTGAGGAAGCTACTTGTCCATGTTACCTGAATGGTCAGTTTCTTCATCTATAAATATGTTGTAATAATGCGTATTTCATTATACAAAGGTTTCAATGTAAGATATGTCAGATGTGCTTTTTACACCAGGCTATTAAGTTTTCATTATTTAAATTATTGATATTATTATTATTTGAGTTGCCAATTTTATACTTTGTTCAATAATGTAACTCAACCATCCAGGTATTATTGTTATCCCAAAATAATTGTTAGAACCGTACTAGAACTGTACTACTCCTCACATATTTTAAAGTTACATCTGTTTTTTATTTTTTTTTTATACTTTAAGTTTTAGGGTACATGTGCAGAACGTGCAGGTTAGTTACATATGTATGCATGTGCCATGTTGGTGTGCTGCACCCATTGACTCGTCATTTAACATTAGGCACATCTCCTAAAACTATCCCTCCCGGCTCCCGCCACCCGACAACAGGCCCCGGTGTGTGATGTTCCCCTTCCTTTGTCCATGTGTTCTCATTGTTCAATTCCCACCTATGAGTGAGAACATGCAGTGTTTGGTTTTTTGTTCTTGTGATAGTTTGCTGAGAATGATGGTTTCCAGCTTCATCCATGTCCCTACAAAGGACATGAAATTATCATTTTTTATGGCTGCATAGTATTCCATGGTGTATATTTGCCACATTTTCTTGATCCAGTCTATCATTGTTGGACATTTGGGTTGGTTCCAAGTCTTTGCTATTGTGAATAGTGCCGTAATAAACATATGTGTGCATGTGTCTTTATAGCAGCATGATTTATAATCCTTTGGGTATATACCCAGTAATGGGATTGCTGGGTCAAATGGTATTTCTAGTGCAAGATCCCTGAGGAATCGCCACAATGACTTCCACAATGGGTGAACTAGTTTACAGTCCCACCAACAGTGTAAAAATGTTCCTATTTCTCCACATCCTCTCCAGCACCTGTTGTTTCCTGACTTTTTAATGATCACCATTCTAACTGGTGTGAGATGGTATCCCAATGTGGTTTTGATTTGCATTTCTCTGATGGCCAGTGATGATGAGCATTTTTTCATGTGTCTTTTGACTGCATAAATGTCTTCTTTTGAGAATTGTCTGTTCATATCTTTCGCCCACTTTTTGATGGGGTTGTTTGATTTTTTCTTGTAAATTTGTTTGAGTTCATTGTAGATTCTGGATATTAGCCCTTTGTCAGATGAGTAGATTGCAAAAATTTTCTCCCATTCTGTAGGTTGCCTTTTCACTCTGATGGAAGTTTCTTTTGCTGTGCAGAAGATCTTTAGTTTAATTAGATCCCATTTATCAATGTTGGCTTTTGTTGCCATTGCTTTTGGTGTTTTAGACATGAAGTCCTTGCCCATGCCTATGTCCTGAATGGTATTGCCTAGGTTTTCTTCTAGTGTTTCTATGGTTTTAGGTCTAACATTTAAGCCTTTAATCCATCTTGAATTAATTTTTGTATAAGGTGTAAGGAAGGGATCCAGTTTCAGCTTTCTACATATGGCTAGCCAGTTTTCCCAGCACCATTTATTAAATAGGGAATCCCTTCCCCATTGCTTGTTTTTGTCAGGTTTGTCAAAGATCAGATGGTTGTAGATATGCGACATTATTTCTGAGGGCTCTGTTCTGTTCCATTGGTCTATATCTCTGTTTTGGTACCAGTACCATGCTGTTTTGGTTACTGTAGCCTTGTAGTATAGTTTGAAGTCAGGTAGCGTGATGCCTCCAGCTTTGTTCTTTTGGCTTTGGATTGACTTGGCAATGCGGGCTCTTTTTTGGTTCCATATGAACTTTAAAGTAGTTTTTCCCAATTCTGTGAAGAAAGTCACTTGTAGCTTGATGGGGATGGCACTGAATCTATAAATTACCTTGGGCAGTATGGCCATTTTCACAATATTGATTCTTCCTACCCATGAGCATGGAATGTTCTTCCATTTGTTTGTATCCTCTTTTATTTCCTTGAGCAGTGGTTTGTAGTTCTCCTTGAAGAGGTCCTTCACATCCCTTGTAAGTTGGATTCCTAGGTATTTTATTCTTTTTGATGCAATTGTGAATGGGAGTTGTCTCATCATTTGGCTCTCTGTTTGTTATTGGTGTATAAGAATGCTTGTGATTTTTGCACATTGGTTTTGTATTCTGAGACTTTGCTGAAGTTGCCTATCAGCTTAAGGAGATTTTGGGCTGAGACAATGGAGTTTTCTAGATATACAATCATGTCATCTGCAAACAGGGACAATTTGACTTCCTCTTTTCCTAATTGAATACCCTTTATTTCCTTCTCCTGCCTCGTTGCCCTGGCCAGAGCTTCCAACCTTATGTGGAATAGGAGTGGTGAGAGAGGGCATCCCTGTCTTGTGCCAGTTTTCAAAGGGAATGCTTCCAGTTTTTGCCCATTTAGTATGATATTAGCTGTGGGTTTGTCATAGATAGCTCTTATTATTTTGAGATACATCCCATCAATACCTAATTTATTGAGAGTTTTTAGCATGAAGGGTTGTTGAATTTTCTCAAAGGCCTTTTCTTCATCTATTGAGATAACCATGTGATTTTTGTCGTTGGTTCTGTTTATATGCTGGATTACGTTTATTGATTTTCGTATATTGAACCAGCCTTGCATCTGAGGGATGAAGCTCACTTGATCATGGTGGACAAGCTTCTTGATGTGCTGCTGGATTCGGTTTGCCAGTATTTTATTGAGGAGTTTTGCATTGATGTTCTTCAGGGATATTGGTCTAAAATTCTCCTTTTTTGTTGTGTCTCTGCCAGGCTTTGGTATCAGGATGATGCTTGCCTCATAAAATGAGTTGGGGAGGATTCCCTCTTTTTCTATTGATTGGAATAGTTTCAGAAGGAATGGTACCAGCTCCTCCTTGTACCTCTGGTAGAATTCGGCTGTGAATCCATCTGGTCCTGGACTTTTTTTGGTTGGCAAGCTATTAATTATTGTTTCAATTTCAGAGCCTGTTATTGGTCTATTCAGAGATTCAACTTCTTCCTGGTTTAGTCTTGGGAGGGTGTATGTGTTGAAGAATTTATCCATTTCTTCTAGATTTTCTAGTTTATTTGCCTAGAGGTGTTTACAGTATTCTCTGATGGTAGTTTGTATTTCTGTGGGATCGGTGGTGAGATCCCCTCTATCATTTTTTATTGCATCTATTTGAATCTTCTCTCTTTTCTTCTTTATTAGTCTTGCAAGCGGTCTATCAATTTGTTGATCTTTTAAAAAAAACCAGCTCCTGGATTCACTAATTTTTTGAAGGGTTTTTTATGTCTCTATTTCCTTGAGTTCTACTCTGATCTTACTTATTTCTTGCCTTGTGCTAGCTTTTAAATGTGTTTGCTCTTGCTTCTCTAGTTCTTTTAATTGTGACGTTAGGGTGCCAATTTTAGATCTTTCCTGTTTTCTCTTGTGGGCATTTAGTACTATAATTTCCTTCTACACACTGCTTTGAATGTGTCCCAGAGATTCTGGTATGTTGTGTCTTTGTTCTCGTTGGTTTCAAAGAAAATCTTTATTTCTGCCTTCATTTCATTATGTACCCAGTAGTCATTCAGGAGCAGGTTGTTCAGTTTCCATGTAGTTGAGCAGTTTTGAGTGAGTTTCTTAATCCTGAGTTCTAGTTTGATTGCACTGTGGTCTGAGAGACAGTTTGTTATAATTTCTCTTCTTTTACATTTGCTGAGGAGTGCTTTACTTCCAACTATGTGGTCAATTTTGGAATAGGTGTGGTGTGGTGCTGAGAAGAATGTATATTGTGGTGAGTTTCGGTGGAGAGTTCTGTAGATGTCTATGAGATCTGCTTGGTGCAGAGCTGAGTTCAATTCCTGGATATCCTTGCTAACTTTCTGTCTCGTTGATCTGTCTAATGTTGACAGTGGGGTGTTAAAGTCTCCCATTATTATTGTGTGGGAGTCTAAGTCTCTTTGTAGGTCTCTAAGGACTTGCTTTATGAATCTGGGTGCTGCTGTATTTGGTGCATATATATTTAGGATAGTTAGCTCTTCTTGTTGAATTGATCCCTTTACCATTATGTAATGGCCTTCTTTGTCTCTTTTGATCTTTGTTGGTTTAAAGTCTGTTTTATCAGAGACCAGGATTGCAACCCCTGCCTTTTTTTGTTTTCCGTTTGCTTGGTAGATCTTCCTCCATCCCTTTATTTTGAGCCTATGTGTGTCTCTGCATGTGAGATGGGTCTCCTGAATACAGCACACTGATGGGTCTTGACTCTTTATCCAATTTGCCAGTCTGTGTCTTTTAATTGGAGCATTTAGCCCATTTGCATTTAAAGTTAATATTGTTATGTGTGAATTTGATCCTGTCTTTATGATGTTAGCTGGTTATTTTGCTCATTAGTTGATGAAGTTTCTTCCTAGCCTCAATGTTCTTTACAATTTGGCATGTTTTTGCAGCAGCTGGTACTGGTTGTTCCATTCCATGTTTAGTGCTTCCTTCAGGAGCTCTTTTAGGGCAAGCCTGGTGGTGACAAAATCTCTCAGCATTTGCTTTTCTGTAAAGTATTTTATTTCTCCTTCACTTATGAAGCTTAGTTTGGCTGGATATGAAATTCTGGGTTGAAAATTCTTTTGTTTAAAAATGTTGAATATTTGTCCCCACTCTCTTTTGGCTTGTAGAATTTCTGCCAAGAGATCAGTGGTTAATCTGATAGGCTTCCCTTTGTAGGCAACCCGACCTTTCTCTCTGGCTGCCCTTAACATTTTTTCCTTCATTTCAACTTTGGTCAGTCTGACAATTATGTGTCTTGGAGTTGCTCTTCTCGAGGAGTATCTTTGTGGCATTCTCTGTATTTCCCGAATTTGAATGTTGGCCTGCCTTGCTAGATTGGGGAAGTTCTCCTGGATAATATCCTGCAGAGTGTTTTCCAACTTGGTTCCATTCTCCCCATCAATTTCAGGTACACCAATCAGACGTAGATTTGGTCTTTTCACATAGTCACATATTTCTTGCAGGCTTTATTCATTTATTTTTATTCTTTTTTCTCTAAACTTCTCTTCTGGCTTCACTTCATTCATTTGATCTTCCATCACTGACACCCTTTCTTCCAGTTGATCACATCGGCTACTGAGGCTTGTGCATTCGTCATGTAGTTCTCGTGCCTTGGTTTTCAGCTCCATCAGGTCCTTTAAGGACTTCTCTGCATTGGTTTTTCTAGTTAGCCATTTGTCTAATTTTTTTTCAAGGTTTTTAACTTCTTTGCCATGAGTTTGAACTTCCTCCTTTAGCTCAGAGTAGTTTGATCGTCTGAAGGCTTCTTCTCTCAACTCGTCAAAGTCATTCTCCATCCAGCTTTGTTCCGTTGCTGGTGAGGAGCTGTGTTCCTTTGGAGGAGGAGAGGTGCTCTGATTTTTAGAGTTTCCAGTTTTTCTGCTCTGTTTTTTCCCCATCTTTGTGGTTTTATCTACCTTTGGTCTTTGATGATGGTGACGTACAGATGGATTTTTGGTGTGGATGTCTTTTCTGTTTGTTAGTTTTCCTTCTGACAGTCAGGACCCTCAGCTGCAGGTCTGTTGGAGTTTGCTGGAGGTCCATTCCAGACCCTGTTTGCCTGGGTATCAGCAGTGGAGGCTGCAGAACAGCGGATGTTGGTGAACAGCAGATGTTGCTGCCTGATCATTCCTCTGGAAGTTTTGTCTGAGAGCAGTACCTGGCCGTGTGAGGTGTCAGTCTGCCCCTTCTAGGGGGTGCCTCCCAGTTAGGCTACTTGGGGGTTAGGGACCCATTTGAGGAGGCAATCTGTCCATTCTCAGATATCCAGCTGCATGCTAGAAGAACCACTATTCTCTTCAAGGCTGTCAGACAGGGACATTTAAGTCTGCAGAGGATTCTGCTGCCTTTTGTTTGGCTGTGCCCTGCCCCCAGAGGTGGAGTCTACAGAGGCACATAGGCCTCCTTGAGCTGTGGTGGGCTCCACCCAGTTCGAGCTTCCTGGCTGCTTTGTTTACCTTCTCAAGCCTGGGCAATGGCAGGCGCCCCTCCCCCATCCTCACTGTGGCCTTGCAGTTTGATCTCAGACTGCTGTGCTAGCGATGTGCGAGGCTCCGTGGGCACAGGACCCTCCGAGCCATGTGAGGTATATAATCTCCTGGTGTGCCGTTTGCTAAGACCGTTGGAAAAGTGCAGTATTAGGGTGGGAGTGACCCAATTTTCCAGGTGCCATCTGTCACTCCTTTCTTTGACTTGGAAAGGGAATTACCTGACCCCTTGCACTTCTGGGGTGACACGATGCCTCGCCCTGCTTCGGCTCACGCTCAGTGCACCACACCCACTGTCCTGCACCCACTTTCCAACACTCCCCAGTGAGATGAACCCGGTACCTCAGTTGGAAATGCAGAAATCACCGGTCTTCTGCGTCGCTCATGCTGGGAGCTGTAGCCTGGAGCTGTTCCTATTCGGCCATCTTCTATTTTTTATTCTTAAGCAAGTATAGATAGTTGAAAGTATGATATGTTTAAATATTGACAGAACTTGAGTATAAATACCATGATAATTGATAACATCATTTATTTAAAAACATATGAATGAACTGTTACTTTGAGTTGGACATTTTATATCATTCATTCTGTCTTCATGAATTTCTATTCCCATTCCAATTTAGCAACATTAATTTGTCCTAATGTAATATGATTTTATGCTCGAAGGCCTTATATTGAATATCTTATCATACTTCTCTACAAATATTTATTTTAAAATTTGAGTCCCTGTTACCATAAATCTCTATGTATCTTCTAGGTAAGTTTTTATTACAATTGTTAATAGTACATAATTTATTTAAAACAGCAAAATATATTATAAATTCTAATGAATACAATTTTAGAAAGGAAAATGTATTTGAAATACTTTTTAAATAGCATTTAAAATAGCATTAAAAATAGCATTTAAAAATGCTATTTAAAAGTAAGAATGCTGTGGATTAATTATTAGAAGCAATTGTGAAAATATTACTTTATTTGCTAAACTGGAGATTTTTATGTATCAGACCACCACTAATGTGAGTTTTGAATCAGTCGTATGCTTTTTGTTGAGTGTCATTGTTAAAGGGGATGTAGGAAAGGAGAACCTGCAGAGCAAATAACATTTCAGCCTTATTCATTTTAAAATAGATTGCAAATAAAATTTAAAAATATGGTATCTGATTTCCTTAAAGCTATTAATAATTTAATAGCTCCTTTTATTAACCTGGGGCCTTTCAGGAATACAGATTAGAAAACCATTTTCTTAACACTTTGTTCATCCCTCAAAACATGAAAACTCTCCTGCTCTTTATTAATTCTGAATAGTCAATCATCTTTCTTGTCTGTTTGCATCTATTAGTCAAATTGTCTCTGCTATAATAGAGATGGACTAATATAATTCAAGAGAGGTTAGGCAGACCTAAGTAAATCTAACCAATGTAGAACCCAATCAATTCAGCTATGTAAGGAATAATTCTGTGTTTCTAAACTCCGGCCATTCCCTAGAACTGAGAGGTTTGTTTGTTTGTTTAAAGACAGTGTCCCACTCTGTCATCCAGGCTGGAGTGCAGTGATGAAATCAGCACACTGCAGCTTCAACCTGCAGGACTCATGTGATACTCCCACCTCAGCTTCCTGGGACTATAGGCATATGCCACCATTCCCAGCTACTTTGTATTATTATTAATTATTTTTTTTTTTTGCAGAAGCAGGGTCTTTGTATATTGCTCAGGCTAGTCTCATACTCCTGTCCTCAAGCAATCCTCCCACTTTGGCCTCCCAAAGTGCCAAAATTACAGGTGTGAGCCACTGTGCCAGGCTGCAGAGGTTTTCTAGGGCCCTGAAATATGGAGATGTAAAGAGCCACCATTATATATAACAAGAAAATCATATTTATGGAATAGCCCAACATTTGGGTAGCCTGGCAAGGGAATCTATGACTCTCCAGCATTTAATCAGCATAGAGGGCTAAATAACTGGTTGGTATAGCATGAGGCCAAAGAGCAGCCTGAGATGGAGAAATCTGAAAACATTGAAGAGGAGGCCTCTGCACTAACTTAATAATATGTTAAAGATGTGACTGAATTGAGAATCATTTATATCCATTGGAGAATATTCTAGGTAGTATTTTTATTTGTTTGCTGTCTGTGCATCTTTTGGGTTTTTGTATAGCTCAAGTAGAGAACATTTTGAATTCAAGTTCAGTCTACCTTTGCCAAAGAAGCAGGGATGAAAAGCAGAGCTTCTGTGTAATTTCAGTTTTTTCAGAACTGTCTTCTGTAAGACCTTTGAATTACCCTCATTAAAGGTGCAGTGTGCTTTCTAGTGGCTATTGATTTATATTCAAAGATTTTTAGGTGACATTCAAAGGAATAAATGATTAACTAGACGAACTTTCATCTAAAATAAGTATAAAACAGTAAACCTGAAATAGTAAATGCCATTTCCAACATCACACAGCTAATGGCAAAGCTGAGTTTAGAACCTGCTGTTTCAATTCACTGCTTTCTCCATCTATCTTAATGCTAGAATCATTCTACAAGTGAGGTCCCCAGGGCAGGAGCATCCAAATCAGCTAGGAACTTGCTAGAAATCGAAATTTTCTGGTCCCACTCCAAGCTGAGTGGATCCAAAATTTTAGGTCTGGGGCTTGGCAATCTTGGTTTTAACAAACCTTCCAGTGATTCTGAGAAAGCTAACATGAGAACCACTGTTTTAGAGGCTACAGATCAAAGTTAAAAATAATTTGTAACAATGCTGTTTTACATGCCCTTGGCTTTGGTGCACTGAGGCAGTGTCTGTGTCCTGCCTTTGGAAGGCTACTGGGCACCATCCTGACACAAAATAGAAGTTGTACCATATAGTGTTAAAATGTTGACCTGTTCATTTTTTAAGTAAGTAAGTCCATCTCTCATTCATTTTGATTTTTTATATTTTTTGGTAGAAAAGGTTACAGACTTTGAATTTTAACCATGATTTTTTTGGTTATTAAAGGTCTACATGAAGAAGAAATGATGGGACCAAACAATCAGGAAGCAGGGAAGCACTGCACCAGCTCCTAACACAAGAGTGCAACATGTTATCCACTAGATATGACACAACCAGATTGCCCCTACAGCCAATGCTTCAGGAAGAAACAGCCTTATACTCACAGGTAAGAAATATTTTGAAAGGCTATTTGAAAGGTAAAATCTGGTGATATATATTTTCAAATAGGTTATATTTATATTTTTAAAAGGTTAAATATACATTTGAGAGCAAGGACAGGTGTAATAATTGTTCAAAGGAAAAAAGTTATGAAAGATATTGAAGTTCTACAAAGGGATTCTGATGTTAAATTAAATGTTTGATTTTTGTAATATGTGACATAAAATGTGATTGATTGATTATGGAGGAGCTGATTTCATTATCAATATTCAAGGAATATGTGTATGCTATGGAGAGAACAGAATTAAATATTTAAGATATGGACAGTTGTTTACATAAAGTATAGTAATCTCTGTTACTGTAACTATAATCAGATATGTAATCAAGCAAAGACTTAAATTCTTGTTTTCAAATGCTTGTTTAATTTATATAATTATTCTTGTTGCGCAAAACATGCTGTTATAGCATCATTTCATAAAATAAGCATAAAATTAGTACACAATACAAGCAGACTAACAGTACATTAAAAAAGGATATTCTTAGAATGTTAACATGACGTTCAAATGTTTTCTTTTAACCCAAAATACTTTAATGGTTAAATATGTTGTAACTGAATGAGTAAGTTACCTAAAAATATCCTTAAGAATTATTATATATATTTTCCTAATGAATGAACACATCCACACACTTTTCTCTTTCCTATTTATTTTTATTGCTCAATAAATTTAAGGACACATAAAGAAAAAATGAATACTGGCTCCTTAGACATCTTTCCCATATGCTTCCAATATACCATTTGGAAGGAAAAGGAGTGGTTGGTAGCTAAATTGCTGAATATATTTCCTTGCAATAAAAAGAAAAGTGCCTTTGTAGAAATGCTGTGGAATTTTCCTATTAAACATGGTGGAATAATTTCTTACCATCTGTAGCATTCATTTAAAAATATAAACAGTGGTGTATTTGCCATCTGTTTGAATAACTTTTTATGATACTTTTTGAATCTGTCATTCAATGACATCACCAATTTTATCATCTAAGGATGATGGCTTGAACTATGATCAATGACATTTTTGGTAGCCAGACATACATGCTGTGGAAGTGAATCAGCAAAGGGCTATAAAGATGGCCAGTAACAGCCATGATAGCTCTGTTAACACCAATAAAACAGTACAGAATAGCTATTTGAAAGCATTTAACATCTTGCTGAAGGTGAAGAGCAAAATATCTGTGGAATGAGTGCTGCGTATCACCTTATATCAGGTAGCTATTAAGCAGGTAAATTACAATCCCAGCCTTTCCCACATCCTTGAAAACATTTTTTAAAATGATATTGCCCACAGCAATTTTTACCAGAATTTCTAACCAGCGTAATGTTCCAAGAAAACTAGTGAGTTTCTCTACATATTTGAGACTAATTAAAAGTTTACTGAATGAAGTCAGATATAGACGTTTATCTTCAAGAGAATGTCAATGGGCCCATTAGTATTTCCTATACTGAGGAGGTATAAAACACACAGATGTTCACAGACTTAAATTTCCAAGGATAAGATAATAGTTAGTTCTCATGGAATTAAGACACCAATCAGTTCATGAGGTTTGGAATATTTACACAAGAGCAAAACAAAATCATTCCTTTATAACACATTTTTTTTAAACTTTTATTTTAGGTTCAGGGCTGCATGTGCAGGTTTCTTATATAGGTAAACTTGTATCAGGGGGATTTGTTATACAGATTATTTCATCACGCAGATATTGAGCCTCATACCACTAGTTATTTTTTCTGGTTCACTCCCTCCTCCCACCCTCTGATCTCCAGTAGGCCCCAGTGTCTGTTGTTCTCCTCTGTGTGTTCATGTGTTGTCATCATTTAGCTCCCACATGTAAGTGAAAACGTGGTATTTGGTTTTCTGTTCCTATGTTAGTTTGCCAAGGATAATGGCTGCCAGCTCCATTCATGTCCCTGTAAAGGACGTAATCTTGTTCCTTTTTATGGCTGCACAATATTCCATGGTGTATGTGTACCATATTTTCCTTATTCAGTCTGTCATTGACAGGCATTTAGGTTGATTCCATGTCTTTGCTATTATGAATAGTGTTGCAATGAACATATATGTGTATATGTCTTTATAATAGAATGATTTATATTCCTTTGAGTATATACTCAGTAATGGGATTGCTGGGTCGAATGGTAGTTCTGTTTTTCGGTCTCTGAGGAATTGCCACACTGCTTTCCACAATGGTTGAACTAATTATGCTCTTACTGAAAATGTGGAAGCATTCCTTTTTCTCTGCAACCTGGCCAGCATCTGTTATTTTTTGACTGACTTTTTAACAGTAGCCATTCTGACTGGTGTGAGATGGTATCTCATTGTGGTTTTGATTTGCATTTCTCTAATAATGAGTGATATTGAGCTTTTTTCATTTGTTGGCTGCATGTATGTATTCTTTTGAAAAGTATCTTTTCTTGTACTTTGCCCACTTTTTAGTGGGGTTTGGTTTCTCTTATGAATTTGTTTAAGTTCCTTATAGATGCTGGATATTTGACCATTGTCAGATGCATAGTATGGACACATTTTCTCTCATTCCATAGGTTGTCTGTTTACTCTGATGATTGATAGTTTCTTTTGCTGTGCAGAAACTCTAGTTTAATTAGATCCCATTTGTCAATTTTGCTTTTGTTGCAATTGCTTTTTGGCATCTTCATCATGCAATCTTTGCCCATTTATGTCCAGAATGGTATTGGCTAGCTTGTCTTCCAGGGTTTTATAGTTTTGGGTTTTACATTTAAGTCTTTATCTTGAGTTGATGTTTGTATATGATGTAAGGAAGGGGTCCAGTTTCAAGCTTCTGCATATGGCTAGCCGGTTATACCAGCACCATTTATTGAATAGGCAGTCCTTTCCCCATTGCTTGTTTTTGTCAGCTTTGTTGAAGACCAGATGGTTAGACATGTGTATTCTTATTTCTGGGCTCTCTATTCTGTTTCTTTGGTCTATATGTCTGTTTTTGTACCAGTACCATGTTGTTTTGTTTACTGTAGCCCTGTAGTAATTTGAAGATAGATAGTATGATGCCTCCAGCATTTTTTTTTTTTTTTTTTGCTTAGGACTCCCTTGGCTATTTGGGCTCTTTTTTGGTTCCATATAAATTTTAAAATTGTTTTTCTTAGTTTCGTGAAGAATGTCATTGGTAGTTCGATAGGAATCACATTGAATCTATAAATTGCTTTGGGCAGTATGGCTGTTTTAATGATATAGATTCTTCCTATCCATGAGCATGGAATGAGTTTCCATTGTTTGTGTTGTCTCTGATTTCTTTGAGCAGTTGTAACACATTTTAAAATAATAAATTTTGTGACATTTTCTCTATATATTACAAATATGTGCATAATTACTGAGTAATGCCTTGCCACTTATTACCTTTACTCTGGAAAATAGTAGTCTGGCAAATAAGAAGGTCAGCAAAATTCAGAACAGACAGGGAGAATGTAAGATCATATTCTTAGTGAGCCTCACTGATGGCGAAGAGAACTACAGCCTCTCTGATCTTCAAGTTAATGTATATAAAGGTATTGTTTTTTATTCCAGGTTTAGTCATTAAATATTTTTATACAAGTATCTGTTGAAGATATACTTTAGAGATTCTAGAGTCAAGGATTGAGGTGTCCTAAAGCACTTAATTGGGCCTAATTAAAGAACAGCATACTAACAATATTTAATGAAGGTTGTATAACACTATAATAGAGAATGACTTTGATATTCAATTCATTACTGGTAGAAATTAGTTCAGGAATGATTCATACACAAACACAGAGATGGAAAAAAATATGAAGTTGGAAAAACACATACTGACTTTAACTAAAGTTATATATAGTGGCTGCATATTATTTATATTAATAAAATATATATTTAAATAGCCATTTATGTCTCTTATTATAATCAGTTTTATAGTAGTTCTAACTTCCCTAAACCCAAATAGACTGGTGTATTTTCTAGCAAGATATCACTGGTGTGAATTTGCCATTCACGAGAGAATATCACTGAGAAAGTTTAGCTCTTGTAATTAATTGACTAATAAGTTTATTTGAATATAGTTTATTTGGGAGCAGACATATGGGAGGTTTGCAGGCAATGTCAATGTATTCTTAAAATTCCAGGGAAAAATATGCTATAATACTTATAGTATAAAGTATAATACTATATACCTTTGCTGTAGTAAAATAGGTTGATGTAAGATAAATATAAAGAAATTAATAATTTCTCAATACAACAGAAAGGAAGTAGAAATTATTTTTTAAATGTGTATCTATTCACAATCACAACAAAATACATAAATATCTAGAAATGAGTATAAGAAGAAAAGGTGAAAACTTTACCAAGAGACAAAAATACTTGAACAAAAAGAGAGGTATATTATATATTTGGATGAGTGACAAAATATAACAGATTAAATATACTTTAATGCTTCTTTGAGAAAAACAAAGGTGATAGTAAGACCATTTGGAAGGACACTTGGTATAATAGCTCAGATGTCATTGAATAGGATGAGGCATGAAAGGAATTTGATCTATTAGGTACTTAAACATACAATAATTAAAACACTGTAGCATTGATATAAAACGTGTAGTGTTGGTAAAAAGAATAAAATAAATTAGCCCCAAATGCACATACATATTTAATCTACCTGTATATGTGTATGTTCAAATATAAATGAATTTAATATTTAAATAAAAAATTACTCAACTGAGGATGCTGGAAAAATTGCTCTATATTTACAGAAGAAGTAATTAATTAATTACAAGAAATCACAAAAGGAATTCTTTTTTGGATATCTTAAAAAGCTATATATGAAAGATGAAACCATAAAAGTCCTAGAAGAAAGCTACAAGTAAGCAGTTAAATTATGACTAAGAATTTTCTAAGTGTGCAAAAGAAATTATCTGAGAATGTTAAAATGTATTAAAGTATGATACATTAAAATATAATATATTAAAAGCTAAATGAAAAACCAATGAGCATATTTGCAAGAAGTATGACAAAGTATTACTTTGCTTCATATAAACTGTTTTTAAATAATCAGGAAAATATATCAGTTAGCATGAAAAAATAATTCACACAGAGAAAAATAAAAAATTTAAAAAGTGTAATTTTTTGGTAATTCAGGAAATAGTGATTAAAACATTAAAGAGAGAGGACTTTTTTCTTAGTATCTTTTAAAGATTTTAAGAATTTTTTATATTGCAAAATACTAATTTCACTTGTAGCAATCTTCTTTAAAATATAAGCTTATCTTCCAAAAATTATTACTTTATTTTTGTAAATAGAGAAAAATTCAAGATTTTTTAGACATATTAGGCTAGAAGAATGATATTAAAAGCCATGGTACAAACACAAAAAGTAATTCAGCTATTAAAATTATAATTTTGGCCCTTCTTCTTTTTCTTCCTCTTCTTTTCCTTTCTGAACAATTTGGTCTCAAAATCATTTGATTTTGAGGGGACACTTGTAGATCCCTACATTGGATACTGGTTTGTAGATCCCTACATTGGATACTGGTGACCAAGTAGGATAGAAGGCACTTGTGCTTGATGTCAGTCAGCCTGAGCAGGGTAGGGAGGGTGTCCCCACAAGGGACAGCCTGAAGTAGGAAACTCAAGCTACAGCAGAGTGAACAGGCGCCCATGCAGTGGACATCAGTATTCATGTCCAAGGTGTCACCCACCTGGAGACATGGGTGACACACTTCTGGTGTGGGTGGTCAGAGCCTAAATAGTATGAAGGATCTTCACGAAGGAGGAGCACCCTGGCACAGAGCTCTGTAGCTGAGCAGAGTAAGGTCATCATCTTCACAGGTGAAATAGGACTGTTTTTAAACACAAATAGTGTATCTATGAAAGAAAATGAAAGTGGCTTTCTCACTGAAGGAGAAGGCATTGACAAATTTCGAATGCGATGAAAATAGCATAAACCAGGTGGTATTGGATGATAATTGAAGATATTGGTGTGGACTCAGTTTTCAATATGTAGGTATAGGCAAATGTAGAAATATTTATATCTGGGAAAAAAGGGAAAGTCGGGGGAGAGAGAGAGATAGATAGTTCCATGCATTTATGCAGAACATTCTGGTTAGTAGGAAGTATGTAAGGAAATTAGGAGGTGAGAGGATCAGCAATTTATTTTTTAAAAACACAAATATTTAAAAATATTATTTAATATACTGAAAATTCTTATAATCATCATTGTTTAAAAAATTTAAAATGTAATTTGGAATATTATTTAATAGCCTAGATAAAATATTATTCACACATATAAACACTCATATATGTGATGTGAGATTAGAAGTTAAAATGATGTAAGCAGTTTCCCATGTAAATGGTCAAAGCTTCAGTTCTATAAACTTAGAAAAATGATGGAATATTAACCACATGCAATGTTAATAAAACTGTTAGTTTATGAGGATGCTTCACATTTCCCTTCAGTTGCGTGGCAATTATAAATTATTATTCTACTGATCAAATATTAGTGAGAGCTGTAGTTTGACATTTTCACAGTTTGGGTTGATGGATTTACCCATGACTAAAAATAAAGACTTTTTAAATATATATATACACCAAGAAATTAACTAGTAGCATAATAGAGATCAGGTTAACTGCACAAACTTTGGGGTCACTTAGTTTGAAGGTCCAGTCCCCCCAATTAAAAGCTATGTGATAAGTTTGAAGAAGTAATATAACTTCTCATAAGGGGTTAATAAAGCCTGTGTTATTGGCTTATCGAAAGAATTAAATATGGCAATATATGGTGTCTGTCATATGATAAGTATCTAAGAAAATGTAGTCATAAATTATTATTATCTCTATATCACTAAGGGAAGGCTAACTGCTGAACCAAACAACCCCAACATTTCAGAGGTTTAATGAGAAAAACAAATGTTTCTCACTTATTTTACAGTCTCATGCAAGTCAGAAAGGAGGTGTTGCTCTGTTCAGCCATTCAGCAACCCAGACTCTATTCATTATATGCCTTTGTCATTTTCTAAGGTCTTGATGTCCCCTATGGGATTCTTTGCATCTATCTGTCATACCAATAAAAAACAGCACGTGAAAGGCATATCCATTCTTAATCACTTTGGTGAGTGTTGGCATGCATTATTTCAGCCCATCATGTATTGATGAGAACAAACCACACTTTTACAAAGGGTCTAGGAAATGTAGTCTAAAGATAAGCCCAGGATGAAAAGAAAGAATAAATATCTTCAAGTACCTGTGGTCTTTGTTACAATCTTCTGCCATTCTGGTCTGATTATATGAATTATCAGTTACCTGATTTATATTGTTATTTATATGTATAAAGATATTAAAATATTCCTATGTAAGAATGAAATGTTTCACATAAATTTTGAGAGAATAAATTGCTTCCCAGAAGGCCCAAATGGGTTGGGAAACAACAGTGTCAAATAACTTGAAATCAATTAATTCAACTTTCTTGGCTCTGAATAATCCAACCCTTTGTAAACATGATTTAAAATCCAGGCCAGCTGTGTCACTGACATGACACACAGATACACTCATATATCTTTTGTTCCACAACTGTTAGGCTTGTAGGACTCCTTTTTCTTTGTTGTTTGTTTTGTTTTCTTTAGAGTCTCGCTCTGTCGCCCAGGCTAAAGTGCAGTGGCGCAATCTTGGCTCACTGCAAGCTCCACCTTCCAGGTTCAAGCCATTATCCTGCCTCAGCCTCCTGAGTAGCTGGGACTACAGGCGCCCACCACCACGCCCGGCTAATTTTTTTGTATTTTTAGTAGAGACGGGGTTTCACCATGTTAGCCAGGATGGTCTCGATCTCCTGACCTTATGATCCGCCCACCTCGGCCTCCCAAAGTGCTGGGATTAGCAGGATTCTTAAACTATAATTTTAAGGTAACTCTGTCCCCCTTTGCCTCTTTAAAATTAATTCAGTGGTCAATATGATATCTGTGATTTTCCTTAATAAATTCAAACGTGGCACTATATACAGAAGAAACTAGCTGGTCATGAGTTGATGACTGTTATGATTGTTGATACGTGCTTGTAAGTTCATTATACTATGATCTCTGCTTTTGCACTTTTGAAATTTACAATGAAAAAATTTTTTAAGGAAATTCAGTGACCAAAATTATTTCTTGCACATACATAAATATTAAGTCAGTCCATTGACTTACAACTCTTCGTAAGTAATATAAATCATATGGTCACTTTAAGTCAGAAATTAATGTACTTTCTTAATTCAGAAATTATAATTGGTAGACCCATATAATGATAAAACTCTTAAATAATCTATCCTCCCCATTTAAGAGATTTTTCCGGCAAGCAGTCAGCAGATTCAGTAGGATTGTATTGTGGTTCATTTTCCTTTTCCTACTCATATATCCATTTGCAAAGAAAACGGATTCTGATCTCCCTCAGATTTGACTTTTTAGGGACGGGGGAGAGTAAGAGGGCACAGGAGAATTCTTACTTAACTCAGTGTGTGTTTAGACGGCTTTGCAGTCTATAGGCACTGCAGATGTTTAAAGTCTACTTGTTTTTAGGGCACTTTTATGGGTTTTACAATGGTCCCACTGAGAATTTCTTCTGCACTGCCCATAAGGCAGGCCATAACACTTTCCTGTCACTTCCACTACTTCCCTCATCTTGTTTTGTGCTGGTCTACTCCACTCTACATAATCCCTTTCAGATTAAAATGCTGCCAACCCTTGCTCTGTGGTAGCCCATCACTCATCCTGGGAAACACTCAGGTATCCGTTGATCCAGTGAACTCTGGAAGCGCATGCACCTCTTGTTCAGCTCATCTACCAATTGTCGGATAACTAACTCATGTGTACCATTATATTTTTTAGTTGGAAGCCAGACAGCAATCCACCATTCAACATAGTAAAGCACATATTAAACTCTCTGAACACATATTAAACTCTCACTATATACAGGTGAAGCTAGCTGCTCATGAGTTGATGACTGTTATGATTGTTGATACACGCTTAGAAGTTCATTATACTATGATCTCTGTTTTTGCACAGTTTTGTTGATGGCCTTCTCACCAGGCTTAGACGACTTCTACTCTTATTCTGCAGGTATCAGAGTATGGCTGTGTTAAAAAATTATCTTTATAACACACCGTTCTTAATGTTAACACCGTGAATGATGACTTCAGGGTTGTAAAATCTAGTTTTGATTATTTTCAAACTTTCCGTCATGACATGGCACTGAACCGATACCTGGTCTCTTTCAATTTATTGTTGTGTTAAAACTTACCCCAGGAGCTGAGTGACATGTTGAAACAATATCAGTGCTTGGTTTGATGGTCTTTAAAAGATAATGATGAATGGAAATACAACAAATAATGAAGATAGGCAAATATCATGATTAAGAAAAAAAAAAAAGCTTTCTGGAAACTAGAGCCAAATGGTAAATTTCATGTTGATTTCTAGAATTCTTAGACTAAATTAGGAAACATTTGGTTATTTTTCAGGCAATGAAATATTGTGGCCTAGGAGCAAAGTGATTTATTATTAACAAATACAGATGTGTTCAAAAGTATTGCTCTAAATATAGATATTGCCAATAATAGCAGTTATGTTTATCATGAGATTAGTAAGAAATTTAACAATTTATTTGGTATTCCCAATTTTTAGATTAGGCTTAATATATGGGTTGAGAGATAGAGGTATTAGATATCTAGTTGAATATTATTATGAAAACAAGTTCATTATTAATTATGCCATTTTTGAAGAAAGTCTCTCATAGAATAATACTCTTTCTTACTCAACGTTTTAATTGATGATTTAGGCAAAAATATGTCAAATATATAGGTAACACATTAATGTACTTTTACTTTTGTGTAGTATGTAACTTGCTTGATAACTACTTGTTAAACTTCATTTTTTCATCTTCTGTTGTTTTGTCCTAGAGCTTTGAAACTTACAACTTAAGATAATACATCACCTTAAACAACAATGGTTGAATGATTCGTTCCACACACATTATTATATGAATAATCTATATTAGTAGACAAATGTATTTCTCAGGCATTCTGAAAAGTCAAAGTTGTGGCTCAATTATACAGTAACAGTTTTGGATATCTGGGGGTAGAGCAATTAAGGTTAATAAAAATGAGACCTTGAAAATGAGCCAAGGCATTTTAATGAAATGTGTTTCTTTTGGAATTTGAAGCACATGGTATATTGAAATGCCATATGATGGATTCTGAAAAGGATATGTCAACAGTAATGGATGATACCTCTCCCTGTTGGTCTGTAAGGTGATTTTTTTCAAAGGAAATCTTATTATAATCAGTTGAAGACCATATGGTATGTAGACTATAATAGCTAGTTTATCTTTGCCTCTCTACTGTGAGCAAGACTACGCACTTTCTCTGACTCTTTTCCAAATGGAAGTTCAGACCAACCTTCGGCATTTTTGAAAATTTAAATAAAGGAACTTTATAATGGGTAGAATTTAAGTGCATAAAAGACCCATATTTATTTCCTTTTATCGTATCAACTTTGTTTCACCAGTCCATCTATATCTATTTTACAACATTTAAGAAAATAAAAAAGGAATAGACAGTAAAAAAGAAGCAAGAGAAAAAGAAAGGTAATAGAAAAATAATTTTAAAAGAATGGATAAGAAAAGAAGACATGAAAAGTGCTCAACTTATTGATAAAAATTATTAGAAATAGAAAAGGAGGCCGTTCTTGTGGGAGTGAGGTGGTATCTATGGCATTGTGGTTTTGATTTGCATTTCTCTGATCATTAGTGATGCTGAGAACTTTTTCATGTGCTTATTGGCAAAATAGATGTTGGCATGGATGCAGTGAAAGGCAACACTTTTACACTGCTGGCGGGAATGTAAACTAGTACAACCATTATGGAAAACAGTGTGGAGGTTCCTTGAAAAACTAAAAGTAGAGCTACCATTTGATCCAACAATCCCACTATAGGGTATCTACCCAGAGGAAAAGAAGTCATTATATGAAAAAGATACTTGCACACGCATGTTTATAGCAGCACAGTTTACAGTTGCAAAAATGTGGAACCAACCCAAATGCCCATCAGTCAACGAGTGGATAAAGAAATTGTGATACATAGATATAGATATAGATATAGATATATAGAGATACAGATATATAGATATATATGTCACAATTCAATGGTGTGTATATATATATATATATATATATATATATATACCAATTCAATGGTGTGTGTGTATATATACCAATTCAATATACCATTGAATTGAATATATACCATTGAATACTACTCAGCTATAAAAAAGGAATGAATTGATTGCATTTGCAACAACCTGGATAGGATTAGAGACTATTATTCCAAGTGAAGTAACTCAGGAATGGAAAACCAAACATCATACATTCTCATTTATAAGTGGGAGCTAAACTATAAGGATGCAAAGGCATAAGAAGAATACAGTGGACTTTAGGGACTCGGGGGGAAACGATGGGAAGGGGGTGAAGTATAAAGGACTACAAATTGGGTATTGGGTTCAGTGTATACTGCTTGGGTGATGGGTGCACCAACAATCTCACAAATCACCACTAAAGAACTTACACACGTAAGCAAATACCACCTGCTCCACCAAAAGCTATGGAAGTAGAAAAAAATTTTAAAAAGAAATATGAAAGGAGGAAAAACAAACAAAATAGAAATACGTCTTTGCTCTCCCTTTCTCCTCACATCACTCTCAACGCACACACATTGCTTCTAGATGAACAACACTCACTTTGTCAGATTACACAGCAATTTATGTTGTTCTTTTAAAAAGTGGTAATTGTACTTTTTAAGGCCACATACTATATATTCAATTAGGTTCTAATCTAAAATGCAGTGTCCAAAAACACCTCACATAGCAAATGTTTTCTAAATGGAAGCTTATTATACAGTGAGATCACGGTCCAATTAACGTTGCAAAGTGATATCATTTTAATCAACATTTTCTATTTGTCTATTAAAAAGATAAGGATGTGAATGTGTGGGTGTATGTGTATAAATATGTGTGTATGGTTGACGTCAACTTCATTGCATTGCTTAAGCAGGGAAAAAAGGCTGAAATCATAGAGATTTGAAAAGTACTCTGGAAAAAATGAAATAATTAGATAATTGGATAAACGCTAACATTCCCTAATACAGAGGAAAATTATATAGTGCTACAGTAAAGGTCAATATTGGGAGAAAGGGTCAGCAGAAGGAGTCATGAGGCCAAAGAAGTTCTAAATGTATATGTAGACTGACCAAAATAAATAAAGTTTCTAATTACTTATGCTTAATAATGGGATGTATTATAGAATCTGTATTGGTATCTAGGTAAACTAAATAATATTTAAGTACCTTTACCAGACAGACAAATGTAATTTTGAATTTCTGTCTTTGTGGATTCTAAAGGTTCAAAAAATCTTTCTCTAAGTGTGGAGAACAATAGGAGAAAGTGAAGAATCCAAGTAAGATGATGTGAGACTGATACCATGACTGAGAAGTTCAAGGATTTTATAACAAGATTGTTAGGAAATGTAAATCTATTCTACGATTGGAGCACAAGTTCTGATTTTCAAGATGAAACTAAATGAAATAATTTTAGTGGTGTAGCTCAGATGAATCAAATGGCTTGGCAGGAAGCAAGAGTGTTAATAAATGGACTTTAAATTTCCCAGTCCTTAAATCCCCTGGAATAAAAGAAAAGAGAGACAGCAAGAGCCTGAGTAAGACCATTAAAATTCATTTCTACATTTAATTTGGTGATGAATTTGGAGGGAAAAATCTATTACTCTGTGCTCTTTAAGTTGAGTTATAATTTAATGTAACCTGTTCAATAACTTTTAGGTTCTTGACTTTCAAACTTTTAAACTTTTTAGACCACATCTAAAATACTACATTTTGCGAAATACGATCTACATGCACTCACACACATACTACTGATAAAAGCTTTCCTGAAATACTGCTTGCTGTGATAAAGAGTGAGCTTCTGCTTTTGATGTTTGACTGCTTACAGATTTCATATCCCACCATTCCCCGCTTTGTCTCTTACTTCACATCTAGGAAAATTAATAAGAAAGCTGACTCTTTGGGGCTAAGATGGGTGTAGGATTTCAAATCGCCCAAGGCTCAGATGACACGTGGGAATATTCATCATGGCTCTGCTCCCTGACCACCATAAAAGCCTCATCCATTCTTCTTTCGTGACTCTCTCAAGTCATTTTTGAACCTGCCTGGGAGCTTTCTTACTTTCCTCAGAAATCCTTTGATGTGGATAATAAATCTTTTACACTTTCTTGGTGCATATATGCCATCATTAGCGTCCATAAAGGACCAAAATTTTTGAGCCATTTCACCTTTTTAAGGTGAATGTAACATTTTCCTGTGTGTGATGAATTTCATATTTTCTATTCCACTTCATTATATTTCATTTAAAATAATACCAATCATTATAAACTGATTTTAAAGCCCATTAATTAATTGTATACGTCAACTGAAAATTCCAGTTCAAAATAAGAAAAGCATGTTAAAAATTCTGACCCTTGGTAAATGCATTGTTGTAATTTTTGTGTGTCTTTTTTACCCTCTCCACTTATGAAAATGCCTCTCTCTTCTCTTATAGGACACCATTTTCTTCTGGCTCCTCACCTACTTTCACATTCTACTTTTTAAAGTTATAATTCCCCCAGACTTTTGCCTTTTAACATTTCTGAAACTCTTCCTGAGTATTCTGATCTACATTATTGACTGAATTCAGCCTTGGTGTTTGTGTTCCAGAATTAAACTTCTAATTAAGACCTTTCTCCTAAGACCAAACCTGAATATTCGGCTTACTGCAAAATATATCCATGTAGCTGTCCTCATAAACACTTGAAAAGGTTAAACTTATTTTCTCACCCTTCAACCCACTCTTTTCCCAAACAATCTCTCTCTGGTAACAAATGACTTTATTGTGTTCTCAGGTTTTACTGATTTTTAAAATATTTCTTTTAAAAACTTTGTTTTAAAATAGTTTTAGATTTATGCAAACATTGTAAACATAATGAGTTCCCATTTATTGCACAGCCAGGTTCCTGCAGTATCTTACATTTGTATGCTACATTGTATAGTAGATTTATTACAGTTAATGAACCAATATTGATCTATTATCATTAACTAAAGTGTATACTTTATTGTCATTTCTCAAGTTTTTACCTAATGTTCTTTCTGTATTTCATGATACCATACAGGGACTGCATTACATTGAGTAGGAGTGTCTTCTTAGATTTCTCTTGGCTGTGATAGTTTCTCAGGCTTTCCTTGTTTAGATGACCCTGAAAATATTGAGATATTTTATAGAATGTCACTAATTGAAATTTATCTGGTATTTTGTTCATGATTAGACTTGGAGTTACGGGCTTCTGAGAGGTGAGTGTCACTTTTCATCACATCATATCAAATGTACATATTATCAAAATAATAACAATGATTTGTTATTGCTGATAACCCTAATCACCTGGCTAAAGTAGTATTTCTCCTGTTTATTCACTGTAAAACTACTCTTTTCCTCCATTTTCTTTTGGAAGGAAGTGCAATGCACACTTCAACAAGATAACTAATTTTCCACATCCTTGAGCATGGAGTAGCTACGTAAATTATTTAAAATTATTCTGCAGAGAAAATAGGCCTATTCTTACCCATTTGTATATTGAGTGTCCTTGTATCAGTATGGACTCATAGATATGTATTTTATACTCCAGATTTTAATCAAATTATGCGTTATTTTGTTGCTCAAATTGTTCCAACTTTGTTCATTTAGAGATCTTTCAGTTAGCTCCTGTGGGTTTTTTTTTTTTTTACATTAATCAGTTGCTTATATTTGTATTAATCTATTCCTAGGCTATCTATTCTATACCTATGATCTATATAAGTTTATTCTTTCAACAAAATCTCAATCTTAATTACTATAGCTTTATAGTAAGTCTTGAAATTGGGTAATGTGAGTATAGCAACTTTGTTTTTTTATCTTCAATATTATGTTTACTGTTTTATGTCTTTTAACTTTCTGTAGAAACTTTAGAGTCAGTTTGTCAATATCTACAAATAGCTTGCTATTTTGATTGAGAACATGATGATCTATAAATCAAGATGAAAAGAACTGAAATCTTCACAGTAATTAGTCTTCGGATTCATAAATGCAAAATTTCTCTCCATTTATTTAAATCTTCTTTGATCAATTCATCAGAAGACTGTAGATTTCTGCATATAGATCCAGTATATACTTAGATTCATGTGTATTTTATTTTTTGGTGTAATTGTACATGGTACTATGTTTTTAATTTCAAATTTCAATTGTTCATTGCTGGTTTAAAGGAAAGCAATTAACTTTTGCATATTAACTTTGGATCCTATTTGACTAGTTCAGGAGATTTGTTGTCAATTCTTGGGTATTTGCTATAGAGACAACAATGTCATGTGAGAATACTGTTTTTCCACAGTGGTTGTACTAGTTTATATTCCCACCAGCAGTGTAGAAGTTTTCCTTTTTCACCACATCCATGCCAACATATATTATTTTTTAACATTTTAATTATGGCCATTCTCACATGGTATCTCACTGTGGCTTTAATATGCATTTCCTGATAAATAGTGATGGTGAGCATTTTCTCATATGTTTGTTGGCTATTTGTATATCTTCTGATTATGAGACAGACGTCCTGCCTGCTGTGCTATGGAGGCACGGCTTGTGGGTACATCCTTTTTTGAGAATTTTGTATTTATGTCCTTTGCCCATTTTTTGATGAGAATGTTTGTTTTTTTCTTGCTGATTTGTTTGAGTTACTTTTAGATTCTGGATATTAGTTCTTTGTCGGATGCATAGTTTGAGAATATTTTCTCCCACTCGGTGGGTTGTCTGTTCACTCCGCTGATTATTTCTTTTGCTGTGCAGAAGCTTTTTAGTTTAATTAGGTCCCTGTATTAGTCACGGTTCTCTAGAGGGACAGAACTAACAGGATATATGAATATATGAAAGGGAGTTTATACACAATCACAAGGTGAAGTCCCATAATAGGCCATCTGCAAATTGAGGAGCAAGGAAGCCAGTGGTGGACCAGTCCAAGCCCCAAAACCTCAAAAGTAGAGAAGCTGATAGTGCAGTCATCAGTCTGTGGCTAAAGGCCTGAGAGTCCCTTGCAAACCACTAGTGTAAGTTCAAGAGTCCAAAAACTGAAGAACTTGGAGTCTGATGTTTGAGGGCAGGAAGCATGCTTCACGGAATAAAGATGAAGGCCAGAAGACTCAGCAAGTCTGCTCTTCCATCTTCTCCTCCCTGCTTTATTTTAGCCACACTGGCAGCTGATTAGATGGTGATAACCCAGATTGAGGATGGGTCTGCCTCTCCCAGTCCACTGACTCAAATGTTAATCTCCTTTGGCAACACCCTCACAGACACGCCCTGGAAACGTGCTTTGTATCCTTCAATCCAATCAAGTTGGCACTTCGTATTAACCATCACAGTCCCATTTATTTATTTTTTGTTTTGTGGCATTTGCCTTAGGGTTCTTAGTCATGAATTATTTGCTTAAACCAATGTTCAGAAGAGTTTTCAGATGCTATCTTCTAGAATTTTTATGGGTTTCAGTGTTAGATTTATGTCTTTGATCCATCTGGAGTAGATTTTTGTATAAGGTAAGAGATGATTCAGTTCCATTCTTCAACATATGGCTTGCTAGTTTTTCCAGCACCATTAATTGAATATAGCCTTTCCCAACTTTATATTTTTGTATGCTTTATTGAAGATAAATATTTGGCTCTATTTCTGGGATCTCTATTCTCATCCACTGATCGGTGTGCCCACTTTTATACAAGCTGTTTTGGTAACTGTAGCCTTGTAGTGTAATATGAATTTGGTGATGTGATGTCTCCAGATTTGTTCTTTTTGCTTAGTATTGCTTTGGCTATTCAATACTTTTTTGGCTCCATAGGAATTTTAGAATGCTTTTTCTAGTTCTGTGAAAAATGATGATGGTGTTTTGATGTGAACTGCATTGAATCTGTAGATTGCTTTTGGCAGTATGGTCATTTTCACAATATTGATTCTACCCATCCACGAGCATGAGATGTGTTTCCATTTGTTTGTGTCATCTATGATTTCCTTCAGCAGTGTTTTGCAGTTTTTCTTGTAGAAATCTTTCACCTCCTTGGTTAAGTATATTCCTAAGGGTTTTTTGTTTGTTTGTTTTACAGCTGTTCTAAAAGGGATTGAGTTCTTGATTTGAATCGCAGTTTGGTTGTTGGTAGTGTATAGTAGTGCTACTGATTTGTGTCCATTGACTTTGTATCCTGAGACTACTGGATTCATTTATCATGTCTAGGACCTATTTGGGTTTTCTAGCTGTATGATCATATGATCAGCGAACAGTGACAATTTGACTTCCTCTTTTCCAAATTGGATTTCATTTATTTCTTTTTCTCTTGTCTAATTGCTCTGGCTAAGATCATGATATGGTTTGGCTGTGTCCCTGCCCAAATTTCATCTTGAATTATAGCTTCCATAATTTCCACATGTTATGGGAGGGACCTGGTGGTAGCTAATTGAACCATGGGGGCGGGTCTTTCCCATGCTGTTCTCCTGATAGGGAATAAGTCTCACAAGATGTGATGGTTTTATAAAGGGGAGTTCCCCTACACAATCTCTCTTGCCTGCCATCATGTAAGACATGACTTTGCTCCTCATTTGCTTTCTGCCATGAGTGTGAGGCCTCCCCAGCCAGGTGGAATTGTGAGTGCATTAAACCTCCTTCCTTTATAAATTACCCAGTATCAAGTATGTCTTTATTAGCAGCATGAGAACAGACTAATACAGACTGCCAGTACTATGTTGGATAGAAGTGGGTAAAGGGGGAATCCTTGTTACTTTTAAACTATCTGAGTTTTTTTTAAGTTGGCTTCTGATAAATAAGAAATAGTGGGTCTGTTTCTATACCTACTCTGACAACCTACTTCTTTCAATTGATGTATTTAGACCAGTCACATTTGAAGTGCTTATTAATATAGTTGAATTAATAACAATGTATTTTCTATTTGTTGCATTTTTAATTTTTTTCTGTCTTCTCTGGTTTTAATTTAGTATTTTATATAATTCAATGTAATATAGGATTTAAATATTTTTAAAAAAATTTTGTTTGTTTAGTGCTTCTGTTGGAGCTTTCAAAATACAGTTTTAACTAATGTGTCTAGCTTCAAATTATATATTATGCTGCTTCACATGTAGTACAGTACCTTCTGAAGAAGTTTTCTCAACTTCTTCCTCCTATTATGACATTCCTGTTAATAATGTTCATACTGTATTGGTGCTTAATGTATTGGGTGCTTACCACTTAAACACCAACATATTAGTAACAGTATTATTAATATTTCAGTTATCTTTTAGATAAATAAAAAATAAGGATAATAATTTCGACTTCCTTTTTCCTTCTCTGACATTCTTGCTTTTTAAATGTAGATCAATGTTTCTGAGGTATATCACTTTCATTTTCCCTGAAAAAATTATTTTAATATTTCTTGTTGGACGGGTCTGCTAGCAAATAATTTTTAGTTTTTCTTTGAGAAGATATTTATTTCTCCTTCATTTCTAAAGGATAAATTTGCTGGATATAAAACTCTAGGTGTTTTTGTTTGTTGTTTGTTTTGGTTTGGTTTTTGGTTCTCTCAACTTAAATAATTTAGTCTAATTTCTTTTTGTCTGCCCGAATTCTGATAAGTCTACTGTAATTTTTACTCTTGAATCTTACAGGTAAGCAACTACTTCTTTTACCTCTTGCTATATTTTTTTAAAGATTTTCTTTTTGTCTTCTATTTTCTGTAGTTTGATTATAATATAACTAGTTGTATTTTTTTGGTAATTATCCTCTTTGGTGTTCTCTGAGCCTCCTGAATTTGTGGCTTCATGCCTGTCATTAAATTCAGCAAATTCTTAGTAAATATTGCTTTGAATATTTATTCTACTCCATTTCATGTTTATTCTCCTTCTGGTATTCCCATTACATGTGTGTTACAACTTTTGATATTGGCCCTGTTTATTGATGTTCTGTTTTTATTTTTCTTTCAATCTTTTTACATGTCAGTTGGGGCAGTTTATAATGATCTCTCCTCAGGCTCACTGATTCTTTCCTTCTCTATGTCCAGTCTACTAATGAGCTCATCAGGGGCATTCTTTACTTCTGTTACAGTGTTTTCGATTTTTAGCATTTTCTTTTGATTCTTATAGTTCCCGTCACTGCTTACACACACTTGTTTTTGCATGTTGCCTTTTTTCACTGAAGTCCTAAACATATTAATCATAGTTAGTTATTAAACCCAATGTCTGATAATCCTAACATCTATGTCATATATCAGTCTGGTTCTTGTCCTTATTTGGTCTCTTCAGTCTGTGGTTTTTCTTGCCTTTAACATGCCTTGTAAATTTTTTGTTGAATACCATGTAATAAGATTTGAGGTAAACAGGCTTTTAGTGTGAGATTTTATGTTGATCTGGCTAGAAGCCAATGTTTAGTTTTGCCTCTAGCTATCTCTTTCGCCATTTTTATTTTGGCCTTTCCTAGAATCTCTTTTTTATAGAGTCAGTGTCTGGCAGCTCTTTTAGGCTGCAATCCATTCTCATTATATTGGAGCATTGTTTGGATGGTGGTGAGGTATCAAGGATGGAAAGTGTTCTATAACCTTATAGTTAAATTCAATCTTTTAGTAGTTCTGTGTCCCCGGTCTTTGATATTCACAATAGTTATTTTAGTGGTACAGCTTGTGTTTGTTGTTGTTGTTGTTTCTTTTTTGATGCTTGAGACAATAAGGCTAGAGAATGCTGGAGTCTGAGAAATATCTTTTCCTCAAGTAGAATAAATCTCCTGTAATGCCTTTTTTCCTCTTATGTTATGGAGACTACCCTGGGGATATTTCACAATGATTACTTTTTCTCTTCCATTGCCAGGGTAGATTTTGGATTCTTTCTTCATTCTTCATGGCGATAACTCCTGATGGGGTTCCTGGGGATAAAGCCATGAAAGTGTGGGGGCCCTCTTAAGTAGTTCTTCACTCTCATGCTAATCCACACTTAGCCTCCAATAGTTTGTCAAAATTCTCATTTAAATATTAATTAATGGTTCCAGAACTTTCTGCTCCAGGTTAGCAGATCTTGGCTATATTTCTCTCGATTCTCCTGTTTCTCCACGTTTTAGTGTGTCAACTGGTTCTATCTACAACCTCAGGTCTCATGTGGGTCCAAGAAAAGTTGTTGATTTTTCACTTACTAATTATAAAGACAGGAGTGGCAAGTTCTATGTTTTTCTTTTTCCAAATCAGAGATGAAAATGGATGATAGATTTGTTTCTTAAATTCAAAATCATTTTAGATTTTTTAAAAAATTAATTATAGCCAGATTTCTCAAATACTTCAACTAGATTCCCCAAATGTTGACATTTCCCCCATTTGCATTGTCATTCTTCCTATTTCTCAGTCTGTACATACATATATATTTTCTGAATCATTGGAAGTAAGTTGTAGACAGGATATTCTTTCACCCCAAGTAGTTCAGTTTATAGTTCCTTAAAAATCAGACATTCTCATAAATAAGCAAAATACAATGATTCAATTCAGGAAATTAATATTAAAAAGCATTATTTTATAATTTACATTCCTCATTAAAATTTCATTGCCTAACTAATGTTCTTTGTAAAAAAAGAAACAAATTTTTTGTCCAGGACCAAAGCCAGAATGACATATTGCATTTAGTTGGCATTCTCATTAGTCTTCTTTAATCCAGAAGAATTCATTAGCCTTTCTTTTCCTTTCATGTCCTTGACATTTTTGAAGAGTACAGGCCCCTTATTTTATAAAATAAATTCACATTTTTCTGATGTCATCTTGTAATTTAATTAATTCAAGTCATACATTTTTTTCAGAGACACCAAGAAGAGATACTGTACTTTTGGTTAAGCATTCATGAGGAGGGATGTGATGTATATTTGTCATATTACATGTGAAGTTAACTTTAATCACCTAGTTAAGGTAGTATTTGCCAGGTTTCTACATTGCAGAATTGCTGTTTTAGTGTTCGTAATTAATAAGTACCTTGTCAGGAAGTATAGTAAATATCTTGTTTCTCATCAGCTGTTCATCTTCTACATTTAGTAACTTCTGATAATTCTTATTTAAACAACTATTATTATGGTTGTTGCCAAATGGAAATTTTCTAATTTCATGTTTCTTTCTGCCTAAGTTGACATTCTATTGTAAGTAGCATTTAAAGATGATAATACAAGAAATTTGAAAATTGTTTTTAATTTCTTTTTTTCTCATCAATTATGCTGGCCAATCATGTGGCAACTGCTTGACTAATGTATATAGCACAGAAAGTAGATATTACTATTTCTATAAAATCAATGTCATAAAGAGCTTTTGAAAAGTCACAGGGTAAAAGTATTCAAAAACAAACAGAAGAAAAAATAAACAAAACCTCCAGGGTAGCTATGCAATGATTTCACAACATTACCTACCTAACTGAGAAAGCCTGACACTTTGTGAAGAAGCAGCTACAGGCTTAAAATCTATAAAACAGGGTCAGATTCAGGTGGTTCAAGAGTCTGAATCTTTTTACCCAATTACATCCTCCACACAGAGAAATCTTCCTTGTCTACAGTGGGAAGGTCATTAGATGTGCCCAGAGCAATTCTTTCCTTCTTAACACTAAACTAAGTGAGAATTGGTTTTATCAAATGTGTGTAATTATTTGTGAAATGCCTAAACTTCTATGTCATGCCCCTGGGGTTTTTCAAAGAATAAAATCATATCCAGCTCCTTGTTGGATGAGAATGAATCACAGTTGGATTGAACGTAAAAGAAAATCTCTCAAAAGATATCCCAAAACAACCATTGCCAAAGAGAATATCATCTAAAAGTTATTAGAGTGGATATTCGCTCCTTATCATTACTATCATATGCTTTATTGATTTAAAAAGCATTCTCTGTGTTTCCTCCAGCAGCTCATATAAAACAGCCACAGAGCTATAACATCTGCTTGCCTGGATTGACATAATACATTTGATAATCAAGTTATCACAGACGTTTCAGTCTACAGTTGCATTGTTTTTCTTGTTAATGTCCAGTAGCTAATGTAATAAGTCATCTCTGAAAACCCAAGCTCAGATTTTCTGATTAAGTTTGGCACCAGGAAGAATAATGACCTGCATTATCCAAAGACGTGAGTGAGTGATACATTGGTTCATAGACAGAAACCACTACCAACTATACACTTATTTAGTAAAAAAGGACTGGATAGGAAACCACTTTTTTTCTGTGTATAAAAAGATTTTAAATATTGGGAACAGAAATTTATAGATAATCACTCCCAGATTCCTACTAGGTAAACGAATAAAAATGAATATTTTGATGCAGGTTGGCATGAACAAAATGATATTTTTTGGAGAAATCTGTGTGAGGATGCAGATGATATTTCAGTGTTTAAATTCAAACACATATACACAAACATCCTTAGACAGAGCTTGCCCCCTTGTGTGAAAGGTGAGACATGTATACATCTCAATGACTATAGAGGATATTGCTGCAGGGTATAACTTCATGTTCATGGTGATGATACAGACATAGCAATAAAAGATAAAACAGTACTTTTATTTTCTATTCAAGGAGACAGAGGTTTAAGGTGTATTTAGGATTTCCTTCAAAATTTAAAAAAAGTTAAAAGGAAATTTGCTGCAATAAACATCTTAAAATTGGAAACAATAATTTTGTCCAAAAATAGGAATGATTAACTGTACAAATTATAACAGGAATTAAAGGAATTACAGCAAAGTATCAAAAATATTTTTTATGGATCTTTCTTATTTATCTTTATTTTATTTATATTTTCTTAATTTCTGTAGTGATCTTACTGGAGATGGCATCTGAAACTGCTACTATTGATAATTTGTTCTGTTAATTTATTAGGAATGGGAGGAATGGGATGATAACAGTGGATAAAACAAGGTCAGCCTGTGTAATTTTCAGAAAACCTTTTCATGAAGACAGCTGTTCCCCAGAACTGCAAGACATAGAAGCATTATGAATAAACCTTATGTATGTATGTTTTGTTAAAACAACTGTTGAGGGGGGTGGAGCCAAGATGGCCGAATAGGAACAGCTCCAGTCTACAGCTCCCAGCCTGAGCAACACAGAAGACGGATGATTTCTGCATTTCCAACTGAGGTACCGGGTTCATCTCACTGGGGAGTGCTGGACAGTGGGTGCTGTGCACCGTGCATCAGCCGAAGCAGGGCGAGGCATCGCCTCACCCAGGAAGGGCAAGGGGTCAGGGAATTCCCTTTCCTAGTCAAAGAAAGGGGTGACAGACGGCACCTGGAAAATCAGGTCACTCCCACCCTAATACTGTGCTTTTCCAACAGGCTTGACAAACAGCACGCCAGGAGATTATATCCCACACCTGGATTGGAGGGTCCTATGCCCACGGAGCCTCACTCATTGCTAGCACAGCAGTCTGAGATCAAACTGCAAGGCAGCAGCAAGGATGGGGGAGGGGTGCCCGCCATTGCCGAGGCTTGAGTAGGTAAACAAGGCAGCCAGGAAGCTCAAACTGGGTGGAGCCCATCACAGCTCAAGGAGACCTGCCTGCCTCTGTAGGCTCCACCTCTGGGGGCAGGGCACAGACAAACAAAAGGCAGCAGTAACATCTGCAGACTTAAATGTCCCTGTCTGACAGCTTTGAAGAGAGTAGTGGTTCTTCCAGCATGCAGCTTGAGATCTGAGAACAGGCAGACTGCCTCCTCAAGTGGGTCCCTGACCCCTGAGAAGCCTAACTGGGAGGCACCCCCCAGTAGGGGCGGACCGACACCTCAAACGGCTGGGTACTCCTCTGAAACAAAAATTCCAGAGGAACGATCAGGCAGCAGCATTTGCGGTTCACCAATATCCGCTGTTCTGCAGCCACCACTGCTGATACCCAGGCAAACAGGGTCTGGAGTGGACCTCCAGCAAACTCCAACAGACCTGCAGCTGAGGGTCCTGACTGTTTGTCAGAAGGAAAACTAACAAACAGAAAGGACATCCACACCAAAAACCCATCTGTATGTCACCATCATCAAAGACCAAAGGTAGATAAAACCACAAAGATGGGGAAAAAAACAGAGCAGAAAAACTGGAAACTCTAAAAATCAGAGCACCTCTCCTCCTCCAAAGGAACGCAGCTCCTCACCAGCAATGGAACAAAGCTGGATGGAGAATCACTTTGATGAGTTGAGAGTAGAAGTCTTCAGAAGATCAAACTACTCTGAGCTAAAGGAGGAAGTTCGAACCCATGGCAAAGAAGTTAAAAACCTTGAAAAAAAAAAAATAGACGAATGGCTAACTAGAATAACCAATGCAGAGAAGTCCTTAAAGGACCTGATGGAGCTGAAAACCAAGGCACGAGAACTACTTGACGAATGCACAAGCCTCAGTAGCTGATGCGATCAACTGGAAGAAAGGGTATCAGCAACGGAAGACGAAATGAATGAAATGAAGTGAGAAGAGAAGTTTAGAGAAAAAAGAATAAAAATAAATGAACAAAGTCTCCAAGAAATATGGGACTATGTGAAAAGACCAAATCTACGTCTGATTGGTGTACCTTAAAGTGATGGGGAGAATGGAACCAAGTTGGAAAACACTCTGCAGGATATCATCCAGGAGAACTTCCCCAATCTAGCAAGGCAGGCCAACATTCAAATTCAGGAAATACAGAGAACGCCACAAAGATACTCCTTGAGAAGAGCAACTCCAAGACACATAATTGTCAGATTCACCAAAGTTGAAATGAAGGAAAAAATGATAAGGGCAGCCAGAAAGAAAGGTCGGGTTACCCATAAAGGGAAGCCCATCAGACTAACAGCTGAACTCTTGGCAGAAACTCTACAAGCCAGAAGAGAGTGGGGGCCAATATTCAACATTCTTAAACAAAAGAATTTTCAACCCAGAATTTTCATATCCAGCCAAACTAAGCTTCGTAAGTGAAGGAGAAATAAAATCCTTTACAGACAAGCAAATGCTGAGAGATTTTGTCACCACCAGGCCTGCCCTAAAAGAGCTCCTGAAGGAAGCACTAAACATGGAAAGGAACAACTGGTACTAGCCACTGCAAAAACAAGCCAAATTGTAAAGACCATCCAGGCTAAGAAGAAACTGCATCAACTAATGAGCAAAATAACCAGCTAACATCATAATGACAGGATCAAATTCACACATAACTATATTAACCTTAAATGTAAATGGGCTAAATGCTCCAATGAGAAGACACGGACTGGCAAATTGGATAGAGTCAAGACACATCAGTGTGCTGTATTCAGGAAACCCATCTCACATGCAGAGACACACATAGACTCAAAATAAAGGGATGGAGGAAGATCTACCAAGTAAATGGAAAACAAAAAAAGGCAGGGGTTGCAATCCTAGTCTCTGATAAAACAGATTTTAAACCAACAAAGATCAAAAGAGACCAAGAAGGCCATTACATAATGGTAAAGGGATCAATTCAACAAGAAGAACTAACTATCCTAAATATGTATGCACCCAATACAGGAGCACCCAGATTCACAAAGCAAGTCCTAGGTGACCTACAAAGAGACTTAGACTCCCACAAAATAATAATGGGAGACTTTAATACCCCACTGTCAATATTAGACAGATCAAGGAGACAGAAAGTTAACAAGGATATCCAGGAATTGAACTCAGCTCTGCACCAAGCAGACCTCACAGACGTCTACAGAACTCTCCACCCCAAATCAACAGAATATACATTCTTTTCAGCACCACACCACACCTATTCCAAAATTGACCACATAGTTGGAAGTAAAGCACTCCTCAGCAAATGTAAAAGAACAGAAATTATAACAAACTGTCTCTCAGACCACAGTGCAATCAAACTAGAACTCAGGATTAAGAAACTCACTCAAAACCGCTCCACTACATGGAAACTGACCAACCTGCTCCTGAATGACTACTGGGTACATAATGAAATGAAGGCATAAATAAAGATGTTCTTTGAAACCGATGAGAACAAAGACACAACATACCAGAATCTCTGGGACACATTCAAAGCAGTGTGTAGAGGGAAATTTATAGCACTAAATGCACACAAGAGAAAGCAGGAAAGATCTAAAATTGATACCCAACATCACAATTAAAAGAACTAGAGAAGCAAGAGCAAACACATTCAAAAGCTAGCAGAAGGCAAGAAATAACTAAGATCAGAACAGAACTGAAGGAAATAGAGACACAAAAAACCCTTCAAAAAAATCAAGGAATCCAGAAGCTGGTTTTTTGAAAAGATCAACGAAATTGATAGACCGCTAGCGAGACTAATAAAGCAGAAAATAGAGAAGAATCAAATAGACCCAATAAAAAATGACAAAGGGGATATCACCACCGATCCCACAGAAATACGAACTACCATCAGAGAATACTATAAACACCTCTATGCAAGTAAACTAGAAAATCTAGAAGAAATGGATAAATTCCTCGACACATACACCCTCCCAAGACTAAACCAGGAAGAAGTTGAATCTCTGAATAGACCAATAACAAGCTGTGAAATTGAGGCAATAATTAATAGCTTACCAACCAAAAAAAAGTCCAGGACCAAATGGATTCACAGCCGAATTCTACCAGAGGTACAAGGAGGAGCTGGTACCATTCCTTCTGAAACTATTCCAATCAATAGAAAAAGAGGGAATCCTCCCTAACTCATTTTATGAGGCCAGCATCATGCTGATACCAAAGCCTGGCAGAGACACAACAAAGAAAGAGAATTTTTCGACCAATATCCCTGATAAACATTCATGCAAAAATCCTCAATAAAATACTGGCAAACCGAATCCAGCAACCCATCAAAAATCTTATCCACCATGATCAAGTGGGCTACATCCCTGGGATGCAAGGCTGGTTCAACATATGAAAATCAATAAACGTAATCCAGCATATAAACAGAACCAAAGACAAAAACCACATGATTATCTCAATAGATGCAGAAAAGACCTTTGACAAAATTCAAAAACGCTTCATGCTAAAAACTCTCAATAAATTAGGTATTGATGGGATATATCTCAAAATAATAAGAGCTATCTATGACAAACCCACAGGCAATATCATACTGAATGGGCAAAAACTGGAAGCATTCCCTTTGAAAACTGGCACAAGACAGGGATTCCCTCTCCCACCACTCCTATTCAACATAGTGTTGGAATTTCTGGCCAGGGCAATCAGGCAGGGGAAGGAAATAAAGGACATTCAATTAGGAAAAAAAGAAGTCATATTGTCCCTGTTTGCAGATGACATGATAGTATATCTAGAAAACCCCATCATCTCAGCCCAAAATCTCCTTAAGCTGATAAGCAAATTCAGCAAAGGCTCAGGATACAAAATCAATGTACAAAAATCACAAGCATTCTTATACACCAATAACAGACAAACAGAGAGCCAAATCATGAGTGAACTCCCATTCACAATTGCTTCAAAGGGAATAAAATACCTAGGAATCCAACTTACAAGGGACGTGAAGGACCTCTTCAAGGAGAACTACAAACCACTGCTCAATGAAATAAAAGAGGATACAAACAAATGGAAGAACATTCCATGCTCATGGGTAGGAAGAATCAATATTGTGAAAATGGCCATGCTGCCCAAGGTAATTTGTAGATTCAATGCCATCCCCATCAAGCTACCAATGTCTTTCTTCACAGAATTGGAAAAAACTACTTTAAAGTTCATATGGAACCAAAAAAGAACCCGCATTGCCAAGTCAATCCTAAACCAAAAGAACAAAGCTGGAGGCATCACGCTACCTGACTTCAAACTATACTACAAGGCTACAATAACCAAAACAGCATGGTACTGGTACCAAAAGAGAGATATAGACCAATGGAACAGAACAGAGCCCTCAGAAATAATGCCGCATATCTACAACTATCTGATCTTTGGCAAACCTGACAAAAGCAATGGGGAAAGGATTCCCTATTTAATAAATGGTGCTGGGAAAACTGGCTAGCTATATGTACAAAGCTGAAACTGGATCCCTTCCTTACACCTTATACAAAAATTAATTCAAGATGGATTAAAGACTTACATGTTAGACCTACAACCATAAAAACCCTAGAAGAAAACCTAGGCAATACCATTCAGGACATAGGCATGGGCAAGGACTTCATGTCTAAAACACCAAAAGCAATGGCAACAAAAGCCAAAATTGACCAATGGGATCTAATTAAACTAAAGAGCTTCTGCACAGCAAAAGAAACTACCATCAGAGTGAACAGGCAACCTACAGAATGGAAGAAAATTTTTGCAATCTACTCATCTGACAAAGGGCTAATGTCCAGAATCTATAATGAACTCAAACAAATTTACAAGAAAAAAACAACCCCATCAAAATGTGGGCGAAGGATATGAACAGACACTTCTCAAAAGAAGACGTTTATGCAGCCAAAAAACATATGAAAAAATGCTCATCATCACTGGCCATCAGAGAAATGCAAATCAAAACCACAATGAGATACCATCTCACACCAGTTAGAATGGCAATCATTAAAAAATCAGGAAACAACAGGTGCTGGAGGGGATTTGGAGAAATAGGAACACTTTTACACTGTTGGTGGGACTGTAAACTAGTTCAACCATTGTGGAAGTCAGTGTGGCAATTCCTCAGGGATCTAGAATTAGAAATGCCTTTTGACCCAGCCTTCCCATTAATGAGTATATACCCAAAGGATTATAAAACATGCTGCTATAAAGACACATGCACACATATGTTTATTGCGGCACTATTCACAATAGCAAAGACTTGGAACCAACCCAAATGTCCAACAATGATAGACTGGATTAAGAAAATGTGGCACATATACACCATGGAATACTATGCAGCCATAAAAAAGGATGAGTTCATGTCCTTTGTAGGGACATGGATGAAGCTGGAAACCATCATTCTCAGCAAACTCGCACAAGGACAAAAAACCAAACACCACATGTTCTCACTCATAGGTGGGAATTGAACAATGAGAATACATGGACACAAGAAGGGGAACATCACACACCAGGGATTGTTGTGGGGTAGGTGGAGGGTGGAGGGATAGCATTAGGAGATATACCTAATGCTAAATGACGAGTTAATGGGTGCAGCACACCAACATGGCCCATGTATACATATGTAACTAACCTGCACGTTGTGCACATGTACCCTAAAACTTAAAGTATAATAATAATAAAGTTTAAAAAAAACCAAAAAATACAAAAACAGCTGTTGATATTTATTAAAATTCTCAAAAATTTCCATTTTTTAACTGAGTATCTTATGGTTAAAAAGAGTAACCTGGTCATTTCATGTTTAAAATTCTCTTCCAGTGCAGAAAAGGATGAACAAAAATAAAAAAAATTAGTGAAAACATTGAATGCAATAAAAATACTGTGCAAATTACCTAAAATTCTAATGACAGTGAAATAATCAAGTGCATTCTTCTATTGTCACACAATTAAATATTAATTCTAAAGAAAGCAGCAGCAAATCTTTTTTTTTTTTCTATGTTTTCCAAGATTTGTAAAATCTCTTGGAAATAATGTAAAATAAATCCTGGAAATAACATAATATAGATTATTTTTATAAAAGAAAGTGAGCCACTATACTATTTGTTGTTGCAGTAAAACAAAACAAAACAAAACACCAACATGTTTTTCCAATGGGATTTTCCCCTCAAAAAGCTTATAATCATTTGGATTTACTTACTCCCAAATAATAATTTCATTAATTTTTAAGGCTTGTAGCAGGTCAATTTTATACATAGGGAACTTAGGGAACATAAAAGAAAATAATGTGGATAATGTTTACAGCAGAGTCCAAGGAGGAATTTAGTTTTCCTGCCTTTGTTCTCTTTCTTTTATACACAATTAGTCAATATTTTTGATGATGCTAGTAATGATAAATTAGTTATCATCTGTTTTTGAAACCAGTTGTAGATTTAGCTTTTATTATTTAATCAGAAACCAAAATTCCTAAATAATTTTTGGTTTATTCTGAACAAAGTTTCTTGTCTGAAAATCCACCCTTTTCCATTGTCATTCTTAGCGTATATATATATAAAATATATATTCAAATTTATACCATGAAATTTTATAACTAGCCAAACTAGGGTACATCTGTAACATAAAAAATCTCTCTGCATGGCTATTATTGAGAAGACCAAAAGTAACAGATGTTAGAGAGGATACAGAGAAAAGGGAACTTATACACTGTTGGTGGGAATGTAAACTCTCTGGTAAAACAGTATGGAGATTTCTCAAATAACTAAAAATAGAGCTACTACATGATCTGGCAATCCCACTACTGGGTATCAACCCAAAGAAAAGAAATCTTTACGTCAAATAGTTAGCTCCACTTGTGTGTATCATAGCACTGTTCACAATATCAAAAATATGGAATTGACTTAAGCATCCATCAAAGGAAAATTGGATGAGGAAAATATGGTATCTATACACAATGGAATACTATTGAACCATAAAAATAACAAAATCATGTCTTTTGCAGCAACATGGATGGAACCGGTAGCCATTATCTTAAGTGAAACAACTCAGACACAGAAAGACAAATATTACATGTTCTCACTAACAAGTGGGAGCTAAATAACATGTACACATGGAAGCAGAGTATGGAATCATAGACAATGGGGACTTGGAGAAGTTGGGGGTTGGGAGGGTGGATAATGAGAGGTTGCTTGGTGGGTACAATGTATGTTGCTCCAGTGATGAATATACTGAAGGCCCTGGCGTCATCAAAATGCAATATATCAATGTAGCAAAATTGCACTTGTACTCCATTAATAATACACAAGTTAAAATGAAATAAATCCCTTTCATCTTAAAAAAACCTCTGCATTTTGAAATGTTTCATTGTTCATTACAATCAGCCTTAACTAAAATTTATTATAGGGTCGATAGCTGGGAAATCATTCTGTTTTTTCTTAAAAATCTGTGTGTGTGCCTGTGTGTTACACAGGGAACACACAGGGAACACAAAGGGAAGCTTTCTGGTAGCTACTTTTATTTAAGAGGATCTTCCAGATATAATCCCACAAGACAACTGATCATCTATGTGGCTATCGTCAAGTAGGAATTTGCATGAATGCAGATTCAAAAAAATGCATTTTCTCTTCTCATATTTCCCTCATCCTGATCTCAGTTAAACTCAATCTCAGGGTAAGTCCACCTGGATTAAATTAATTTAAAAAATTGTTCTATCTAATTCAGTTCAATCAAATGTGAAGCAACATAAAAAAGAGGATCGTTATTTGTTAACATATGCCTTGTTTCCCAAGACAGAGCATTTAAAACTTAATTTCAAAACAAAATAAAGGGACTATATTTGACTTGTAATGTAATCAAAATTATCTAGGAACTAATTGCTCATACACTGTCTAGGAACTATATTCCTACAAACATACAAAGCTCTGTTACTCAGCCAGATTTGTACAATGTTGGCCACAATGCCTTCTCCTTGAGTTAATGCCCTATTATGTCTCCCTTTTCTGATGTTCTCAAAGGAGAAGGGAAGGACACTTTGGCCATTGTAACAACCTCCCTCATACTTTCTCCAATATTATACTTTTGACATAAACAAGGGCTGTGGTTGCAAATCTCAAAATTAGTGAACACTTGCCATTAGACATGGATTTTTAGAGTTAAATTTTTTTACTGGTTACATTTTTTAGAGTTCTTGGTTTTATTTTACTCTCAGAATCAATGCCAGTTGTATTTCTTTTGGGTGTGCTTTTTAAAATACAAAATATTATTTTTATTTTATTGTAAAATTGCAACCCCTATTGCATATGAAATAATGCATATAGAGCAAAAACGTTATGTGGCATTTCACTTTGCTGGGCAGGTTGCTAGGTTTACTCATTAGCTAAATGTGTTCCTCACAAGTAACGAAAAAAAAAGTTAAACCTGCAAATGTCACAAAGGTAGACCAATAATCCGCTAAGATCAATGAGGTAATTATTTTTATATTTTACAGTATAATAATTGGCTTTAGAGTAACTATGTTTCTGAATACATTCCCATCTCTTTGAGTTTTGATCTGCTTTGATGACATTTGGTCCACATACATCCATAATATTATCCCACCTTTCACACCCAGTATTCTGAATCAGATTCTCAGTTCTCTTGTCCAATATATCACAATGTCCATAAGACAGCACTTAATCCTTCCTTAGAAATTTTTTATTTACTTCAAATAAAGTTTTATTTATTTAAATATAGAATGTCAGGATTAAATTATTATTGTTGATAACATTGTTTATGGAATAAAATATAACTGCCTCATCCTATAGTATAATTGTTTTATGTTAATGACCATTTAATTCTTCCCTGCCCAGACTAGTCAAGATGCTTTCTTCTTTTTCTTCAGAAAACATTTCAAAAGCAATTACCAGGAAAATTGCCCTTGATAATTTGAAAGGGATTTTAAAAATGTAAATATTGAAACATTACCCAAATTATCTCTTTAAAAAGGAATGGGAGGAGAAAGGGGAAATCTAACATGTCCCAAAAACCTAACCTCTTGTGTGCTCCATCCTCTTTTGGGGCTTTTAGGAAGTAGCTAATAAAATCCCAACAACACACATAATGGAGTAGCTATTATAAGCCCCATTTTACAAATTAGGAAATGAGGACAAAAAAAGCTTAGGTAATTTGCTAAGCCCCTATCCAGTTGCGTTCTAACGAACCTTGTGTATAGTATGGACCATAGGCTTCATTTTATAAGTTGAACTTGTCTTCATGTTCTATTTACAAACTGCACTAAAAAATGTGGCAAGAAAAAGTTACTAGATGCAAACTATCACAGACAATTTCTCAGAATGAAAAAGGCAAAAAATATAGAAAAGCACATCCAACTTCCACATTATTCAAGTAATGCTGCTAAGTATTCCAAATTAATTGGCCTACCTATTAGTAGATGTTTGAAAACTATTAACATTAAAAGCGCAGGCCTTTTTAACTCTTCAATAAAAAGTATTATTACATCCAATTTACATGTTTAAATGCTCATCCATTAGTGATCTTTTGCACCTTAAAAATCAATCATACCTTTAAAAAACCTAATTTCATGGTATGAATCTCAATGTTCAAATTCCTATACTTCATTCCACTTATCATTTCAAAGACAAACTGAGGTATCGGGGAGGGGAGAATACTGATTATAATTCAAGATATTTGAATTCTAATTCGAATATGCCTTTAACTACAGAGGTTAAAAAAGGTAGGAAATTTGTTTTCTCACAAGTAAACAAGTAAATGAATGCTAGAGTATTTTTAAGATCCCTGTTGGCTGACACATTATTTAAAATTATTGGGGCTAAGTACATGAACATCTTTCTTTATAAACCAACACAATATACTAAAACTTATATTTGAAAAAATAGGAGCCAATTTCCTTTTTAACTTATAAAAGGATAAACTACAGAGTTTCCTTTAGTGTCAACCTCCAGTAGGGCCTTTGCTTTATTTACAGTCTTTGTAATTTATACACAGATTTTTAATATGAGTTAACCAACAAAATGTACTAATTATAATGTCTAATTATAATGACAAATTCTACCTGTTTTCTTTTGACAAAGAAGCTACATTATATGATTGCTAAAATGACTAGGAGGAAAACAGAATAAGAATCTCACATCTTCCTACTACTATCCATGAACTTTATAAATTAAAAGAAGTGACTTATGACATTTTGCTGAAGATTGCATTTTCCTCTGCTTGGAATATGTGCCATATCTCCAAAATAAAATACAATTAATAGTCATATGAAGCCAAGGAAAAGTGACTAAGGATAATGAATCCAAAAGCAAGGTTGTAAGAATGAATATACTTGGGAATTTTTTCTCTAATTTGAAGATGGACATTTCTTCACTGATTTGCCATTACTAAATTATTTTAGAATTTATTTAGCCTGCAAAGGGTTGGGGGAGTTGGAAACATCAGAAAAGGGTTTCAGGTGCAGAATGTACTGTTACCCAGGATAGCAGAGAACCAATGTTGACCTGAATATTTCTGATGAAAGGAAGCTAAGTTTTTGACCACCAATTGCAGGCTTTATTAGCTAGAACACAGGTTAGAATATTTAATATGAATGGCTGCCCATTCCCACTGCTTAGGTCAAATAAATCAGAAGGACAGGGTTTGGGGTCCAGTAAGAATATACTTGAAAAGGTATTTAAGTTATTCTTATATGAAACTAGAGTTAAGAACTAATATTCTAGAGAAATAGTTCCAAACTTGGCTATGTATTAGATATTCCTGGGGAAATAGAAATAATGCAAAATGCATCCAGTGATTCTGGTTTCTTGGGTATGGCTAAGGAAGTTGAAATTTAGCAAATGCACCAGGTATTTCTGATGTCAGTGGACCTCAGTGAGAAACACTGCCCTAAACAGTAGTCCCTGACGAATGCATACAGTGAGGTCAGTTTCTGATAAAGATTGAAAGAGGATGTTCATTGAACTATCTATTCAATCAGTAGACAAAGTTACAAGTTTGAATAAAGATGGGCATGGTGAACTTATCTATAAAGGACAAAGTGTAGTCCATTGTTAAAATGTAGATTCCTGGAGAATCAATCTTTGAGGGTTTGGGGTCTTGGGATATGTATTTTATAAGCCTCTGATGCTCTGAAAATATGCCCTAGTTGAGCAGGGATCTGCAATGCCACTCTCTGGACTCTTTAAATGACTTTTCTGGGTAACTGTAAAGCAATGAAGGAGGTGCCTATCCTTTCTGTATAAGATTAAAAAAAAAGACAATAGGACCAGTTATAAGTCTCATATAAGATCCCTGTTTTAGCAAATAACCCAAATCCTAAAAGTGACTATTATCCAGATACACTCATCACTATGTATAAGGGCCAGTAGATGGGCTTGTGCTTGGGGAATTTAATAGGAGAATCTAAGGACATGTGAAGGGATAATAAAATTCTAAAACACTGCCAGGTCACATTGCCTCGATCCTCCTACATATATTTGGTTATTATTAATTGCAAGGGGCTTTGTAAAGAGCAGATATTCCCAGGCTGCATCATGTGGTCAAGTCTTGCCCTCCTAAAACTTTATTGTATATATGAGTCTCTTGGGCATCTTGTTAGAATGCAGATTCTGACTCAGTATGTCTAGGATGGGGCCTGAGATTTCTAACGAGCCTCCAGTTAGTGCTGAGGATGCTGGTCCAAGGACTGCACTTTGAGTTGCAAGGATTTAGGCAGTGCCTGTAGGTCATGACAGCAGCCTACACTCTCAACCTTTATCATTTTCTTGTGAATGAGATAGATTATTGATTATAGAATAAATTCTCTTGAGAACATTTAGATGCATCCCTGCCAACTCATTACACCATCCTCTCTTGGATTGGACTCCTTCATATTCTTCACTTTTGAGAGCTCCCATTGTTCCAACCTCTTAATAGCTCCTCAAAATATTTAATTCACAAACACTGCCACATTTTTAATTTACAGAAAGCCTGTGAAGTTTATATTATTTTATCAGCTTTACAAAAGAAAAATTGAGGTTGCCGGTAAGTGTCAAAACATACTTAGGGGGATTCCATGGCTTGCCCAAGGTCACAAAGATTCAAATGCAGACTTCTAATTTCAGGTTCAAAATTGTTTTCCCTAAAAACTCAGTTTTGTGTGCGAACTATGATCTCTTAATTCTCTTTACCTATTGGAATAACACATCAGTAATAGAAACAATCAGGACTCCCATGAATAATTTTATAGGCTTGGATAGAAAACTCTACATAAATTTTAACTAAACCTCAGCAATACCCATATGAAGTATCATTATTTTCACATTAGTGTAGAGAGGAATAAAACAGAAATTGAAATCACCTAGTTTGCCTGAGGCCAACAGAATATGGAATACAATGTATAATAATTCACTGTGAGTTATCATATTCCATATTCACACATTTTATAAAAAAGAAGGTATAATTGGTTCACAGAGGAATGCATGTAAAATCCATTCTATGGGTTATATGGTATGTTAACTTACCTAATGAGCCCCTCACTGAGGGATCCAGCTATATCAATGAGTCATGATATCTGTTGTACTTTACTGTATAATACAAGAATTAAAACAAAATTTAACAATTTTATAAAAGGCAACACCTGTAATACAATGTAATGTGATTCCTAGTAGCTTCAGAATAAATTGTTTTTAAAATTTCAATGTCAATGTAAAGAGAAAACTTTCTCCACATTTTAATTAATATTTCATTTCTAAATTCAATCAAAAGTCCACCATCAAACAAAAATTTCCCTCTGCAATCCCTGTGACCTATCTTTTGGGGTCTCTAGTACTCTATTAGAGAACAGAACACACAGAAAGAAAAGGAGGGGATTGAAGACAGAGGACAAAAATGACCTCAGTAACTCTGTACCAAATTATTATGGAAAATGACACCTCAATGAAATTTTCTCACCAGATGACTTAAGTCTTTTCAAAATGCCATCAAGCCAGTGATCGGAAGCACAGTCTATGACAACATGTTTCATCAATGGTTATTTTTACAGTACTTGCACTATCATTTTGGTGGCTCTATATGAATGAGATTTAATATACTAACTATAGCATATATTAATGACCAGTTTTCTCAAACAGCATCACATTGTTTGAAGCTTATTGACAAGGGCTTCCTCCTCTCAGGAAAGTAAGGAAATATTCATTTTCCAAGGCTTGGTAGGGACACTTTCAAGTACTTGCTTCCATATGTTAACATGATTATCTTTAGTTATTTTTTAATCTTAATAGTGAACTTACTAAATTTGAAGACTGGAAAACATGAATAATTATGTGAGATAATAAAAAAGGGAAAATATATAATATTAGTAGCAGTTAGGATTGCATCATAGGATTAAACTATTGTGCCTCCTCAAATAATTGAAAAGGGAAACTACCTATGTGTGATATCTGAATAATACATCATATATATCCGATAATATCATCCTCTATTCTTCCTTTTTTTATTTTTGCTTTTATCTTACTCGTTGTATTTTTGTTTTTTACTAAGACTTGTTTTTCTATCATATCCAAACTATTAGCTAAAAATTAAAAAAACTGTTATATTACATCGTGTAATTCAGACAAATTGCTTAATTACACTCAAGCTGTTTTATTTCCTAAATCACTTAGTCAAACTTAAGGATGTTAACCCAGTAGAATTGTACTTTACTTATGCTTTAAACACAGTTGAGACACATTCATATTATCAAGCCTATGGAAAGGATAATGAATTTCACTTTGTTATGATGCATTTTCACTTCCAACTTCCAAGGACAATTACTGTGCACTTTTGTTTATGATGTAGAGTATTATCTGTGACACTTGGCCACTTAGTACATTGCCTCAAATTGAGTATTGTAAAGTATTTTCTTTGATTTATAGGAAAGAAAGAGACATTGAAAATAATGTGTAGAGCTTTCTAAATAAAATAAGACTTTATGAGTTTGTTTTCTGTGTTCCAAATTATTACACTTTTCTGCTACTTCATTTTAAAAGAACTCTTCATTTGAAAGAGTCGATTCCATTTTGAAAATGGGTTTCTGGATCCATAAAAAGCAAAAAGTCTTTATTACCTGAACACTGGCCAAAAATAAAATAGCTGTGAAGTGTAATTATATAGATGTGCTATAAAATGTATTTCTAGATTGTTACTAGTATAGGGTAAATTCCCCAGATACATTTCCTTCTATATTCTTTAGACTTTTTGATATGTTCCTCAGCAATTTACTATTTGAATTATGTTTATTAGCTTGAATTGAACGTGTGTAAATAAACTTTTAATTTCCAGTGTCATTAGATTGGGTATTAATATGTACTAATACTAAAAGAATTTAGAAAATTGAAGTGATATAAGAAATAAGTGTGATGGTTAATTTTATGTGTCAACCTAACTGGGCTTAGCGGTGGCAAAGAGCTGATATAAGTTTTTTCTGGGTATGTTTATGAGGATTTCAGAATTGAATGGAAAAGCACAGATGTCCTATAGGAAAAAACAGTGGACAAATGGCATTATCATGCAATTATAAGAAAAAGTTATTAACATTGCCCTTGAACATATGAAACTATACTCACCTTCACTCAGAATAAGATGAATACAAACAAAATCATGCTGAGTTCCAGAGTTTTCCCACCGTGATTGACAAAAAGCAAAAAGAAAATAAAAGAAAAACAAAATTGAATATATGCTCTGCTAGTGAAGCTATGGAGGAAAGGGAACCTTTTACGTGTTGTTGGTGAAAATGCAACACGGTCCATTTATGGAGGGGAATTTGACATATCTTTTGATCCACAAATATCTTGTCTAGAGATTTACTCTAAAGATTCACCTTGACTATAAAAAATACATTTGCACAAGATAATTTATTATAGTTTATTTATATTCGCAAAATAGGAATGACCTAAAAGCTCATACTTGGGAGATGAGCTGAATTACAAAAGATGCAATAGAGTCCTATGAAGCTATGGAAAAGACTGAGAAAGAGCTCTGTGAAATAAGGAATATACTGCTAAATAATATACTCTATAAAATTATACAGGTTATACTGCTAAATACTTTTTTAAAATAAAAAACTGTTTACATATTATGCCTACTTTTGTAAAAAAATAAAAGGAGGAAATAAGAAGATACTCATGCATCCACTTATCTAATGTAAAAAGAAATAGAATGAATAAAGCAGAAAATAGTACAGTTAATTAATGACAAGAGTGTTATGAATGGGATGGAATCGATTGGTGGTAGAGTGGCAAGTTTTATTCTGAACTGTTTTACAGATTTTGTGTTGGGAACCATGGGACAGTCTACATACTTTAAAGAAGATAAGAAAGTCAACATGATGAGGAAGTAAATAATCTCTTCCCCTCCAAATAATCCATAATGAAATGCAAACAAAAACAAGTGGACCTGAACAGATTTTAAATTGATAATGTAACCATAGTGAAATGGGAGGGGAAAAAAAACCAAAATATTTTTTGAAATCACTCATTTCGAGTATATATACCCAATCTAAAAGTGGAGAACAATGTAAACATGTGCTGAACTCTAGGTAGAATATGTATTTCCTTAATGCTATGGGTTAATAATTTTGAAAATACATTTTATGTATAATTTGTAAAAGCAAATGAATTGATTATATTGAGGATGATAGGAGCCAGGTTTCTCTTTACTGGTAAAGGGAGTTACAAGTTTTTGTTTTCATTTTATTAAAATATCTTGAAAAATTATTTGGAAGAGGGTGACTTGCGTGTTCAGCAGCAAAGGCAAAAAATACAGTAGCTACATAGCACTGATGGCCAAGAAATCGGCATTAGGGGAAGACAAAAAAGACTAAGGAGAAGTGAGAAGAGAAAGCCCAAGAGAAGAGGTGGCCCAATCGCATGAGATTGGAGAACTACAAGAAACACCTGCAGTGGTCCAGCGGCTAAAGGGGCTGAGCACTGCTCGACCAGGCTGGATCTAAGGAGTAGAGGGTAGCATAGAAACAGCAAAGGTCCAGAAATACCAGGAATCATTCTGGGAAAATGCACCTGAATTGCTATTTAGACTTGTAAACTTTCAGAGGTCTACTAGAGAGAGAAAACTCAAAGAGGACCTATGGGCCTATAATCCTTTATACAGGAAACAAGGAAACAATGATTTTCAGATTCAGCTGTTTATGTGACCTCATGATCTGATCAGCCACAAGCTCTGGAGGTCTTTGATTTCCAAAGTCTCCATATGCTGATGCTATTATTAATGATAATAATATATTTATTGAATTGCCAAGAAAATGGTAGATGAGATAAAAACTAAACAACGGTGACAATTTTAACAGCTTGCAATTCTCTGACCAGTGAAAAAAGTCTATATCAACTGAAATTGCACAGAGGAAAGTTAATCACCAGAAAATTGAAGTCCAACCTATTCATCTGCTCTGATTTTGCCATTGCTGCACAAGTGTCAAAATTATGGCAAGGCGGAGATGTAACAATCAATACAAAAAGTAAACAAGTCAGCTGAATGGACTCAAAGTAAATAAATACCTATACCCTCAAGTTAGCAGTGGGCTAGTGAGACAGTGAAGTAGCACATGTGTGTATGTATACACTCATGTGCCTGTGCATGTGTGTGCATGTTTGTGTCATGCACATGCATGTTGTAAGCCCAGATCCGGCTTGAAAATCCTTAAACATTAAGAGCCATTCATTAAGTGATAATATATTCCTAATTGTCAAAAGCTGCATATCCTATATTAGATATAGGGCATTTTGCTTTCTTCATTCAGTCCTATATTCCTTTCACCTTTATAAATAATTCTTAAGAACCTATTATGCGTTATTCTTAAAATAAAAATTAGCAATATGAACTCAAGATAATTAAGCCAATCAGTGTGCCAAGACAAAGTCTCTGCCCTCACAGGTATTAGGTATTAACAGTGTGACAGTGTGTTCAGTTCGTCAAAAAGATACAAATAGATAACGCTGTCTTGGAGTATGAGAGAAATGACATCTGCCCTCACACAGCCACACAACTATACCTGCACACACTGAGGTGCTGTGGTTACATAAACACAAGCATACTTTTAAACATGGATTAAAATGAAGAACTCTTTTGACATTAAGAATATATCAGCAAAAATAGCAATATAGGTGTATGTATTGTTCCTTCAAAATTCATGGAAAGCACGGTAAAATTCTCATTAGTACATATTAAAATGAATTGATATAAGAAAAGGCACTAAATCTACATTAAACATCTTTAAGTAAATACAGACAGAGACACTTTTCTGCTTGTGTGAGTGTGTTTGTGTGTACATGCACATGCCCATGCGTGTTAAGGAGAAAGAAGAGAAGCAACGTACATTAAATATTTCTATTCCAAGTACTGTGGTATGCACTTTCCTGAGAACAATTGTGTGAAATAAAATGTGTTACCTGCATTTTACAGATGAAAGAACACTTAGAGAGGTTAAGACACTGATAGTTTTACATTGCTAACATTTGATGCTTGAAAATGACTTCAAAATTCATTTTGCTAGGTGGACAATAATCTCCTTTGATAAGTATTATCCTGTCAGCTTATGAAATCAGTTAATTGTAATACTGAAGTTATAGAGTGGCATGAATTTGAAGGAAAACAACACAATTCTGCCTGGCTCCCTTCAGTGTTCTATTTCTTAAAACTTTCACAAGTAGAAAACGCCTGACAATCCATGCAAAGTGAATGATGGGGGGAAGAATTATTGGAAGAATTTGTGAAAATAGTTGCTCCACTTACAAAAAGCAACAGGTTTTCTCCATGTTCTTAGGAAAACAAACCATCACATCCATAGTAATCTGGTGGTGATTTCAAGGATTACCTAACTGAAACTATGAGTTCCATGGTTTTTGAGTACCTTGATACTTAAAAATATCAATCAGAATATTTTGAAAGCTTCTAATTTTTTAACCCAATTAACATATAGAGTTGATTAAGTGAAGTAAATAGTAACCTTGTTTATGTATTGGGGGACTTGGATTTTTACCTGTGTAAAAATCCTAGCAGTAAGGACAAGCTTTGGGAAATGAGTTTACTGGTTTTGGCGAGAAATGGAGATTAACAAATGTCTTATGAAATACTCCCCAGGCACCACCAGGGAATAATGGCAACCACCAGGATAAAAGACACAAAGAGGCCAAGAAACGGTTAAGAGAGGTCAAAACTAACAGTCTTCTCCACGGCAGTATTAGAAAAAAAAAGGTCGGGGAAAGGTATGCTGAACTAAATGAAAAACAAGAATTGTAAGTGGAGGCTGATTACAGGTTTTTAAAAAAAAAACAACAACATACAAACGGGCAAAGAAAAAATGTTATAGTGGCATTTTTGGGAAAAAAAATTGGATGTTTTTAACAGCTGAATGTTACAGTATTCACATTTATCGTAAATGAAGAATCAGAAGTCAAATACCAGTACCATGCTGTTTTGGTTACAGTAGCCTTGTAGTATGGTTTGAAGCCAGATAGCGGGATGCCTCCAGCTTTGTTCTTTTTGCTTAGGATTGTCTTGGCTATATGGGTATTTTTTTTCTTTTGTGGTTCCATATGAAATTTAAAGTAGTTTTTTCTAATTCTGTGAAGAAAGTCAATGATAGCTTGATGGGGATAGCATTGAATCTATAAATTACTTTGGGCAGTATGGAAATTTTCACAATATTGATTCTTCCTATCCATGAGCATGGAATGTTTTCCCATTTGCTTGTGTCCTCTCTTATTTCCTTGAGCAGTGGTTTGTAGTTCTCCTTGAAGAGGTACTCCACATCCCTTGTAAGTTGTATTCTTAGGTATTTTATTATCTTTGTAGCAATTGTGAATAGGAGTTCACTCATGATTAGGCTCTCTGTCTGCCTATTATTGATGTATAGGAATGCTTGTGATTTTTGCACACTGATTTTTGCATTCTGAGAATTTGCTGAAGTTGCTTATCAGCTTAAGGAGATTTTGGGCTGAGACAGTGGGGTTTTCTAAATATACAGTAATGTCATCTGCAAACAGAGACAATTTGATTTCCTCTCTTCCTATTTGAATACACTTTATTTCTTTCTCTTGCCTGATTGCCCTGGCCAGAACTTCCAATACCATGTTGAATAGGAGTGGTGAGAGAGGGCATCCTTGTCTTGTGCTGGTTTTCAAAGGGAGTGCTTCCAGTTTTTGCCCATTCAGTATGATATTGGCTGTGGGTTTGTCATAAGTAGCTCTTATTATTATTTTGAGATACATTCCATCAATACCTAGTTTATTGAGACTTTTTAGCATGAAGGGGTGTTGAATTTTAGCAAAGGCCTTTTCTGCATCTATTGAGATAATCATGTAGTTTTTGTCATTGGTTCTGTTTATGTGATAGATTATGTTGATTGATTTGTGTATGTTGAACTAGCCTTGCATCCCAGGGATGAAGCAGACTTGGTGGTGCTGAATAAGCTTTTTGATGTGTTGCTGGATTTGGTTTGCCAGTATTTTACTGAGGATTTTCACATCAATGTTCATCAGGGATATTGGCCTGAAATTTTCTTTTTTTGTTGTGTGTCTGCTAGGTTTTGGTACCAGGATGATGCTGGCCCCAAATCTTCTTTGGTAGAATATCTTGGAGAATTTTTAAAATGAAAATTAAGGATAATTTTTCATTATCATATGTTTGCCTTTGCAAGAAGGTGGGCAATGACAAATTATTTGAGAGTGATTGAAAATTTATTCCCCATGAAGTATTTTAAGATGGCCCCCTAGCAACCTATTTTACTATTTATTTGCTTACTACATTTTTCTTTATTGATACTGTAAACGAAATTCTGTATAACCCCTTTCAAAATTATTTTTAAAAATTGAAATCCAAAATAATGACTTTTAGTATACCGCATTTATGACTTAGAATAAAAAGCTTCTTAACTGCTAGAATAAGCAGAGAATTTAATAAACATAATGAGGCTTTGGGTATTCAATTGGGTAATTCATTTAAAAAAAAAAAAAAAAAAAAAAACACTTCCAGCCAGGCGTGGTGGCTCAAGGCCGAGGCAGGCAGATCACGAGGTCAGGAGATCAAGACCATCCTTGCTAACACGGTGAAACCCCATCTCTGGTAAAAGCACAAAAGAATTAGCCTGGCTGTGGTGGTGGGCACCTGTAGTCCTAGCTACTCGGGAGGCTGAGGCAGGAGAATGGCGTGAACCCAGAAGGCAGAGCTTGCAGTGAGCCGAGATTGCACCACTGCACTCCAGCCTGGGCGACAGAGTGAGACTCCGTCTCAGGAAAAAACAAACAAACAAACACTTCAATACTAATTGTCTGGACCATCGCTCTTGCATTGAAATCCACCAGTGAGCTCTTATGGCTGGATTAGTAAATTGAAACATATCCATAACAGCATTTGAGTTCCGCAAGTGCCTTAGGAAGCCAAAGAACAGAGTCTTTTAAAATCATTTCATCTGAATGTGGAGAGTTTTTGAGTTCCTTTGTCCAGAAGCATGTTCAGGGTTGATTAGAATTTTTTCTTATAGGAAAATTTTGTATTTCTCAGAAACAGCTACCACAAAACTTACTAACATTACTTACATAATTTCCTCCATCATCTATTTTCCTGCTCTTCCAAACTTTGTGGAGAAAAACAAAATTGATTGTACATTCTTGAGCCGTATCCCCATGGAGACGGTTACCAAAGCAAAGGCAATTCTTCATAGTGTCTGGTTTGATGACAGTAGCCTGCTGCCTCTCTTCTGTTTTTCCACTTGCCTATTTGCTGGTTCCCTGCGGGCTTCGTTTTAGAGAGACCTTTGATTCATTAGAAAATGTCTCTTCTTTCTTGTTATTGGGTATGCCCAGTACTCAAGGTCATTTTTTAGTTCCTCCAGGAATCTTAAAAATTCAATAAAATGTTCCATATAACAGATTTTTCTCTTCATTTGTACATCTTCCCCCTTCTCCCGATGACTCCTATTTCTGAAGCTTAGACTTGAAAATTTTCTCCTACTTCTAGTAAGGGATTCTTTTCGTCCACAGTCAAGTGAAGAATAAGAGCATCCTTCTTTGTAAAATTAAAATATCAGTTAAAGAGATGACTGGGTGAAAAAGAAAAAAGGAGAGGAGAATAATGCTAAAGTAAAAGCTAATTAAGGATTTCACATCATGAATCTAAGTAGAACATAATAGTGACCTTTGGTTCATTTTCTCATGAAAAATTGCATCAGATAAACATCAATATTAAGATTACAGCTTTACAAATAATCTAATAAACTAGATCATGTACTAATATGTCACAGGATCAAGTGTCGAAAGTCACATTTAAATCAGTGAAGGGTGACAAATAATCTTTAAACTATTTAAATGATATAATATGTTTCATAAGTTTTATTTTTATTTTTTCTACAGTCAACTTTTTCTTATGGGAGGGTAGCACACACAACACTTTGCAGATAATTTACCTCTTTTGCAAAATGAACAATTTCAATATATGGTTTTTAATTTGCACGACATGACTTTAAATAATGAGGTTGCTTTTCACATGTACTTTACAGAATCAGTTCCTTGCATATGAATGAGATGTGTCTCCAAAAAGATCTTAACATACAAACTATAATTTTCTAAAAATCTTGTGCAATATACATTTAAGAAATCATAACAATTTATATTCAGTGGGTGAGAGAGGAGCAGAGAAGTAATCAGGGAGGATGCAGAGCTGCACTGAAGGATAGAGTTTAAAGCCCATGCTCTGGGTTTAAATGCTGTCTGCCATATATGAGTTGAAGGAGTGTGAACATCTGAACTTCAGTCTCCTAATCTTGTGTACGGACAGAGCCTCCATTTCATGAATTGTCTTTTTTGCTTTCTTTTTTAAAAAAAAAATAAATAAATAAAAATAAAAATTCTTTGGATGTTTTATTATCTTTTCAATATACCTATATTTCACAGTTTCGAGCTGTAGATCTCCAATATACAAAAAAAAGAAAGATCCGGCTGGGTGCAGTGGCTCACGCCTATAATCCCAGCACTTTGGGAGGCCGAGGGGGGTGGATCACCAGGTCAGGAGATCAATACCATCCTGGCTAACACGGTGAAACCCCGTCTCTACTAAAAATACAAAAAAAAATTAGCCGGGTGTGGTGGTGGGCGCCTGTAGTCCCAGCTACTCTGGAGGCTGGGGCAGGAGAATGGCCTGAACCCGGGAGGCGGAGGTTGCAGTGGGCCGAGATCGCACCACTGCACTCCAACCTGGGGGACAAAGCGAGACTCTGTTTCAAAAAAAAAAAAAAAAAAAAAAAAAAAAATCCTCTATCATGATGCATTTCAGAGACCACTTTGAGGCTGTTAAACAGACATCCCTCCAAGAGGATGGGAAAGCCTCATTTGCGCAATGAAGATAGACAGTGAAAAAGAAATTAGATGGCTTCAAATTACTTTCTAATGGCAAAATTAAGTCACTTTCTGTGTGAATCTTTCCCAGATCTTGGTTGGGTTTCTTTGTTTCAAAGTAAGTAATGTTTGTTAAATTGAATTGGATTGACACTTGAAGCTGTTCTCTCAAACTAAACACTTGTCCAAGGCTAAACTTCTAATTCTCATTATTATTTACTTATTTATCTATTGATTTATTTATTTAGCTGCAATTTCTCCCCAACCTTTATGAGTGAGTATCTATCTCCAAAGCCCCAGAACGCATATGGAGGCATATCTTTATATGTGGCAGGGGTACTTTAGGTGACAAATGTGCTCTATTTTCTTGTCATTTTCCAAATTTAAATAAAAGCATATGGGAAGGAGTATGGACATCTCTGGAGGGATGAACATCCTTGGACTACAGTTCTATGTTGCTCCTAAGGGAAAAAACTATAGTCCACTTTTGTTAGAGGGTTATTTACTGTGAAGCTAACGAAGCTTAAGCTTCAGGCCTTCTTAGTTAGAATGAGCCCCCTCCATTTCACTTTTGCAATTTGAATTTTTTTAAGCAAGGAAACACCCACACTTGTATAAGCTTCAGGCCCTAGCATACCTGAATCTGCCCCAAATATCATATAAATGTTTATTTTTTTGAAAAAGACTCCAGAAGGTGCTATTGCTAAAAATGACAAGGGCAATTGTCAGTAATAATAATCTTATTATTAATTTTCATGTATTTCCTGAGGCCCTTTTTAGGCTAGTCATTTATAAATACTTTACAAACATTTTGCCCAAACCTTAGTAATAACTGTGCAGTGTAAGAAACCAAGGGAGATTTACAGAGATATACAAAGAACTGATTCAATCTATGTTTTGCCTTATTCGGAAATATTTCCTAAGTTCTTTACACCACATCGTGCCTCAGTGTGGTACAGTGGCTATTTTTTAAAAATTCTTTTTACATGCCACTAGGTACTAACTGAAAGTCAATAGAATAGTAAAGTGAGTTGGCATATGGCTTTTAAATTGTTTACTTAGTTATAGGTCATGCTATGTCAAATCGCATCTGACTTTAAAACACCAAATAATACATTAACAAGTAAGGTAATAGTCTGTCAAGTCTGCATGCTGGGAGCATTAGTGGAAGATGAATTAACCAATCAACAAGGTTGTTAAATGTTAGTAGGTATGAGATCTGAAAGGGTGAATGTTAATTCGAATAATGTTAAATGGTATTCATGGGATGGGTGAACTAGGCCTCACACTTAAAAAAATAACTCAAGTATGGAATGGTCCAAAAATGCTTCCTTGAGACTATTTATAGAGACACCACAGTTTTATATTTCTCGGTTGATGTGGCTTTCCATTCAAGACATTACACTTAATGTGGATGTGAACATTTTGTGAATCTGGCCAAGAGGAAGGATTTTTCTATAAATTTTCAAGTGATAAAAAACTCTGAGTGTTTACTAATCTAAGCCTTTCAGGCTCAGAGAGCTCAGTAGGCTAATAGCCTGTGCAGAGTGGCTCCATATATCTGGGGTAAACTCACATTTTCTAAGCTGAGAATACTGACAAGTGAAACTGGAATGCAAATTAATTATGTTGCAATGAAAATGTAAGTGCCAAATGACTCTTGCAAACTCATGTCCTATAGCCAGGCCTATTTTTTGCCTCTAGAAAAACTACATACAAATCAAAATTATGAACAAAAAGAGAGTAAGTATGGTATCAGTTGGTACTCAATAAACATTTTTGTTGAACAAATGAAAGAATGAAAGACTAACATACTGTGCCTTCCGGGTCTTTTGTTTGTTTGTTTGTTTGTTTGTTTGTTTCATTTGGTTTTGCCACATGGCTTTTCCTGCCAAACAGCCATGACCATAGTCAGTCACTGCAAAGTTTTTCCACACATGCCCTTCTGATTCTCCTCTTCTTGTGCTTAAGACTCACGGATGCCCTTTTTACTGCTGCATTCTTTCTCTCTACATATACTATTCCTTCCTCATCTGTGGTTTTGCTTTCCACAGTTTCAAATACCCATGGTCAACTAGGGTCCTACAATATTAACCAGAAAATTCCAGAAATAAACTCGTAAGTTTTAAAATGTGCACCACCATCCTGCTTTTCTCACCAGGGCTGTGAATCATCCCTTTGTCCAATGTATCCATTCATTCGGCCTGCTGGTTAGTCACTTAGTACCCCTATTGGTTATCAGATGGACTGTCACCTCAGCATTGCAATGCTTGTGCTCAAATCACCCTTATTTTAGTTAATTATAGTTCTGAAGTGCAAGGGTAGTGATGCTGCCAACTTGGAAATGCAGAAGAGAAGCCATAAAGTGCTTCTTTTAAGTGAAAAGTTTCTCTAGTTAATAAGGAAAGAAAAAATAATTGTATGCTGAAGCTGCTAAGATCTATGTTAAGAATAACCCTTTATCCATAAAATCATGAAGAAGGAAAAAGAAATGCAAGCTAGTTTTTGCTGTCACATTTCAAACTGCAAAAGTTATAGCCATAGTGTGTGATAAGTAAGTGCTAAGTTAAGATGGAAAAGCCTTCTTTAAATTTCTGGGTGGAGGATGTGAACAGAAATGTGTTCCAACTTATGACAATCGGGTTCTTTACTAATTATGGTTTCAGGCATCCAGTGGGGGTCTTGGAACTTATCACATGCAGTAAGGAGAGGTGTGTTGTACCTCCTCCACCGCAGCATCTCCTCCTGCCCAAAATTGTTGCATATTCTCTTTCTTAGTGATTAGCTCTATTTATGTTCAATGCAAATCTGAGGTTATCGGTTGCTCCTCTTCTCTCCTTTCTTCCATCTAATTTATCCCAAAGTTGTCTACTTGACTCATACATTTCTGAAGTCTGTTCACTCCTTTCATGGCTATTGTATCCAAATCAAGCTATCATCTTATCTTACCTAAATTATCACACTGGCTTGCTAACTGAACCCTCACAGATAATGTATCCCTCTATTCAGTCCTCACACTGCTACTAGAGTATTTTAATTTTACCCAAAGATAAATGGAACCATCTCAATTCCCGCCTTTCCCCCTGCCCAAACACTTTGATGTCTTCATTTGCTTTGGGATAAATCAGACATTTAGCGCAGCCTGGAACATTTTGCATGGACTGGCCCCTAATCGATGCTCCCACTTTACCTTGCTTCTCCTGATTCCAGCCTCAGTGGACCTCTCCTTTTCTTTCATGGCCATGTTCCCTTTTATCACAGGGCCTTTACATTCTGCAGGGAACACTCCCTCCACACCCTCACACTCACCTATACTTAATTATCACACTCACATCTAGCTTCCTGTGAGAATCTTCGCTTTGACCACCTGGACCAGGTGCAATCTTTCTATTACAGTTTCCCGTAGCATCAATGACTGTCTCCTCAGCATTCACTATTACAATTGGGCATTTATTTTATCAAAGCAAAAATTGCACTGTACAAAGTTAAACAGGAAAGGCAGACTTTATTCAAGGTGACTGCTACAATAGGAGAGAGACAGACATCAGAACTCAGTCTGGGTTCAACTCCACTAAGACAAAGAGTTGGAGAGTTTTTAAGAGTTGGGGTGGGAGATCTTAAGCCATCTGTGCTTACTAATTGGCTTTACCTAAAGGAAAAGTAAATTTTATCATATCTTCACGGCAGGAGGTAGTTTTATAACTTGGACTAAGGACCTTGCTACAGTTAAGCTCCTACTGTCCCACAGAGTCTGAGAGGTAAGGGCACTATCCTCCTTAATTGCATTTCAGAGGGAGTTCCTAGGTTCTCCAGAATTGCTTTCTTGGGTTGTGACACAGACAAGAGGCTTTTTAAATAGGGTGATGGGTAAACTAAAAGCCCCGACTTCGCCACTATGCAACATAAGCATGTAAGAAACCTGCACTTGTAACCCCTAAATATATTTAAAAAAGAAAAAAAATAGATTTACATCTCAAATGGGGGAGAGAAAGAATTTACAATTACAGGATTTTGAAAGTAAATGCTTAAAGAAAAAGGAGGACAGAGGCCTAAAGGCAGAAAGAAATCTGTCTAAAGTTTAGACAATCTGAAGGCAACATTAAGAATATCTTGGTCAGCTTGCTATTCCCCTGATTAAATTGCCCCAGTGGCTTCCTATAATACTTAATATTCAAATCAAAATTCTCACTATGCCTATAAGGCCTAGAAAGAGTTGAATCCTTTCTCCATTGCTGTCTTTATCTCCTTCCATTTTCCATTGCTTGAAATGCTATCATTACATTGCCTTTTGATAACCTCCATAAATATACCACATGCATTCTCTTCTTGGGCCTTATATACCAGTGCTTTTCTCTTTCTCTGTGAGCTCCATGAGGACAAGGACTTTGCATCATTTTCACTTTTGTACTCTCAGTACTCTAAGCAAATACTGAACACATAGAAGGTGCTTAATTAGTGTTTCTTGGTTGATAAATGGAAGACTGAGTGGCTGAATGAATAAAAGAATTAATGAATTTAAAAATATTATGATCAAAATTTTCTATTCTTTAAAATGTCTATTTTTTTAAATCACAACTTTGAATTGTCCTGGCTGTTAGTTTTAAGTAAATTTCACAGTTTATTCCTCACATGAAAACTATTTTTCTTTATACCCAAGTTTTTTGGTAAAGTCTCATGTTAGCCCCTAAGTACTGAGCACAGTGCCATTAAGAACACTATTTTGAATAAGAACTGTTTATAAGCAAAACAAGAACACAAACATAAATAAATAAGCATATTCTGCAGTGTGTCATAGCAAACACACATCATGGGGCTTGAAGAGGTTCAATGTTGGAGACTCAAGCAGCCACGTAGGGTAGAGACAGAGGGTGTCATGGGAATCAAAGAAGTGATGAGGGAGGCACAGTGGTGTGCCCAGAACACAGATTTGATGGCACAATATGCAAAGTCACACTCATATTTCATACTCTAAGAATCCTGCTAGGTCTATTAGAACATAAAAGCATAGCATCCCTACTTTCAGTAGCATCTTCACCCGGAAAAGCATTTGAGCATGAGATGTGAATATCTGTGTTAGCATAGAAACATCTGATACAATCCTACTGACGACCTAAGTGAAATAGGTTATTTCTTGGTTCAAAGTACTGTGTTTATCAACACAAAGCATACTTGTTATAAACATATTGCACCTATTCCAAATTTGAGGTGAGAATAAACACCTGAATAATTTGAATTTAGTAATTCACTCAATAAATCAAAGGCTCATTTAAGGTTTGGAATACTGATTCTCTGATTCCTTTAAAAATATTATACCAAGAACTAAGGACTGTATTTTGAATTTCTCAAAAGGCCTGTTGCTTTCCTGGTCATCTTTGGAGTAAATTGACATTAACAGTAAGAACAGCCATGAGAAGAATGAAGACTGATCACTAAGCATTTTGGTCCTCTGCTACGGATTTGATATTAGATACCCAGAGAGAATTTTCTATAGAGAACTGCCTAAAACTGTTAGGCCCAGGTCTGTTTGATACCTAACAGAGTTAAACCTCATTGGGAAATAATGAATATAAGTATTCTTGACATTTCCTGGATTACTCAAAGAGGAAAAAATGAGAATATGATCATTACATGTAATGGCAACATTAAATGCTTAGATGATCTAGCAAAAAATGTAGCCAGTATCCCATCCCTCTATGTTTTTAATTTTAGACAACCCATTCAAACACCATGAATGAAAACAGAACAGAAACATGTTTGATTCTGAGGAGCTTCTAGGGTTGGCTAGAGTGGACTGTGCATTTCATTGTATGTTTTTCCTAAACAGAAGATATGCAGTCTACTTAAAAATATGCATGACAAAAAACTTGAAAGGAAACTTCCTGATGTCAGCAGCTTACTTTGAATGCATCAAAAAAGTAAGGTGGATTAAAGGATGAATAGAAAGATAAGTAGATAGCTAATTATGTGATAAAGTACCTATAGTAAAATGTTAATTGTAGAATCTAGGTGGTGGTTATTTAAGTGTCCACTGTAAATTTTTTCAAAATTTTTGTATGTAGAAAATTTTTTATAATAAAATATTTTTAAAAAGGGCATTGTAGTTACTACTAGAAAGGGCAATGACTAGAAAGAGAATAAGGAGGTTTGAGGAATGCTGGGAGTCTTCTGTTTCTTAATCTGGGTGCTGGTTATTGGGAGTGTTGCTTTGTGAAAACTTACCAAACAGAATACTTGTGATGTTCAATTGTTTTCGTACGTATGATATATACTTTAATTAAAAGTTCAGAAAGAAAACAAAAAAATACTAGTGTTATTCTGGAGACTTTGATAGCAAGTAGCTTAGTGGGGAAGTAGCTTAGTGGGGAATTGTAAGTAGCTTACAATTTTAAGTAGCTTAGGGGGGAAATAAATCTCAAATGATTGGAAAGCCCTGGGGCACAGCTGGGTTAGATGAACTTGGAACATATGGCATTGCCCAGAATCTATCTGTATATCCAGGCTTACTTGTCTCTGCTTGCTTACTCGGCCCAAGGCCTTACATGTTGCCACTAGACTCTCTCTCTCTTTCTCTCTCTTCTATACATCTATATCTATATCTATATATCTATATGAGACAGAAAGAGAGAGATGGTCTAGTGGCAAGTAGACTATATATATATATATATATATATATATATATATATACACACATACACACACACACACACATATATATATCTATATATCTATATCTATATCTATATATCTATATATCTATATCTATATCTATATATCTATATCTATATATCTATATCTATATATATCTATATCTATATATCTATATCTATATATATCTATATCTATATATATATATAGATAGATAGATAGATAGATAGATAGATAGATAGATAGATATCTCCTTGGACAGGCTCTCTTCTCTTAGCAGGCCAGATGGTAGTCAGTGTCCCCATGTATCACACAAACTTAAATACCTTGGGATGGAGAAGCTGTCTATTCTGATACTTCACGTATAAGTCACAAGAAGGACTCAGAGTAGCTTGAGTCACGCACCCTGATTGAAATAATTACTGAGGATGATGAGGTTCTTTTACTGGTCTATCCTGAGTTATATGCCTACATCTGGAGGCAGGGGCCTGTACACGGGCCTAACAAATTGGCGTACCAGTAGGTTCACCATAGGAAATAATGCAATTAATATGAAAAAAAGCCAAGAAGAACAAGGAAACACATGCCCACAGACAAATAAACACACACAGATATGTCTACAATAGTCATTACTCAATGTGATGTTGAGATAAACATCTTCAAAGGATGCTGAGCTGGGGCAGAAGCAGCTTGGGAGGAAGGAAATATATTTTCTAGGACCCCAAACTCAGACCATAATATCACCACCAAGGGGATATAAAATCTAAAACAAAACAAAACTTAGGTCATGACTGTAAAAAATGTTACATATAAATTTATATGCATACATTTTATGTATAATATATACTATATATAGGGTAAAAATTGTATGTTTTACATATACATTTACATATACATGTATGCACATATGTAAGTATCCATATATTTATATGTATACACATACATAAAATGTACTGTTTTTGTAGTTTCTATGCTACCAGAAACTCTCTGCTTTTAACTATGGATAAAACTGGGACTTGTAGTTTGAGAGAGAAAGATTTTGGCTCTCTTTCAGCTACATATTTTCAGAGTTGTGGGGGAAGGAAGGATATATACCCTCGAAAGTAGGTTCAAACTTAGAAAGGTAGTGCAAGCTGTAGAAGGATTTATAAATCCCAGATGAATAATGGGCCAGACTTCAAGATTCTCCAATTACTAGAGAAGAAAAACTGGAAATAAAATTAATGTCCACAGAAAATAAATGATGTGACTTCTTCAAAAGGACAGCAATACATCCTGGAATTTACCAATTAGACAAGGTTCAGCCAGCTGTGGTTGAGGGGAAAAAATGCTATTTCCAAATCAACCTTATGATGATAATAATGATTTATTCTTTCATCACACAAAGCCAGTAATATTATCATTCCCAGAAAAAGTCTTATATAAGCCAAAGAAATCCCAAATACTATTAAATTAGTTTCTTTAAATTATTACATTGTTCCCTGATCTGTAACTGATATATAAAAGGCATAGAGAAGAATGTAACAATTACCTGGGTACCCACCCAGGTAAAGAAATCATTAAAACTACTATTGATGCTCCCCAGTATAGTACATTAAACATTTATTTCAAGACACCCTCATTATCTAGATAAAATTAAAAATTTATTTTTACTGTTTTATACATTCATATAATGGTATAATTATGTTAATCCTTCGGCAATGTATATTGTTATTCAACTTCTAGCTCTGATTAATTTATTTCTGCTGCTATATGGTGTTCCATTGTCAGAGTATTCCATAATTTAGTGGTCTTTTATTATATTTATTAATATTTCAGGTGACAGAAAATTTTGTTTGATATTAATAGAACCAACCAAGTTTTAGTTTGGTTTTTATATACCCAGTATATATTCTTCAAAACTTTGAATCTCTCCTTCCCATTGTGTTCTAGGTATATATCTGTAAAAACATGTGATTTTAAACAAATACACTCTGATACATACTGCCATTTAATAGATGATTTTAATTAACTTGATTGTGTCATGTGCACTATATATTTGGCATAATTTTATAACATATATCTGATTTTTATTTACCCAGGTTATTTTTATTTGTCCTTTTCTCCTTTTAAGTATATTACTTTTGATTAGCAGAGGTTTTTTTTTTCCTTTTTTATTTCTGATTTGGAAATAATGCATAGTGTGTCGAGTCTAATAATTGATTCTGATTACCACCTACCCTATTGTATATTATTTAAAATATTTAATTTTCACATTTCTCCTCAAATTAGATATTATATTTTATACTGTTCAATGTTTATTTATATTTATAAATATATATCTAATTAATATAAAATATATATTTAATTAGTATATATATTTATTCATGTATATTTCAGGTTATTTGTTTGTCATTTCTTGTTCCAATTCAGGTTATCTTTCTGCCTTGTATTTCCTTATTTGGGAATTCTCTGTAGAAGGTCCTTTATTCAGATTAGCAATAACCCCTCTGAATTTTAGCTATGTGAAAATGTCTTTATATCTAAATCTTCCTTGAATAGTAGTTTACTTTGGTAGAAAAATCATACATTTTCAGTTATTTTTCTCAATTCTTTTAGAATATTTTTGTTTTGTTGAAATTCTGTGCTCAGTCTAATTGAGATTCTTATTTGTGAAGTTCTTTCTCCTTTTCTTTCTGGCTTCTTTCCTCTTACCCTTTCTTTCTCCCTCCCTCTGTTTTCTACTTCTTTCCTTCCTCCATGCACCACTTGCTTTCTTTTTGTTGTTGTTGTTATATATAGTACACTTGATCTGGTCATAGTATTCGAATTCATTAATAGGTATTAATTTAACACTCTTGAGACAGACCAGCCCAAAAAGGAAATTTCTAAATGTGCAAGTGCAATAAATATAAAACTTTCTCATCTAAAATATCAGTCATTTCTGAAACATCTTAAGAAAATCAGGCAACCACATGCCCATAGGCAGGCGTCTGATGTTGATGATGCTAATATTAGAAACATATCACCTCAGATCCAGCATAATTATTTTTATGTTTTTTACCAACATACACTTACATAAACTAAACAGCCTGGGCTCCTTGGTGGTCAGCTGGAAAGCCCAAACGTGCCAGAACTGGTAAGCGGGGAGATGCCATGCATGTCTTTATGCTTTGATGAACAGACAATGACAACAGCCTCTGGCAGCACGAGCTGATAGGAACAGTGAGTGTGAAGATCAATGCTGGACAATAATTCAGTTTTGGATGAAGGGTTAGGTGTGTATGGACCCATCTCAGAGTAAGAAGATCATGCTGATCCTGAACATTGAATAATTATTTTGCATTCTCCACATCCCAAGAGTCTGGTCCTGAAGACTCCTTTGGCACAATTACACGGATAGAAGTAAGTTAATTATGTGGCAGCTTTCCACAGAGTATTCCACAAATTTCTATCTTCTTACTCTATTAGATTCTGCCAACAGCAGAAATATGTGGCATAGATCTCCTGATAAACTACATATTCCAGTCCTTCAACCATTACATTCTGAACAACACTTACAGTAGGAGTGAACTTTAAGGCTCTGTTTACAGAAGAAGACTAGTTAGTATGATTGTTTGCATCCTTTTTATTAGGTTGGTCATATAATAATTCATTAAATAATCGTTCTGGTGTGTGGAAAGTCAGGACAAAGCATCCCCATTAATCTGATTTGACAGCACTGGGCTAGTTTGTTTTAAGATCTTTGTTTTGTCTTCCTTGTTCTACAGAATTGGTACAATATGGTGTAGATGTTTTTGTTAGAATGAAGTATGCAATTGTTTGCTTTTTTAAAAAAGAATTTATTTACTTTAGTTTCTAAATGTCTTGGCATGTAAATTTGCTCATTAATTTATGCTGACAATCCTCCTGACATTTTTCTTTATATATCTTTATAATTTGGGATTATACTAAAGCTTGATGGAGCTTTACATGTCAGAATCCTTATAAGGCATTCATTGAAGGTTAGGTTTCTCCAAATAAGATTTAATTTTGTTTATTCCAGATAGCACAGAAAAGTTACTAACTAATCCAGTTTTTATTTTCATTTATCAGCTTGTCATTTCCATAATAATATAAGTAGTATAAATTTAGACCTCAATCCTGTATAAAGGCAGGCCTGTGGTTATGGTTTTAGTAAACATTGTTTTTCCACTCGAGAACTCAGTTTGAAACATAAAAAAATACTTGTTATATTATCCTTGTTTATGAATGGGATTTTAAAATTCTAATCTAATTTCTCATTATTTGAGGATAGCAATGTTAAGCAGGTTTTTCAGGTCCAGCTCTCCAGTTCATGCTGTCCTTTACTGCTCTCTCTGGGTTAGAAACTAATAGTTAATAATTAATTGTCAATATGGAAGCTCCATTATAACCTACGTTTGCAAATTCATTCAGTATAGTTCACATTTTGCTTTTAAGCATTTCTTGGTCAATCCCTGGAAAATTCCCCCTGTCAACATAAGATTAACTATGAATTTAATGTTTGCCCTACTTGATCCAGATTCCTCTTTTGTTTGTTTATTTATTATTCATTTTAGAATGGGCTTATTCTGGATATCTAAGATGCTACTTTCAGAAACTCAACTCATTTTCTTTCTCCAAGATTCAAGCTTATGACCTATTCATTAAAATTCTATTTGCTAAAATGATTCAGCCTTATTTCTTGGGTTATGAAACATGATAGTACCCTTCAAGTGAAGTTTTATATTTACAAAATGTTTAAAGTCCTGTTGATTCATAAAACTAATTGTAAAACTCAAATCAAAATACAATGTCAAAAGGTCTAACTTTTTGTGTCATTGGATTATTAGGAGAGGAAAAAAACATATGAAGATATAATGGATAAATCTATCCAAATTTGATATTGTCTCACAGGTCCTTGCGGTTCATGTTGTTCAATGTATTTTTTTATCTTCTAAAAGTGGATAATTTCTATTAATCTATCTTCAATTTCTTTGAATCTTTCCTCTGTCATCGCCATTATGCTACTGTGCTTTTCTAATAATGTTTTTCAAAATTTCAAGTATTTTATTATTTCCATTTGGTTCTTCTTATTATATCTATTTCTTTGTTGAGAAATACTAATTTTTCATTAATTTAATGTAATTATCATTATCTCATGAAGCTTGATGATAATAGCTACTCTAAAGTCTTTCATGATTCTAACATGTCAGTCCTTTTGGAGTTTTTGTTGATTAACTTTTCCCTTGAGAACAGCTCGTATTTTCCTGGCCCTCTGTATTTTGAATAATTTTAAACTGTACCAGAGCCATTTTGTATATTATCTTGTGGTACTCTGAGCCATGTGAAAATCTTCTGGAGAAAGTACATTTTGTTATGCTTTGTTTTATTGGTCAATTGACCTAATTAGGTCAGACTGCAGATCCTGTCTCAACTTCTGTGAGTCCTGGTAAGCTGAATTTTCAGAGCCTTTGCTCTGCTGCTTCAGGTCTCTCATGTATGTATCTCTCAGGGATTAGTGTACGACTAGGATCTCAGTTTTTATTAGAGTTCAGCTCTCACAGCCTTTGAGATTATGCTTTGGGTCTAGTCCATGCATGTGTTCTTCAGAAAAGAGTCTGGGACTTGTATCATTTCATGTACAGAGTCAGGGAAACCTCTCCTCTAGCTCTCTTCTCTGTAGAATGTCTCACGTACTCAGTAACTTCCTGGGACCCCTTTTGCCTATCTTCTGAATAGAAACATAGAGCTTCTTGCAGAGTATTAGCTCCTGGCTTTATTGCTTGCTCATTTCTGCATAACTGGGTCAACCCTGGGGCACCACAGTGACAGAAAAAAGAAAGAAAAATAATGGGGTCCCCACCCTGTCACTCTTTGGAGTTTATGGTTCCCTTTTCTTAGTTCTTCTTGTCAAAAAGATAGGTTTTTCCTTCAGGATTTTAGATCAGCTATCACCGCCACATTGCAGCTGTATGATTGGGGTGGCCCTTGACACAGGACCAAAAGAGAGCAACAACAACAGCATCAACAACAACCATAGTGATCCTACCCCCTACTCCTGGTGACGGCTTCCTGGGGCTCCTTATCCCCATTCTTGGGACAGCTTATCTCAGATTTTCTCTGCTCACCCCTGCTATGCAGTTCCAAATTTGATATTTGGAACTGGTAGTATCTTCAGAACAAGTTGAGAGACAAAAAAAAAAAAAAAAGAGAGAGATTAAAAAAAAGAAACTCAACCTGGTTATAGGTTATTCTTCAAGTTTTGGTTGCTCTCACTAACGTGCCTGCCATTTTTAACTTTTTGGAGTCCTTAACAAGTGCCTTTTGTATTTTATTCAGAGTTGTAGTTGCAAACAGTAGAAGAGATAGGCTATAATGGGTTTATTTAATTTTTTCAGGCACCAGAAATTTCTTATTTGGCAGTACAAATTCTTGTCCCAAAAAATATAAACAGATTACCAAAATGTGCTGATCTTTCAAACCTCAACAATTCATTTAAGGTCAACCTTCAGTGATCACTACTGATGCAGGCTCAGTGCGCATCTTGTTTAAGACCAATTTCTTTGTATTTGATACATACATAAGCTGGTTTGGATTTACAACCTAATTGGATGTCAGAATTTCTGTAATTCTAATGTTTTCCAAGTGTTCATCAGGAAGTTCTTTTTTTTTTTTTTTTTTTTACTTAAGATAAATTTTTCCTGTTGTTGAAAAAGCTTAGTCTACAGTAACTCCTGAACACAATGGAACTGATTATAAGATGCAGAACTCCTTTTCAACACTGATGATAAGGATTCTTTCCTAACTAATTTCTCTGAAATATGGGGAAATATTTTGAGAAGTAGAAACCAGTATTTTCAAATTTTCATTTCTCTCCTTTAGTTTTATTAAAATTGTGCTGAATACATTAATTCCAAGCCACTATCATGCCTACAGTTCGATACGCTTCCTTGTAGCTTGATGAAGAAGCTATAAACCTTTCACATGTTCCTTTTATTTTCAGCAACTTAATAAAAAATTAGTAGTATCTGCTTTATGTTAGTTTCCTTGATGTTTTTAAATGTTCACCAAGGAGAGTGTCTCTTTACCTCTTTCTGAGAGATTTATAAATGAACAAAAAATAGAAAGAAAATAATTAAGATGGCTAGAATACTAAAATCCATGGATACGATTCAGAGGGTGCAAATCCCCATTCATCACTTGGGCAGCTTTTCTCCAGAGGCCTCCCCAGGAATCTACTGACTTAGAAGTGACAAACATAATCAGTTAGTCTGCTGTTTTCTTCTTTGTCCCAAGTGATATGGTACCTAGTGAATTAAGCAACCAAATCAATCACCTACCTGCTTGACACAAAAGCCATTATTACTCTTCTCTGAATATTTCAGATATAAAATAGGACAAATTGTGATTTTCAATGTATTCTTTTTCTTAACATCGAAAAATGAAAAATTAGGGAAAAAAGGCTGATTTATCCTGGTTTGGGGGCATATTTTCACATCTCCTTTGCACTCTTACATACTTATTCAGGTTGAAGAGAAATTAGTCATTTCATTTAATTTTAATGAAATCTTAATTGTCATCAATCTAAATCCAACAAAAAAAGTATAATTATCATCTTTCAAAGAAATCGTTCTTTTTTTGCTTTTGATTTTTTTTTTTTTTTTTTTTGGCTTTTGAGACAGGTTATCCTTTTTTTTTTTTTTTTTTTTTGAAAAAGTCTTACTGTTTCCCAGGCTGGAGCTCAGTGGCCACTCATTGCAGCCTCTACCTCCCGGGCTCAAGCAGTCCTCCCACCTCAGCCTCCCAAGTAGCTGGGACTACAAGTGTGTGCCACTAGATCTGGCTAATAGTTTTGTTTTTTGTAGAAACAGGGTCTCCCTATGTTGCCCAGACTTCTCAAACTCCTGGGCTCAAGTGAGTCTCCCATCTCAGCCCCAGAAAGTGTGGAGATTACATGTATGAGCCACCACACCCCGTTTCTAAGCAATCATTTCTGAGTGTCAGCTGGGTTCAAGAAATACATTTCTGAAGTAATCAGAGTTATAAAAGACATCACCAACACTTGGGATCTTCTGATCTTTTTGGGAAATGATGCTTGTTAGGTTAAAAGTTTAAGTAGCATATAACAAAATTAAAAATTTTTGTAAGTGGCTATGCTATTCCGCATTCTCACCACCAATGTATGAGAATGCCGATTGTTCCACATCCTTGCAAAAATTGTCTTTGTCAGTACTATAGCCATGTCTAATTTTGATTTTAAATTTTGCTATCCTAATATGTACATAGTAGAATATCATTGTGACTCTGATTTGAATTTTCCAAATGGTTAATTATGTTGTACATATTTTCATGTACTTATTTTTAATCCACATATCCTCCTTTAAAAAATATCTTTTCAATCTGTTGCCTATTTTTAAATTGAATTGTTTGTTTTCTTGCTGTTGGGTTCTGAGAGTTTAAAAATACATCTTTATATATTATGGCCACAAGCCATGTAAGATATGTAGTTTGCATATGCTTTCTCCAAGTCTACAACCTATTTGCTCCTTTAGAAGAAATGTGTTTGGACATACAAACTTTTTAATTTTAGGCCAGGTGCAGTGGTTCATGCCTGTAATCCCAGCACTTTGGGAGGCTGAGGCGGGTGGATCACCTGAGTTTAGGAGTTCGAGACCAGCCTGGCCCACATGGTGAAACCCTGCCTCTACTGAAAAATACAAAAATTAGCCGGTCGTGTTGGTGTGCACCTCTAATCCCAGCTACTTGAGAGGCTGAGGCTGGAGAATCACTTGAACCCGGGAGGCGGAAGTTGCAGTGAGCCAATGTCATGCCATTGCACTCCAGGCTGGGTTACAAGAGCGAAAATCAAAAAAAAAAAAAAAACTTTTTAATTTTAATAAAGTCCAATTTATCATTATAAAGCAATTTTTATCTTACAGAATATGTCTAAGAACTCTACAACTAACCTCAGGTCATGAAAATTTTCTTCTATATTTCTTCCAAAATTATTATAGATTTACATTTAGACTTATGCTCCATTTTGAGTTAATATCAAGTAAATTGCAATATTTAGGGCAGGTTCTTTTTTTCATTATGTCAATGTCCAATTGTTCAACTTCATTTCTTGAAATAACTGTCTCTTCTCCTTTGGATTCCCATTGCCTGTTTGCCAGAAATTGGCAGTATTTTTATGGTTGTATTTCTGGATTTGCTATTCTATTCTATTGATCTGTGTGTCTGTCTTTTCTCAAATACCACATTACCTCAGTTATTGTAACTTTTATAGTAAATCTTAATATCAGATATGCTTCCTTTGAATTCATTTTTCTTCAATATTATAAATATGTTATATCCTGTCTAAAATAATCTATCCAGTTAATACTATCTCAAATATCATCAGAGAGATTGTTTGTTGGTTTCTGTAGTTCTTAGGGTGTGATAATGATGATTATGTAGTTTAAAATTATACAGAAGTTCTTGTGGAAAACACACATGGGAAAAGAATCAGCAAAACTCTGGAAAAGAAATGCAATGAGAGTAGAATGTGCCATAAGCTATTAAAATATATTATTAAACTATGCTTATGAAAATAGTCTGATACTGGACCACATATTGGCTGATCAATTAATGAAATATAGTTCAGAGCTTGCCCTGATATAAACATCAAAACCTTTGGGATTTTAGTAAATATAGGACCTCAAATCAGTAGGGCAAAAGGGAATTCTTAAGTACAGTCATGAAATACATAAGGACACTTTGGTCAGTGATGTCACTGTGATCACATATAATGATGTTCTCATAAGGTTATAGTATTGTATTTTTACTAAATTTTCTACATTTAGATACACAAATACTTACAGTGTGTTAGTATTGTCTATAGTATTCAGTACAGTAACATGTTATACAGGTTTACACAAAGGTAAAATTATCCATTTACACATTTCTCAGGATGTATTCCTGTTATTAAGTGACACATGACACACAAATAAAATTCTTAAAATATACTATGGCAAAAAATAGAAACAAAGACTAAAGGGCAGAGTTAGAAAAGCAAATACACAGTCTGTGATTGATAGGCATTTAAATGTGGCACGTATACAACATGGAATACTATGCAGCCATAAAAAAGAATGAGATCATGTCCTTTGCAGGGACATGGATGAAGCTGGAAGCCATCATTATCAGCAAATTAATACAGGAACAGAAAACCAGACACTGCATGTTCTCACTCATAAGTGCGAGTTGAACAATGAGACCACATGGACACTGGGAGGGGAACATCACACATGAAGGCCTGTCAGGGATGGGAGATAAGGGGAGGGAGAGCATTAGGATGAACACTCGATGCATGTGGGGCTTAAAACCTAGAAGATGGCTTGATAGGTGCAGCAAACCACCATGGCACGTGTATACCTATGTAACAAACCTGCACATTCTGCACATGTATCCCGGAACGTGAAGAAAATTCTTATTAATAAAAATAAAAAATTTTTAAAAAAGAAAAGCAATTACACGTATCAATTGACAAATGACTAATTGCCTTAGCATTTTGCATATTCCCTATTGCTGCTATAATAAAATACCGCAAACACAGTGGCTTAAAACACCACAAATGAATTATCTTACACTTCTGGAAGCGGTAAGAACTTACTTTTATATACTACATGAATCTTACAGGAGAAAATCAAGGTCAGCTGGGCTGCATTCCTTCTGGAGATTGTAAGGGGTAAATCTGTTCTTCACCTTTTCCAGCTTCTTAAAGACTGCCCACACTCCTTGGGTGGCAGTACCCTTCTAGTAATTGCCTTACTCTGCCTCCATTATCGCATCACCTTCTCTCCTTCTGCTTCTGTCATCACATCTCCTGCTGTGACTGTTGTCTTCTTGCATCTTTCTAATGAACACTTTGAATTACACTGAGTCATCCAGATTATCCAGGATAATCTCCCCAGGATATTTAATTTAATAATACCTGCGAAGTCCCTTTTGCTATGGAAGGAAACATATTAGCAGATTCTGAGGACTAGGATATTAACATCTTTGGAGGTGTGATTATTTAGCATCTCACATAGAAAAAGGACTTTTGTATTAATAAGAAAATAACACACAACTGCATATAAATGTATGCAAAAAAGATGAGAAGCAATCTAGGTAAAGGTGCATATGGGATACTGACACCCACTCACATGAGAAAAATTGCATATACTACTTTTTTATCAGATGACAATGATTTGATATATAAAGAAAAGAAGGCACACACAAACACTGTAGGGAGAAGGTGTAACCTCAGCATTTTTTGGAGGAGATTTTGGGAAAGAAATATACATGTGCTTTAATTGAGCTATTCAAGGAACATTTTTTTTTCAGTAGAAAAATTGGGGGGAAATACTCCACTGCTTATCAATAGAGCACTGGCTAAGCAAGCTCTATTCAATAATCAAAGATTAAGAGGCTAAAATGGTAGCATGCTTGGCCCTCCATATCCATGGTTTCAACATCCTTAGATTCAATCAACTGCAAATTGAAAATATTTTTTAAAAAAACACTAAAATGATAAAGGGGATATCACCACTGATCCCATAGAAATACAAACTACCATCAGAGAATACTACAAACACCTCTACGCAAATAAACTAGAAAATCTAGAAGAAATGGATAAATTCCTCGACACATACACTTTCCCAAGACTAAACCAGGAAGAAGTTGAATCTCTGAATAGACCAATAACAGGAGCTGAAATTGTGGCAATAATCAATAGCTTACCAACCAAAAAGAGTCCAGGACCAGATGGATTCACAGCCGAATTCTACCAGAGGTACAAGGAGGAACTGGTACCATTCCTTCTGAAACTATTCCAATCAATAGAAAAAGAGGGAATCCTCCCTAACTCATTTTATGAGGCCAGCATCATCCTGATACCAAAGCTGGGCAGAGACACAACCAAAAAAGAGAATTTTAGCCTTGATGAACATTGATGCAAAAATCCTCAATAAAATACTGGCAAAACGATTCCAGCAACACATCAAAAAGCTTACCCACCATGATCAAGTGGGCTTCATCCCTGGGATGCAAAGCTGGTTCAATATACGCAAATCAATAAATGTAATCCAGCATATAAACAGAACCAAAGACAAAAACCACATGATTATCTCAATAGATGCAGAAAAGACCTTTGACAAAATTCAACAACCCTTCATGCTAAAAACTCTCAATAAATTAGCTACTGATGGGACGTATCTCAAAATAATAAGAGCTATCTATGACAAACCCCCAGCCAATATCATACTGAATGGGCAAAAACTGGAAGCATTCCATTTGAAAACTGGCACAAGACAGGGATGCCCTCTCTCACCACTCCTATTCAACATAGTGTTGGAAGTTCTGGCCAGGGCAATTAGGCAGGAGAAGGAAATAAAGAGTATTCAATTAGGGAAAGAGGAAGTCAAATTGTCCCTGTTTGCAGATGACATGATTGTATATCTAGAAAACCCCATCGTCTCAGCCCAAAATCTCCTTAAGCTGATAAGCAACTTCAGCAAAGTCTCAGGATACAAAATCAATGTACAAAAATCACAAGCATTCTTATACACCAATAACAGACAAACAGAGAGCCAAATCATGAGAGAACTCCCATTCACAATTGCTTCAAAGAGAATAAAATACCTAGGAATCCACCTTACAAGGCGCGTGAAGGACCTCTTCAAGGAGAACTACAAACCACTGCTCAATGAAATAAAAGAGGATACAAACAAATGGAAGAACATTCCATGCTCATGGGTAGGAAGAATCAATATCATGAAAATGGCCATACTGCCCAAGGTAATTTATAGATCCAATGCCATCCCCATCAAGCTACCAATGTCTTTCTTCACAGAATTGGAAAAAACTACTTTAAAATTCATATGGAACCAAAAAAGAGCCCACATCACCAAGTCAATCCTAAGCCAAAAGAACAAAGCTGGAGGCATCATGCTACCTGACTTCAAACTATACTACAAGGCTACAGTAACCAAAACAGCATGGTACTGGTACCAAAAGAGAGATATAGATCAATGGAACAGAACAGAGCACTCAGAAATAACACCGCATATCTACAAATATCTGATCTTTGGCAAACCTGACAAAAGCAATGGGGAAAGGATTCCCTATTTAATAAATGGTGCTGGGAAAACTGGCTAGCCATATGTAGAAAGCTGAAACTGGATCCCTTCCTTACACCTTATACAAAAATCAGTTCAAGATGGATTAAAGACTTAAACGTTAGACCTAAAACCATAAAAACCCTACAAGAAAACCTAGGCATTACCATTCAGGACATAGGCACAGGCAAGGACTTCATGTCTAAAACACCAAAAGCAATGGCAACAAAAGCCAAAATTGACAAATGGGATCTAATTAAACTAAAGAGCTTCTGCACAGCAAAAGAAACTACCATCAGAGTGAACAGGCAACCCACAAAATGGGAGAAAATTTTCGCAACCTACTCATCTGACAAAGGGCTAATATCCAGAATCTACAATGAACTCAAACAAATTTACAAGAAAAAAACAAACAACCCCATCAAAAAGTGGGCGAAGGACATGAACAGACACTTCTCAAAAGAAGACATTTATGCAGCCAAAAATCACATGAAAAAATGCTCACCTTCACTGGCCATCAGAGAAATGCAAATCAAAACCACAATGAGATATCATCTCACACCAGTTAGAATGGCAATCATTAAAAAGTCAGGAAACAACAGGTGCTGGAGAGGTTGTGGAGAAATAGGAACACTTTTACACTGTTGGTGGGACTGTAAACTAGTTCAACCCTTGTGGAAGTCAGTGTGGCGATTCCTCAGGGACCTAGAACTAGAAATGCCATTTGACCCAGCCATTCCATTACTGGGTATATACCCAAAGGACTATAAATCATGCTGCTATAAAGACACATGCACACGTATGTTTATTGTGGCACTATTCACAATAGCACAGACTTGGAACCAACCCAAATGTCCAACAATGATAGAGTGGATTAAGAAAATGTGGCACATATACACCATGGAATACTATACAGCCATAAAAAATGATGAGTTCATGTCCTTTGTAGGGACATGGATGAAAATGGAAATCATCATTCTCAGTAAACTATCGCAAGAACAAAAAACCAAACACCTCATATTCTCACTCATAGGTGGGAATTGAACAGTGAGAACACATGGACACAGGAAGGGGAACATCACACTCTGGGGACTGTTGTGGGGTGGGCAGAGGGGGGAGGTATAGCATTGGGAGATATACCTAATGCTAGATGACGAGTTAGTGGGTGCACGCACCAGCATGTCACATGTATACATATGCAACTAACCTGCACATTGTGCACATGTACCCTAAAACTTAAAGTATAATAATTTAAAAAAAATTTAAAAAAAAACACTAATATAAATGCCAGGCACAGTGGCTCATGCCTATAATCCCTAGCACTTTAGGAGGCTGATGCAGGTAGATCCCTTGAGCCCAGGAGTTTGAGACCAGCCTGGGCAACATGGCAAAACCTTGTATCCACAAATAATTAAAAATAAAAAAATAGCTAGGCATGGTATTGTGTGTCTGTAGTCCCAGTTACCTGGAAGGGTGAGGTGGGAGGATCACCCCAGCTGGGGAGGTCAAAGCTGCAGTGAGCTGTGGTGATACCAGTGCACTCCAGCCTAGGCGACAGAGTAAGACCCTGTTGCAAAAAATAAACAAATAAATAAATAAAAACTGATATAAAATATCAATACAATAATAAGAAATAATACAAATAAAAACAGTATAGTATAACAACTATTTATATGGTATTTATATTGCATTAGATTATACATAATCTAGAAAGGATTTAAAGTATACAGGAGGATATACATAGGTTATATGCAAATATTTACTATACTATTTTATATCAAGGACTTCTACATCCATGAATTTTGTATGTGAGCATGTCCTGGAACCAATTCCCCTGTGAATACCAAAAGATAACTATTAGTACAATTTTTGTCACCCTATTTATGCCAATGAAAATTAGAAGCCCATATTATTTAATTCAAACATTATTGGAATGAGAAAGGTAAGCACAGAAGCCACAAATCTCAGTTACCGATTTAATAAAAAATATTGAACAAATGCAAAACTGTTGATGTCACTGGTAAGAAAAATTAAGCACTCATCTGCTTCTTACAAGTAACTTACTAAATGTGGGAACAATGACAGCACCTAACCATCAAGTTGCTAATAGGGCTAAATGTGTTAATGTATGTTGAAGTGGTTATAGCATTGCCCTAAAAGATACAAAAAAAGTTTAGTGAATATTTGTATGGGACACAATAAATTTTAGGTTGAATCTATATCAATTTTGTATAAAAGTAAATTTATATCAATGTCTGTGTAATAACAAGGGCCAAGATCTTTCCAAAGTATTAAAAGTTTGATTTTAAGTATTCTAACTATTCTTTACTTAGGAGTATGAGATAGCCACTCTTTAAAAGTTTAACGTTATTTCCTATGGAATTTAAGTATTCATAAAGGGGGTTATTTTATGTGTGCTTGGTTGGTAGAGAAATGATTTAACTGCTGGTGCTATGATTTGAATGTGTCCCCTAAAGTTCACCTGTTGGAAACTCAATTCTGAATGAAGCAATGCTGAGAGGTGAGACCTTCAAAAGGTGATTAGGTCATGAGGGCTCTAGTGGATTAATGCCATTGTTGCAGATGTGGGTTAGTTATCATGAAAGTGGGTTCCTGATAAAAGTATAATTTTGCCCCCTTTCCCTTCTCTCTCTGTCTCTCTCTTTCACTTAATCTGCGTTTCTAGCATATGTTTTCTTGCCCTTCAACCTCCTGCTATAGGATGATACAGTAAGAAGGCCCTCACCAGATACAGGCCCCAGGACCTTGGACTTTCCAGCCTCCAGAACTGTAAGGAATAAATCCCTGTTCCTTATAAATTACCCAGTCTCAGGTATTCTGTTAATAGCAGCATAAAACAAATTAAGACAATATATGTTTAGAATAAGAAACTATGTTTTTAAAAATATTTTTGATAAAAGCTAATTACTTGAAATCATGAATTATGTGGTCATAGGAGGTTTATATTTACCTACCAACATTGTGATAATAAACTCTCTATTATTACTCTGTCTTTATTCTGGAACCTCAATATTACGTCAGTAGTGTCAGGCCTCTGAGCCCAAGCTAAACCATCATATCCCCTGTGACCTGCACGTACACATCCAGATGGCCTGAAGCAACTGAAGAATCGCAAAAGAAGTGATAATGGCTGGTGTCTGCCTTAACTGATGACATTCCACCATTGTGATTTGTTTCTGCCCCACCTTAACTGATGACATTCCACCATTGTGATTTGTTTCTGCCCCACCTTAACTGAGCAATTAACCTTGTGAAATTCCTTCTCCTGACTCAGAAGCTCCCCCACTAAGCACCTTGTGACCCCTGCCCCTCCCCACAAGAGAACAACCCCCTTTGACTGTAATTTTCCACTACCCACCCAAATCCTATAAAATGGCCCCATACCTGTCTCCCTTTGCTGACTCTCTTTTTGGACTTGCTCGCCTGCACCCAAGTATTTAAAAAGCTTTTTTGCTCATACAAAGCCTGTTTGGTGGTCTCTTCACATGGACATGTGTGACATTTGGTGCTGTGACTTGAATTGGGGGACCGCACTTGGGAGATCAGTCCCGTGTCCTCCTGCTCTTTGCTCTGTGAGAAAGATCCACCTACGACCTCTGGCCCTCAGACCAATCAGCCCAAGGAATATCTCACCAATTTTAAATCTGGTAAGCGGCCTCTTTTTACTCTCTTCTCCAACCTCCCTCACTATCCCTCAACCTCTTTCTCTTTTCAATCTTGGTGCCATCCTTCAATCTCTCCCTTCTCTTAATTTCAGCTCCTTTCCTTTTCTGGTAGAGACAGAGGAGACGCATTTTATCTGTGAACCCAAAACTCTGGCGCCGGTCACACACTCGGGAAGACAGTCTTCCCTTGGTGTTTAATCACTGCAGGGATGCCTGCTAGATTATTCACCCACATTGCAGAAGTGTCTGATCACTGCGGGGACACCTCCCTTGATCCTTCACCCTTAGTGGCAAGCACCACTTTCCTGGGGGGCAAGCACCCCCCACCCCTTTTCTCCATGTCTCTACCCTCTCTTTTCTCTGGGCTTGCCTCCTTCACTATAGGCAACTTTCCACCCTCCATTCCTCCTTCTTCTCCCTTATCCAGTATTCTTAAGAACTTAAAACGTCTTCAACTCACACCTGACCTATAACCTAAATGCCTTATTTTCTTCTGCAATGCCGCTTAACCCCCATACAAACTCGACAATGGTTCCAAATAGCCAGAAAAAGGCACTTTCGATTTTTCCATCCTACAAGATCTAGATAATTCTTGTAAAATGGGAAAACGGTCTGAGGTGTCTGACATCCAGCCATTCTTTTACACATTGATCCCTCCCTAGTCTCTGTTCCCAATGTGACTCATCCCAAATCATCCTTCTTTCCCTCCCACCTTTCCCCTCAGTCCCAACCCAACCCCAAGCGTCACTGTGTCTTTTCAATCTTCCTTTTCTACAGACCCATCTGACCTCTCCCCTCATCCCCAGACTGCTCCTCAGGTCGCTCCCCGCCAGGCTGAATCAGGCTCCAATTCTTCCTCAGCTTTTGCTCCTCCACCCTATAATCCTTCTATCACCTCCCCTCCCCAAACCCAGTCCAGCTTACAGTTCCATTCTGTTACTAGCCCTCCCCCACCTGCCCAACAATTTTCTCTTAAAGAGGTGGCTGGAGCTAAAGGCATAGTCAAAGTTAATGCTTCTTTTTCTTTAACCAACCTCTCCCAAATCAGTTAGCATTTAGGCTCTTTTTCATCAGATATAAAAACCCAGCCCAGTTTATGGCCCATTTGACAACAACCCTTAGACGCTTTATAGCCCTAGACCCTGAAGGGTCAGAAGGCAGTCTTATTCTCAATATGCATTTTATTACCCAATCCGCTCCCAACATTAAATAAAGCTCCAAAAATTAAATTCTAGCTCTCAAACCCCACAACAGGACTTAACCTCACCTTCAAGGTGTACAATAATAAAGAAGAGTTGCAATTACTTGCCTCCACTATGAGAGAAACCTCAACCACAGCTGCAGTGCACAAGAACTTCAAAACACCTAAGCCACAGCAGTCAGGCATTCCTTCAGGACTTCCTCCCCCAGGATCTTGCTTCAAGTGCCAGAAATCTGGCCACTGGGCCAAGGAATGCCCGCAGCCCGGGAGTCCTCCTAAGCCGTGTCCCATCTGTGCAGGACCCCACTGGAAATTGAACTGTCCAACTGGCCCAAGGCTCTGACTGACTTCTTCCCAGATCTTCTCAGCTTAGCGGCTGAAGACTGACACTGCGTGATCACCTCGGAAGCCTCCTGGACCATCACAGATGCTTCTGGTAACTCTTACTGCGGAGGATAAGTCCAACCCCTTCTTAATCAATATGGAGGCTACCCACTCCACATTACCTTCAAGGGCTTGTTTCTCTTGCCTCCATAACTGTTGTGGGTATTGACGGCCAGTCTTCTAAACCTCTTAAAATTCCCCAAATCTGGTGCCAACTTGGACAATATTCTTTTATGCACTCCTTTTTAGTTATCCCCACCTGCCCAGTCCCCTTATTAGGCTGAGATATTTTAACAAAATTATCTGTTTTCCTGACTATTCCTAGGCTACAGCCATACCTCATTGCTGCCCTTTTCCCCAGTTCAAAGCCTCCTTCACATCCTCCCCTTGTATCTCCCCACCTTAACCCACAAGTATGGGACACCTCTACTCCCTCCTTGATGACGAATCATGCACCCCTTACCATCCCATTAAAACCTAATCACCCTTACCCTGCTCAATGCCAATATCCCATCCCACAGTATGCTTTAAAAGGATTAAAGCTTGTTATCACTGACCTGTTACAGCATGGCCTTTTAAAGCCTATAAACTCTCCTTACAATTCCCCCATTTTACCTGTCCTAAAAACGGACAAGCCTTACAGGTTAGTTCAGGATCTGCACCTTATCAACCAAATTATTTTTCCTATCCACCCCATGGTGCCAAACCCATATACTCTCCTATTCTCAATACCTCCCTCTACAACCCATTATTCTGTTCTAGATAAACCTAGCTGACCCCATAAATCCTAAATCCTTTCCCCACTCCCCTTTCCATTCCTTAAAAAACAGCTCCCACACTAGCTCTCCCTAACTCATCACTCCCTTTTCATTACACAAAGCTGAAGTGCAGGGCTGTGCAGTCGGAGTTCTTACACAAGAGCCAGGACCACACCCTGTAGCCTTTCTGTCCAAACAACTTGATCTTACTGTTTTAGCCTAGCCCTCATGTCTGTATGCAGCAGCTGCTGCTGCTTTAATACTTTTAGAGGCCCTCAAAATCACAAACTATGCTCAACTCACTCTCTACAGTTCTTATAACTTCCAAAATCTATTTTCTTCCTCACACCTGATGCATATACTTTCTGCCCCCCTCCACTACCTCTCAGCAAGCCGAACTCATTGCCTTAACTCGAGCCCTCACTCTTGCAAAAGGACTACGTGTCAATATTTATACTGACTCTAAATATGCCTTCCATATCCTGCACCACCATTCTGTTAAATGGGCAAAAAGAGGTTTCTTCACTTCGCAAAAGTCCTCCATCCTTAATGCCTCTTTAATAAAAACTCTTCTCAAGGCCGCTTTACTTCCAAAGGAAGCTGGAGTCATTCATTGCAAAGGCCATCAAGAAGGCATCAGATCCCATTGCTCAGGGCAACACTTATGCTGATAAAGTAGCTAAAGAAGCAGCTAGCATTCCAACTTCTGTCTCTCACAGCCAGTTTTTCTCCTTCTCATCAGTCACTCCCACCTACTCCCCAACTGAAACTTCCACCTATCAATCTCTTCCAACACAAGGCAAATAGTTCTTGGACCAAGGAAAATATCTCCTTCTAGCCTCACAGGCCCATTCTATTCTGTCATCATTTCATAACCTCTTCCATGCAAGTTACAAGCCGCTAGCCTGCCTCTTAAAACCTCTCTTTCCCTCTCCATCATAAAAATCTATCCTCAAAAAATCACTTCTCAGTGTTCCATCTGCTATTCTACTACTCCTCAGGAATTTCTCAGGCCACCTCCCTTCCCTACACATCAAGCTTGGGGATTCACCCCTGCCCAGGACTGGCAAATTGACTTTACTCACATGCCTGGAGTCAGGAAACTAAAATAGTTCTTGGTCTGGGTGGACGCTTTCACTGGATGATTAGAGGCCTTTCCCACAGGGTCTGAGAAGGCCACCACAATCATTTCTTCCCTTCTGTCAGATATAATTCCTCGATTTGGCCTTCCCACCTCTATACAGTCCGATAACGGACCAGCCTTTATTAGTCAAATCACCCAAGCAGTTTCTCAGGCTGTTGGTATTCAGTGGAACCCTCATACCACTTACCATCCTCAGTCTTCAGGAAAGGTAAAACAGACTAATGGTCTTTTAAAAACACACCTCACCAAGCTCAGCCTCCAACTTAAAAAGGACTGGACAATACTTTTACCCCTTGCCCTTCTCAGAATTCAGGTCTGTCCTTGGGGTGCTACAGGGTACAGCCCATTTAAGCTCCTGTATGGACACTCCATTTTATTAGGCCCCAGTCTCATTCCTGACACTGCCCCAACTTGAACTGCACCCCAAAAACTTGTCATCCCTACTATCTTCTGTCTAGTCATGCTCCTATTCACCATTCTCAACTACTCATAAATACCCTGCCCTTGTTTACATTGCCAGTTTATACTTTTCCTTCAAACCATCATAACTGACATCTCTTGGTTTTACCTCAAACCTCCACCCTTAAGTCTCTCTTAAAGTAGATAATCTTTGCTGACAGGGTACACTCCAGTACTTTCACCCTGATGAAGTCCTATTCTTTACTTTTATACACATTCTTTTTCTCATTCCCGTTCTTATGCCACCCTCTACTTCTCCCCAGCTATCTCCACCACACTATCAATCTCTCTCAGTCTCTCCTAGCTGTTTCTAATCCTTCTTTAACAAACAATTGCTGGCTTTGCATTTCTCTTCCTCCAAAATCACCGAGGCCTCAACTTACTCACTGCAAAAAAAAAAAAAAAAAAAAAAGGACTGTGTATATTTTTAAATGAAAAGTGTTGTTTTTACCTAAATAAATCTTGCCTGGTGTATGACAACATAAAAAAACTCAAGGATAGAGCTAAACTTGCCAACCAAGCAAGTAATTATGCTGAACCCTCTTAGGCACTCTCTAATTGGTTGTCCTTGGTACTCCCAATTCTTAGTCCTCTAATATCTGTTTTTCTCCTTCCCTTATCCAGACCCTGTGTCTTCCATTTAGTTTCTCAATTCATCCAAAACCGTATCCAGGCCATCACCAATCATTCTATATGACAAATGCTCCTTCTAACAACCCCACAATATTATCCCTTACCACAAAATCTTCCTTCAGCTTAATCTCTCCCACTCTAGGTTCCCTAATCCTGCTCGAAGTAGCCCTGAGAAACATCGCCCATTATCCCTCCATACCACCACAAAAAAATTTTTGCTGCCCCAACACTTCAACACTATTTTATGTTATTTTTCTTATTAATATAAGAAGACAGGAATGTCAGGCCTCTGAGCCCAAGCTAAGCCATCATATGCCCTGTGACCTGCACGTATACATCCAGATGGCCTGAAGCAAGTGAAGAATCACAAAAGAAGTGAAAATGGCTAGTTTCTGCCCTAACTGATGACATTCCACCACTGTGATTTGTTTCTGCCCCACCTTAACTGAGCAATTAACCTTGTGAAATTCCTTCTCTTGGCTCAGAAGCTCCCCAACTGAGCACCTTGTGACCCCTGCCCCTCCCCATTAGAGAACAACCCCCTTTGACTGTAATTTTCTACTACCCACCCAAATCCTATAAAACAGCCCCAGCCCTATATCCCTTCTCTAACACTCTTTTCGGACTCAGACCGCCTGCACCCGGGTGATTAAAACAGTTTATTGCTCACACAAAGCCTGTTTGGTGGTCTCTTCACACGGACACACGTGACAAGTAGTATGATGTGCTTGTGAGTCAGCATGTGAGAGTTGTTTACTGCTTGGTGACTACAAATGTGCTTTCCAACATATCTCTGTACCATTGTAGTAAGGCAAGAAAATATGACCAGTTCTGCCCAATGTGTGCTGTAAAGGGAAGTAAAGCGTGCTACTTCCTGGCTGAAGCCTAGAAAAGAGGCTACATGTTTTAAGTGATACAACTACAAAAAGTGGAATCTTTGTCAGTCGGAGGTGCTGAATGACTTTATTTATGTAATAGAGTTCCTGACTCACTTGCATTATACTATTACCTAAGTGAGAAATAAATCTGTTTTATTAATCTATTCAAATTTGGGAATTAATTTCTTATTGCAACCTGACATACTCTTAACAGGGCTAATAAAGTTTGAAAAAATAGTGTGTGTTGTTTTAATATTTCTTAATATTTATATTAGTCACAAACCCATTGATTCTAATATGCAAGTTTCTCATGTGACTATGTAAATGTACATACACGTATATACAAATATGCACGCCCTTACAAATGCATAGTGAACTTTTAACAATGTACTTAGCCTTCGGGAAAGGGTTAGGATAGGATAAAAAAAAGTTTTTGATGAAGGCATTTTCCTTTTTGCAATGTTTTAAACATTTCTATGTAATTTGCATTTTATAACAAGTAGTATGTATGATTGTATAATACAAATAAATAAGGTTGTATATTTTCTGAAATTCCCATATCTCCAGTTGAAATTTGTTTCTTCCTTTTAAACAATTTTCTTCTTTATAAAATAATTTTTAAACAAATTTTAATTTTAAATTTAAAAAAATTTAAAATGTTTTCTTATTGAAAAAAATATGTTTGTATACCTACTTTGCAGAAGAAGACATCTTTCTTTTTGAACCAAAAATAAAACACAATGCTTTTTTATCTAATCCCCTTTTTAACTATCTCTTCTTCCTTTTACTATCTCTTCTTCCTTTTGAATGTTTAATTTCTGTGTCATACTATATCACTCTTGCTCTCAATTTCTTCTTTTTTCACCTTAGTGTATTCAGATCCATCATATTCTCTTGCTACTCCCACCCCACCATTGACAGCAACAAATGTAGTGAGTACTTCCATTCACCAATTGTTAAATTGTCAGTGCTTAATTTCCAAAAAGAATATATATTGGCCATGGACAATGTGTAAATCTATGAATTTGGCTTCAAAATCTATGTTTTCATCAAACCTCAGTTTCATCCTTCTGTCCATATTCATTGTCACTTCTTAGGTGCGTAATTCTACTTGGTCTATGTTGCCTTAAATTTTCCTTATTCTAAATTAAATTCATCTCATTTTCCACAAACACACTCTTCTTCCAACACTTTTGCTCAAGTTACAACTAACGTCCTAAACTCTTTGACTCAAATACTCAGGGTTAACTCTGAGTTTTCCTTTTCCCTCAACCTTCAATATGTACAGGACATTTGTTATGCTTTGACCATGCTTTCCATATTTGGGGATTTCTGCTCTTTGAGACCCACCTCAAGGTGAAAGCCTGAAACTTTTACCATAGCCTTTCAAGGGCTTGTGACCTAAACTCTCACAATCAGACACAGCCATCAGAGACTTAAATTTAGAGAGAATAAAGTGAATGAAAACATGACATTTAGAATTGATTAAGGGTGGCAGAGTAATTGAGCTTTCAGAAACAGTAGCGGTGGAGGTGCTGGCTGAAGCTTCTGTTCCCATGATTATTTCAACGACCTGCAGTGTTTCCTCTCTAAGGTGACAACAGCATCTGCACCTCTTAAAAACTGCTGCTTAATTGAGGCAAATTCAAAGTCAGTGTCCTTACAGTGCTCTACAAGGCCTGTTTATGCTTCCAGTGTCATTCAAGGGCACTCCTGTCTTGCTTACTGTGTTCCAAACACAGTGGCCTCCTTGCTGTCCCTTGAACCTGCTTTCCCTCCAGGGCCTTGCTAATTTCCCATTTCCTGCTAGCATTCTCCCCAGGTATCCTTATGGCAGGCTCACTCCCTTCCTTCAGTTTTCTTCTCAAGTCACTTGATCAGAAAAGCCATTCCCTTCTTTGTAAAAGAGCAATCCTCTTACTCCCAACCTAAGCACTCTCATTCCCCTTATCCTGCATATGTTTTACATTCTTTGCCACAAATATATCATAGGTTTCTTGTTCATCTTACTCTATAAAAATGTTTAATCCAAGTAGGCTTGTTTTATTCATAGCCATAGTTTTATCCTGTCTGGCCTGCAGAAATCATCAATAACTATTCATCCAATAAATGGGTGAAAGGATGAATAAGTATTTTCCTAGATGTTTGAACTGCCTATCTAATAAAGTTCCTTTTTACTTTTCTATCAAAAATGAAACTTGATTTTTTCAAAGATTTTTAGCTAATGCACAATCTTTTAATAGAACTAACATATTAACGCCAGAATATTCCACACCATATCATGTCACCTCCTTTCTATTCCTTTTTTTAAGTCTAAATTAGGCCCTATTTCTTATAGCCTGAATTATAGCAACACACTAAAACTAATCTTCTTCCTCCAATATTATCCTATCTTGATTTATCCCAATTAATCCTCCTAAAACTCTAAGTATTTCTAATACCAAGACAACTTGCCAATAAAATGGGATGGTGATAGAAAATTAAAGTAGCTTTTGATTACTGAATGCATTAAAATACTATTTAGTTTATATTTCAAATGGCTACTTTTGAATCAACTATCAAAAGTTATTCGAACAAACATTAGAAGTGGTTTTTGTTAAAAAAAATAGAATGATGATAGAACTATTTTATAAGAACTTATTCAGTGTCCATTTCTAGACATGTGCTTAAAATTTCATTCCTTACTCTTTGTTGTGGATTGAAATGTGTCCCCCTAAAAGATATTTTGAAGTCCTAATCCCTATACCTTAGAATCTGACCTTATTTGGTAATAATGTCTGCTATTGATTTAATGTTTGTCTCCTCCAAAACTCATGTTAAAATTGAATTATTTCCATTGTGATGGTATTGGGAGGTGGAACTTGTAAGAGGTGTTAAGGTCATGAGGCTTCTTCATGAATGCACTAATGCCATTATTGAGGGAGTGGGTTCACCCTGTCTTACTCTCTTTCTCTTTGTCCTTTTGCCATGTCATGTCTTCTGTCATTGTGATGATGAGCAAGAAGACAATGGCCAGATGTAAGCGTTTTAATCTTAGAATTCCCAGCCTCCAGTATGGTGAGGAAATAAATTTTGGCTTTTAGTAAATTACCCGGTCTCAAGTACTTTGTTATGGCAGCACAAAATGGACTAAGACAGGGCTCTTGCAAATATAATTAGTTAAGTTAAAATTAGGCCATGATGGAGTAGGGTGGATCTCTAATTCAATTTGCCTTGTGTTCTTAGAAGAAAATAACCATGTGACAAGAGACACACAAGGAGAAGGCCACGTGATGAGGAAGGCAAGTACTGGAGTTGTGCAGTTGCAAGGCAAGGAAATCCAAAGATTCCTGGTGTTGGGGTGCACAAAACAATACTCCAAAATATCAGGCTTTGGAATGCTGAGTGCTTTTAATTATAGAAAATTAAAAGGCTTCAGAAACCAGCTTCAGAACCAAAGTGTCTCTCTGGCTCCCTAACACCCTCTACTCCTACCTCCCCACCCCCCCAACCATTCCTCACCCATTCCTGCCACCTACAAATTGCCAATTCTTTTTTTTTCCCCCCAAAGCGCTGGGAGAGACTTTACTGGAATTTCCTTATCTGACTAAAATAACTTCTCCCCAAAAGAAATACAATTGTGTTAAGACCCCCTCCCTCCTTAGTGATCTTATCAAATAATCAGTGAAGATTAACCACCAGAGAAGAGAACAGACTGGGCATTTTCCTCACACTCAGAGAGAATTTTTGTCTATTCTTTTGTGAATAACTTCAGGAGATTATCTGGGAGACTTTATCTGCGTAATACGACATTTGCTTATAGTGAAGTTCCACCCCTCGCCTTACCAACACTTACCCCAGAGCTCAGATAAACAGTCCCAGGTCATTGCGTTTGTGCTCATTACTTTCACCTAAAATGACTTAATCCTACAACCCCCATCTCACCATCCCAGATAAAGTAGGGTATATAAGCATCTGGACCTCATTGAGTTATTGGGTAATCATTCTTCTGCAATTCCCTAGTGTTTATGCCATTAGATAAATTTTGTATGTCCTTTTCTCCAATTAAGCTGCCTTTTGTCAGTTCATTTTCAGCAAACCTTCAGAGGGTAAAGGAGAAGCTTTCCCTCTTTGACTATATGCTGGCAAGCCAATAAAGGATAGGAAGAGGCAAGGAAGGAAGGATCTCCCTAGAGATTTCAGCTAGAAGATGGCCCTGAAGTCTTGTTTCAGACTTCCAGTTACCAGAATTGTAAGCCTAGAAATTTCTGTTGTTTTCAGCCACCCAGTTTGTGGTATTTTGTATAACCCCAGGAATCTAATACACTCTTCAGGTGGGAGAAAAGGGTTTATTTGTATGGCATTTTTCAGATGACTTGTGGGAAAAAATGTCTAGTCTTTTATTTGTAGTGCAGTCATATATGGTAAAATATGGTAAATAAGAACCTGCTATTTAAATTTTTTCTAGAAATCGCCTCTATTGAGTGTAGTTTTGACATTGAAGCTCATAAACAAATCCCACAGAGTGATTCTATACTGGCACATGCAAGTATACATTACAGATGCTGATAGCCTGTTATTTGCTTATGTTTATGGGGGAAAAATTCTTAAAGCAATTATTTCCATGACATTTGTTCTCATAAATTGACATTATGAATAGATTAAATTTCTTTGGACCTGTGAGCAGGAATTACTAAATTCTAGCCTTTCTATTTTTAGATGAACATCCGTTAGAAAAAATTACAACCTAGGTGTGAAGAAACCTGATTTTTCATCTCTGTCTGTAGTTTTACTAATCTAAGTCAGCTCACACAGATAAATATTTAATACAATGTCATAGTCTTACTAGTGCTAATAATAAATTCTTCATCTTGCACTTCAAGCCTATTCTTTGTTCTGCCTTTGATTGTAAACAAGTATATCCAATCATCTCAGAACAAATCTCGTAATAGCAAGTCAAACAGTAAATATTTAGTAAATTGAAAATAGTGCATCTCATATTTGAGTATCACATATACCTACTTCAATGTGTTGAACACAATTCCAAATATTACACATCCTTTTTGTCTAAAATAAAACACAGAGGCATTATGTAATGAGTTAGAGAAATGCATAACTGTACTAGTGATTTCTATTTTTCCTCTCATGTTTAGAAGGAAAATACTAATTCCTTATACTGGTTACATTCTTTCGGCCCCAGGTATCTGCTTTCCACCTTTCCCTGCCCTGTTTTGGGTCATGAGAGGCAGACCTTGGAATCTGCTTCACCTGGACCCCCTGCTGACTGGCTTGCCATGTGATTTTGCCAATGTAGAGCACCACAGAACATCAGAGGGTAGGAGAAAAGAGAAAACAGAAGAGAAATTTAGAGTATTACTGCTCTACTTCTTCCTTGCTGTGGCACCTTCCTTAAGTATTTGTTGAATTTCTAAATAACTCCCACCCCCAGCAGATGCCCTCTTCTCCATGGTTTCAATCTCAAGTGCTCTGATGATATGGTTTACTCTTCTTGCCCATTCAACCATAGATGTAGTAAGGACTTCAGATTGTTGTTAGCTATGGATACAGTGCTCTTGTTTTTGTTGGTATTTGTTTTTTATTTTTTCTTAACCCTGCATATAATTCTGTAAGGAGGCCTATCTTTAAAATTTCTTCATTCAAACCCTTTGTTTCCTGTCAAAATCTAACCAAATAGCCTTCACTGAAGTGGCTTTGTTAGAGAAAATGGATTACACGTTATAATACATGTCCCAGATGCATTTCCTAGGTTAACCTCTGTTATTAACCTTGGTCATATTTTTCTTGCCTTTCACATCCTACCATGAAGCCTATAAATGGTTATACTTTATCAAAACAGCAAGCAGCTGTGATTGTTGAGATGGAGTCAGTATCATTTTAATTACAACTTTCACTGAGAGTCGTTGAAGGGATTTGTATGTCACATTCCACGTAAGTGGAATTTGTTGTAACTTGGCTCTGGTTAAGCAGGACTTCAAATTGGCCAATTTCAACAGACATTCTTCAGCCCTTCTAACTTGATGCCTTTACAGAATTTCATGCTGTCTACCCCTTCTTCTAGTTAAAACTGTTTCTTATCTAGGTTTCCATGTTGTTATCTAGCATGTTCTAATATGAAAGGAATGAGCCTTAACTGCAATCGATCTTGGTTCCATTCCTAGATTCACTAATTAGTATCTTTGAGTTATATAGTTCCTGGTGAGCTTTCTATTTTTTTAAATATTTTTTCTTAAGGAGTAGAATATTGTTGTGAATATTTTCTATTGATCTGGAATAGTACCTCCAGCTGGCAATCTAAGGGTTCCAATATGACTTTCCATATGAATATTTTTGGAGCCCAGAGAGTTATCTTTGGTACTAAAAAATGAATTGGCTATCAATCTTTATTATTTGGGAGGTTTACTCTATTTCAGTAAAAAATTTGAATTCCAGTCTATAAGTGGGTCTTCATAATAATTTATTCATGGCTACAATGAACTGGAGCTGATTAGAGAGTGCTCCATTTAGATAATCATGTACTCACTGGTTCCCAGAAGGCCATTTCCATACCTACATACTATTAGTCTGGTTCCTGCTTGCATTTAAATATGCAGTCTTTTATTTTGACAATGCACACCATCTAATTCCAGCACACACAATCTCCTTGATTCATCTAACTGTAGAAATTCAAAATAAGGACTCTTTCTTCTTCTGTTCATAGTATTTGTTTAGGCATCATGGCATCAGAAAAAGTTCACACCAATTAGTGTTTAAGGTAAATATTCAGGCAACAAACTTTTTGATAAGCAGATATTTCCTAAGCCTCAAAGTCTGCAGAACACTAAAAATTGCATAACACATTATTTCTGTTTCTGGACCTCAAGTTCTCTTTGGGGAAGATACTTACATATTCAACACTCAATTTTTAAAAATCTTTCATTCTACCCAATATGTACCTTGGTCTGTTGAGGAAAGCTCCTTCTTATTGGAGGGTTTCATCCTTTACGAATTCCCACCTAGGATGGAGGCAAATGTTTTCATTGTAAAACCCCATTACTACTCATATCACTTTTGCAAAAACAAACTTTGTTTTGATATTTAATTAGCAGATATTTTAATTGAATAAAATTGAAAAAGAAAACAAAAATGGCTATTCTGTCTTCTAATGTAGCATCGGATTATTCTTCTATCCCAAATATTTCTTTTTTTAAAAAAATGTAGGGGTCCCTTGTTTAGATAACATTTTTAAAAGAGTAGTAATAATTTCTATTCAACTTTAAATTTTTTTGAGTATCTCAATTATTTCCTAAGTACTCATGAAATAATTACTAATCATAATAGCTCTCTCTTGTAAAGGATATGAAAAATTTTTTTAAAAGTACAGTGGTTGCCTATGGGGAGGTGGGCTAGGGTGACTGACTGGAAAAGGGCATAGGGGAACTTTCTAGGGTGATAGAAGTCTATACCTTTATTGGAGTGATGCTTGCACAGGTATGTGCATTTGTCAGGACTCAACAATCTATATTTCAGATTTCCATACTATTATAATTTTATCACAATACAATAACAAAAAATAGTATTTCTTATTTTCTCCCCACAGATAAGAACCATGCCTTTAAGCTGTATAAGTCATACTATCATCATTGACAATAATGTGGGCATTATGAGTTATGTTTTACATGTAATATCTAAGTTAATTATTCATTTTTATAGGTTTCTTTCACCTAGTTTCCTCTATAAAAACAAAATCTAAGATAAGAAAACCAACGTCAAATTTGAATGCATATAACCAAGTCAAGCATAAGGCAAAAGATGTGTTTTTATCCAAACACAATTAAGAAATGGCTTCCACTAATCTATTTAAGAAGTCAATATAAAATAGCTCCACAATTTATCATACCTTTTACATATAATTTTCACTGCAGATAACATGTTCATAATAAGCCTGAGTGAGAAAAAATAGGACTGTTGGAAGACAGAATGTTGTGGAAAGTCAGGGACCCCAAACGGAGGGACCGGCTGGACCCAAGGCAGAGGAACATAAATTGTGAAGATTTCATGGACATTTACCAGTTCCTAAATAATACTTTCATAATTTCTTATGCCTGTCTTCCTTTAATCTCTTAATCCTGTTATCTTCTTAAGCTGAGGATCTACGTCACCTCAGGACCACTGTTACAATTGTGTTTACTGTACAAATTGATGTAAAACATGTGTGTTTGAACAATATGATATCAGTACACCTCGAAAAAGAACAGATTAACAGCAATTTTCAGGGAACAAGGGAAAACAACCATAAGGTCTGACTGCCTGCAAGGTCAGGCAAAATGGAGCCATATGTTTCTTCTTGGAGAGAGCCTATAAACAGACGTGCAAGTAGGGAAGATATCGCTAAATTCTTTTCCTAGCAACGAATATTAATAATTAATACCCTGGGGAAGGAATGTGTTCCTGTGGGGAGGTCTATAAACGGCCACTTTGGGAGTGTCTATCTTCTGCGGTTGAAATAAGGACTGAAATATGCCCTGGTCTCCTGCAGTACCCTCAGGCTTACTAGGATGCGTAAAAACCCCACCCTGGTAAATTTGAAGTCAGACCGGTTCTCTGCTCTCGAACCCTGTTTTCTGTTGTTTAAGATGTTTATCAAGACAATATGTGCACCATTGAACAGAGACCCTTATCAGTAATTCTGCTTTTGCCCTTTGCCTTGTGATCTTTGTTGGACCCTTATCAAGAGTTTGTGATTTTGCCCTTGTCCTGTTTCCTCAGAAGCCTGTGATCTTTGTTCTCCTTTTTGCCCTTTGAAGCATGTGATCTTGTGACCTACTCCCTGTTCTTACACCCCCTCTCCTTTTGAAATCCGTAATAAAACTTGCTGGCTTTAAGGCTCAGGTGGTCATGATGGTTCTACCGATATGTGATGTCACCCCCAGATGCCCAGCTGTAAAATTCCTCTCTTTGTATTCTTTCTCTTTATTTCTCAGCCAGCTGACACTTATAGGAAAATAGAAAGAACCTATGTTGAAATATTGGGAGTGGTTTCCCCTGATAATAGAACATTTAACTCTGCTTTCATTAAATCTCTTTTGTTAATATGCTAGTCCAATGAGTCATAGTCAATTTTTCTAGAGAAGTAAAATGTTCACAATTTACTGACTAGTTTTTTGAACTGTGAGATGTTAAATTTTATAGGATTGACTTAAACTGCTCTACCTGGCTTATCAGATTCAAATATTTTCCTTTCAAACCAACACAAGGTGGTGGGTTACATCATTCCTTAGAAGACACTTACTTTCATGTTGCACCTTCCATGTTTCCCAAGACTTGTTTGCATGTACTGTTTTCCTTTCCCACCAAGATCATAATGAACAATTAAAGCAACACATCATTAAGAAAAGAGAACCTTCTTTCACTAGGATTTACATTAAATCTTGGAGGCATCCAGAAAATCTCTTGAATTGTGGCAGATTTGCTTCTCAAATTTTCAGCAATCCAGAGTACACAATGGCTGTTGTCTTTCTAGCCCACTGTTCTCTGAAGTAAAAATAATTTTAAGCTGCACCAATGATGCTTGTAGGAAGAACTTTCAAAAGATGCTTCTTTTCCCCCTACATTTCCCCCGTATCATTTCCTGAGTCTCTTGGGGTTTTCTTACAATACCTATCCCTGTAGCCATTCCCACATTAAATGAACAAGGAATTTTTCTTGTTTGTTGTTTATGGTTGCATTAAAATTGTATGCCCAGGCCTTAATCAAGTATTTTTTACACAATATTTATATTATATGCACAAATGTTAAATAAATGGAATAATGAGTTAATGAATGAATGAACATATGAAGTTCTATATAATATCCATGTTAATCCATTGAGCCAGGAACTTAAACAAATTCAGGTAACCCAACAAACCATGCCTCTTACCTATTACAGAAGTCTATATAATGCTTACGTAAAAATGTTTTGTTTTATAATTCTCAATATTTTATAAATAGAAGGATAGTAAAACAATATAGATGGTATTGAATATATTACTTTTAGGCCATTATTTTTCAAGGTATGTAACTTGAAAATGCATTCATTTCAGAAAGCTATTTTATGGTAAATTAATATTATTATTTTTAATGTAAGTTCCTTGAGGGCAGGAGTAATTTCCTATTCATCTTTATTTACTCCCTTTACATAATATAATGTCTTGGAAATAATAGGCAATTGTCAACTGAATGACATACAATTAAACATAATTTCTCTACTGTTGGTACCCTTAATATTTATAAACAATATGTTACATTTCTGATCATTTATCATTTTCAAAGCACTTTTGCATTTAATATGTCATTTGATTCATCCATTAATTGATTCATTTAAAAAATTATGGCATCACAATTACATACATGGTTACAACAAGCTTATAGTCCAGAGAAGAAAAAGGACATGCAGTAGGTTATTATAATACTGTATAGTGTAGTATGGGGTATGTGAAAAAGAGATAAAATTAAGCTTCAAAGGTAAGGAAAACCTCCCTTGATAAAGAGACCCCTACAGAATGAGTAAGACTGAAGTTTTAACATTCTGTAAAGTTTTAGCTTTACTCATGATGAGAAAGAGGACAGGAAAGTGGAAGTTTCATGATAAAGAAATAGCATACACAGGACCTTTTAACATGATAAGCTATTCTAAGAACATGCAATAGGGTTTCTATACTTCAATGCCTTTATTTGTAAAATGGACATAAAAACAGTAGTCAGAAAACATTATAACACTGAGGATTAAAAGAGTTTATACATGGAACAGTGCCTCCTGTAAGTGTTAAAAATTAATCAGTTACATGTATTTTGTTTCTTTTAATTGCTGAGTAATACTCATTTTATGGGTGTACCAGAGTTAATTTATCCATTCATCCATCACAGGACAATGTATAGCTAGAGTTTAAGATATGGGAAAAAACAGAGATGAGGGAATGAGATGCCAGATAATAAAAGAGTAATGCAGTAGAGATAATACTGGTTGGAAATATGAGTGAAGAAATGGGAATGAGAAAATATATCAATAAGTTGGACTACTATCAAGGAGATAGAGATGATATTTGGTAATAGAATGCTTATCATAGAGTGAGAGATAGGGAGGAATGAGAATGATCTACTGATACTGACTTGGGAAAAAAAACCCTGTTAAACCATTCCCTATTCATTTCTCCAGATTTTTTTTCTATGCTAGTCTTCCTCTGGCTTTCATTATACTCATCACAATAGAGTAATATCAATTCCTGGAAATGCCCATGTTTCTTTCTTCCTTCCTCTGAGCTTTTCCATGTGTGGTTTCCTATCCTTATATACACTTCTCCTGATTTATACCTAACTTTCATTTACCTTCATTACCTCAGCTTATTTATCACCTCCTCTGAGAAATCTTCCAGATTTATCTTCTCTTCCAAGTTATAGTCTCTTTAAAAGGACAATGGATAATTTATTCATTTTTATAGTTTTTTTATGGTTGCTTTCCCTTCTAGATTGTAAACTGTGTGAGGGAATGGAACATGTTGTTAAAATACCATCACCATTATATCAGTAGTATCTAGCATAGTGCCTGGGAATAATATACACTAATAATTTTCTGTTGATTAACTAATTACTTGTGATAGAGAATATGGCCAGGAGGACTGGCGATGGAGGCTGAAAAAGTTATATTTGGACATATAAATTTGAAAAAGACCTTTGGAAAACCAGTGGAGATAACTGGTAGAAAACTATGTATTCAGGTGTAGGGATCAGAATAAAGATGGAGTATATAATTAATGAAGATAGTCCTCATTTTTCATGGTATCTTATTAACTAAATATTGTACATGTAGGAAATGTGTCCTTACTTTGCATGGTTTTATGGTAAACCGCACAAAACAAAGACATGGTTCCAATATGCACCTGTTTCAGTTAACACGGCACCAGGCAAAGCAAGAACTATCTGTATATATGAGATACAGATATATATATATATATGGTATCTGTATATATAATATATATAAAACAGATATTAATGCAGATAAGATTGTCCAAGAAGAGTGTATAATGAAATCTATCTATTTGAAGATTTAGTCAATAAGACGACCATAATTTTTTTAAAAAAGTAAATCAAGGAGAAGAAAAAAGAGTAGAAGGAAAGCCAAAAGTTCGTTTTCATGGAAGTCTAAGAAAACTTCTTGTTGTTGTTGTTGTTCAAACTCAGAACAGAAACTGTAGATGTATGTGAGTGAAAGTTAGATTTCAGTGTATGTGTGGAATGAAATAGAAAGTGACTGCAAACATTCAAGAAGTTAGATTATTAAGAGAAGGGGAAGAGAATAATCTCTGAAGAAGAGTTTTTGTAGGGACATTTTGTTTTGTGATTTTTTTTTTGTCTGTTTTAAATATTGATGAGATTTGAAAGTACTTAAACAAAGGACTATTGACTTCTCTAGGAAGAAATAAGACAGTGAAAATAAAGAGGATGGCACCGAAAACAAATGTATTGTCAAGCCATGAAAAGAAATGGAGGTTTGTGCCCACCCAGGGATACCTAAATAAATAAATAGATAAATAAATAAATAAAATGGAAGAATCTGAAATACATTTACTAAGTGAAAGAAGCCAATCTGTAAAGGCTACATACTGTATGATTCCAACTATGTTACGTTCTGGAAAAGGCAAAACCATAGAGATAGTAAAAAGAGTGGTTGCCAAGGGCTAAGGAGTAGAGGGATGAATAGGCAGAGCACAGAGGAGTTTTAGGGCAGTGAAACTACTGTTTGATGCCTTAATGGTAGATACATGTTGTTACACATTGGTAAAAATTCATAGAATGTACAACATCTAGAGTGAACCCTCGTGTCAACTACAGACATTGGGTGATAATGATGTGTTAATGTAGGTTCATCAGTGGTAACAAATGCACCACTCTGGTGACGATGACAGCGGAGATGGCTGTGCTTGTGTGGAGAAAGGAGATATATGGGAAAATCTCTGTACTTTCTGTTTAATTTTGCTGTGAATTTAAAATTGCTCTTAAAAATCAATTCTATTTTTAAAAATAAGGAAGATGAAAATAGAAAATAGAAAAGGTAATCTGCAGGTTTAGATCACTGAAGAAGCAGACATGAGGACGTTGGTAGCACAGGTTACTTTTTATATTTGTGACATCATCTTTTCTACTATATCAGTTTAAAGTGGGGGGAACAGATGAATTAAAATTCTGTTAGGATTAAAATTACCTGTAAGTCATTGTATAGTTGCAAAACTCTGGTTATATCTTGTGTGGCATTCCTGCTTTTCTGTTAAGAAAGAGACAAACATCCATAATGAAGGGGTTGAGTATTTGAGAAGAGTGGACATGATTTGGAAATGCCACTGGATAATACCCTACCCAGAAAAAAGGAGTTACTGGACAGTCCTGGAGTCTAGCTGAGGTCGGAGGACACGGATTTATCATAGCACTAATGTTTAAATGTGTGTTATTTTTCTTCAGCAGGGCTCCATAGTCACAGTTGAAGAAAGAAGAAAGGCAATAACTGAATTGATCCGGCACTGGGGTTTTCACATTTAGTGTGAAAAGCAGATTCAGAGGACAAGGGGACTAAGGAAACTTCCAAAATAATGAAGTAATGAATCATAGGGAGATATAAGGGAGAGAATAGAAAGTAAAGAGCAATAGAACGGGAGAGAGAAGGGGGATCAGAAAACTATTTGTCCTGCTGATGTGACATCTCTAAATAACCACATTTTGTTCCTTGAAATAACCCTGTGAAGTAGGAAAATATATATAATTTGATAGTTTGCAATGTTTCTCAGGCTTACTTTCCAACAGACTATTTTTCCTCAAGGAACATCTCAGGGGACTAGGTCTCTGAGGAATATACTGTAGAAAAATGCTGCCAGTGTACTCATTTTTCTTTCCTTGATAGAAGACTTTTCTGTACTTTCTTTTCAAACAAGACTAAATTGGATGTAATATGAACATGAGACTATACATGTTTTTAGAGACAACATAATCATAAATTTTGGTCAGCATGCAGAGAACTAGCAGCAGCAGCAGAAATTCAGGCCCATGATGATCCTTCCTAATATTCTACCCAAATCTTGCTCCTCCCATCCCTGGTCTGAGGAATCCAGGCCTGACCTTCAGCATGTTGCTTTCCTTTAATTTTCTTCTTCAGACTCCAGTGAGAATTGTCACCATTTTCCATTCCAGCTTCATCTCCCATAATTCTTTCTACACCCCTTATATTCTAGAAAGCATTGATATAGTGATAGAGGTAGAAGTAGCAGCTAGCACTTTTATGGTACTCATTAAAAATTTTACATATATCATCCCAAATTATTCTCACAAAAATCCTATGAGGTACTGTTATTATTTATTTTTCTTTTTTCTTTTTTTTTTTTTTTTAATAAAAAGAACTGAAATAGCTGGAGTTTCATTGACTTAAGGATCTTCACTCTTATCCATTCTGCTCTAAGATTTCTCTAAGTTCAGGAGAGGCTTATAAAGTCAGATCTAAACTGAGTCCTGAAGACAGAAACCCAGAAAGTAGTTCCAAAAACAGAAAAAGCATGCAAATCAGAAGCAAAAGCATGATTTATTTGGGCTGCTGACCTGCTTGGAAGACTGTGGGCTCTGGGAAACAGACAGGGAAAAATGACAAGATATGAGAGTGAAGAAGTATGTGGAGATCAAATGATGAAGAGCACTTTATATAGCAACACAAGGTTTTGAAATTTATCATGTGGCCAATTGGAAGCCAGTCAAGGGGAAGGGGTCATCATAACGTAAGTAAGCAAATGAATAAATAAATGAACATATGCATAAGCGGTTCTACATGGTAGTAGAGTAAGAATATTTATCTTTTTGTGACTTTTCAATCTGATGATTTTGTGACCTAACCAAAAGTTTTATTAAAATGTTTTCAAGGACACTTACTTTATCAGCCACATAATGTTTTGTTTATATTATGTAGCCACATCAACTTGATTTACATGTCTACCTAAAGAAAAGAAACTGAGACAAAATTAACATAAGTAGAGAGTTTATTTGGGCCAACTTTGAGGACTGCAACCTGGGAGACATAGATTCAAGTTGCCCTAGATATATTGTTATCTCAGATTAATCTCTGATTAACAACAGAGACGGTGGGTTTTTAAACAAACAAAAAAAGGGACGGGGGAAGATCTTAAGTTATTCACCAAGAATTTACCTTGGTTCATTAAAGTGACATAAGCCAGTGGTCCCTAACCTTTTTGGCATTAGAGGCTAGCTTCGTGGAAGAGAAATTTTTTCACACATTGGGGTGTGGGAGAGATTTTTTTTTTTTTTTTTTTTTGAGACACAGTCTTGCTCTTCTTGCCCAGGCTGGAGTGCAGTGGTGCCATCTCGGCTCACTGCAATCTCCATCTCCCAGACTCAAGAAATTCTCCTGCCCCAGTCTCCCTAGTAGCTGGGATTACAGGCGTGTGCTGCCATGCCCAGCTAATTTTTGTATTTTTAGTAGAGATGGGGTTTCACCATGTTGGCCAGGCTGGTCTCAAACTCCTGACCTCAGGAGATCCACCCACCTCAGCCTCCCAAAGTGCTGGGATTACAGGTGTGCCTGGCCGAGGGATTGTTTTGAGATGAAACTCTTCTACCTCAGATCATCAGGCATTAGATTCTCATAAGGAGCATACAACCCAGATTCCTTGCATGTACAGTTCACAATGTGTTCCTGCTCCCATGAGAATCTAATGCTACTGCTGATCTGACAGGAGGTGGAGCTTAGGCAGTAATGCTCACTGGGCTATAGCTCTCCTCCTGCTGTGTGGCCCTGCTCCTAACAGGCCATGGACGCTTACTGTTCCACAGCCTGAGGGTTGGGAACTCCTGATATAAGCTATAGATTGGCTATGCATTGTTTTTACTATCACAGATTCCCAGAGCATGAAGATAATGGGTGAGGGTCACATTGTGCAATTTGTTGTAACATTTAAGGTAATTTATCAGCTAGCCTGGAAATCACAGGGAAGGAAAGAAAAACAAAATGCCTTCAAACAATTAACCCTGGGCATCAGTATTTGGGGGGTGGAGATGACTAAAGTCTCATGCTCATATCTCTCTGGGCCTGATACATTTTGCATACCTCATATTCTTCAGACTTCTCTGAGCTACTTCAGTCATGGAGTTATCACTATTATTGTATAAAAATTTCTTTAGACACTACCTGAGATATTGTTACTGTCTGGTCTTTTTGCTGAGTTTCCTTCAAAATTTGCTCTATGCATTATAAAAGGGGAAAATGTTTAATGCTGCTAATTAAAAACAACATGTACATTTCCATTTAAATGATTGTTTTGTAATTTTATTGTTCACTGGAGAAGATCCCACGTTGGTACCCTTTGCATACCCACATCCAATATCAGGATAAATGGTTAATGAATCATTTGCTTTGTTCATGACATCCTACAGATCACTGAAACATTACGCTTACTTTCTGGTAAAAAATAAGAGTCAAGACTTGCCTTTGAGAATGGTGGAAACCTACTCCATGAAATCAATAAAAACACTGGAAAAAAAAATGTCAAAAGTCAACTTTTTCAGAACACTAGAGATTAACTAAAGAATTGCAACAATGTCAAGTTTTACTAAGAAAAAAAAAAGCTGAATTTCAGTAAGAGCAATGAGTACCGTTGCATTTTAACTTGCTGAAATCACACCCTCCTCTCCCCAGCTCCATGGCACCCTGGGAAATAAGCAGACATATAACCATGGTAGCTGTGAAAAACAGCCACCTAGTAGCCACTGGATGGAGCAGAATGGGTTGGGGAAAAAAGCTGAGGGTTGGGAAGAAAGCTGAGGCAGGGCTTGCATAATGTTCTCTGGAATGTGTCTAGACTTGCTGGCTCCTTGCTTCTAGTGCTCCTAGGCTCCTAGATCAATTGTTTTCCCATTATCTCAAGTAGCAGAACATGTTCCTTATAAATGCTAAATCATCACAGCTGTAGATCATGCATGCGCCTGCCCTTTTGACCGCCACATTCTCACCACGTTTCTCTGTTGGATTACCAATAAATAGCGTGGGCTCCCGGAGCTCAGGGCCTTTGCAGCCTCCACAGTCGCCATGGCCCTCTGGTGTCCCACCTTTCTCTCTCAAACTGTCTTTTTCTCAATCCTTTGACTCCACCGGACTTCATCACCCCCACGACCTGGTGTTGGGTCTGGCAGCCCTACAGAATGGGCTTGGAGTTCCCAGAAGTCTCATCCCTAGAGAACTGTCACTATTTGACAGTTTCAGAAAGCACTCTTTTTGGGAGCTTCCAAGCTTTGAAGAGTTCCATTTTCAGGATTTCTCTTTAATTAAACTTAATCAGGTCACAAACTATGTGAACAGCCTTAACCACAGTGTATTGGTCAAAGAAAAAAAAAATCAACAGCAGTTATTTAGCATTGCAGCAGTACTGTCTGAGGCAGTACTACTAATCAGAACTAACAAGAGACTTACCAAAAAAAACTTAAAAGAAAATATTGGGAAATGAGATGTCCATAGGGTTGAAAATCTCTGACAGTCCTGGGCATCTATAAAGCTATGCATTTGCACAAGACTTTGTACATGACCATGGCAAACCTAAGCTCTTAAATTATCAACTCTGGCTGACTTTGAGGTTCTGCACAAACAGGAAGCGAAGGATAAGGTAGAATTGTAAACTACCTCATGGGAGCTTTGAAAGCTTGCCCCAACATACGCACTTAGCTTCTTAACAAAGGCTGAACGAGTTACTATCCTAAGGAATTTAAGGCAATCTCTAACTGATCACTAGTTGACCACTAAGCTAATGGAGCAGAGACTTTAGAGGTGGGACATACCAAAACACAAGCCTTAAAGTTTTAATCCAGGAAAGTCACTAAACAACAAATGGCAGCAGAAACAAGAGCAACACATGGCAACAATGACAAACCTTGTATGAAATGGAGTAATAAATCTGATTTCCAGAGTTGGCATGCTATAAAACAATAAATTAATATATACAAAATAATATTTTAATTTTTAGCATTATACTACTAAAATGTCCAGTTTTGAATAAAAACTTGTGAGACACACAAGAAACAGGAAAGAATGGTCCATACAGAGAGAGAGAAAAAAAAGGTGGCAATAGAAACTGTTCCTTGGAACATCAGATGTTGGACTTACCAGACAAATATTTTAGCAGCTATTTTAAATAGGTTTAAAGAACTAAAGGAAACCATGTCTTAAGAGCTAAGAGAAAGTTGCAAATGATGTCTCCACATAGGGAATAGTTAATGAAGAAATAAAGAAATTATAAATAAAAACAAAGCCCCAAAACCCTGGAGTTGAAAATTACAATAACTTAAATGCAAACGTCACTAGAAAGGGAATTTTAACTGGTAGAAGAAAGAGTCAGTGATCTTGAGCAAAGTCAATTGGGATTTTTCCAACTGAGGATAAAAAGAAAAAAATAAAGAATAACAAACAGAGCCTCAGAGACATTTTGGACTCTATGAAACACACTAACATATGCATAATGAGAACCCCAGAGGAGAAGTAACAGAGAAAAAAAAATATTTGAAGAATGAGCAAAGATTTGAATAGACAGTTCTCCAAAGAAGATATACCGGTGGCCAATAAGCACATGAAAAGATACTCAGAATCTTATCTGTCCTTTGGGAAAGGCAAATTAAAACAAACAATAAAATAGCACTTAACATCCAGTATGATGGCTGTAATAAAAAGCCCAGCAATACGTGTTGCCAAGATAAGGAAAAAATGGAACACTCGGTATTGCTTGTGGGCATGTAAAATGGTGCAGCTGCTTTGGAAAATATACTAGTTTGTAGTTCCTCAAAATGTTAAACATAATATTACCATATGACCCAGCATCTGCACTCTTAGGTATATACCTCAAAGAATCAAAGACATGTGTCCACAAAAAAATCTTTTACATGAATGTCTACAGAGTCATTATAAATGACAGACATAAAGTGGAAATAACCCAAATGCCCATCAACTGATGATTGAATAAACATGATGTGGTACATCCATACAGTGGAATATTATTTGGCTATAAAAAGCAATGAAGTTACTGTACGTGCTATGCCATGGATAAACCTTAAAAACCTTATGCAATGTGAAAGATGCCAGACTAGAAAAATCTCATGTTATTTGATTCTATTTATATGAAATGTTAAGGATAGGCAAATCTCCAGAAACTGAAATTAGATTATTGGTTGCTAGGGGATGAGGGTAGGGCATCATATTGTGTGACTGTTAATAAGTATGGAATTTTGTTGCTATCACATAAAATTTGAAATTTTTTATTTTTTACTTAAAAAAATTGCTTTTTGACAGAAACTTAACACTTTAACATGTTTCACCACATTGATTTTGTCTTAAGAAAAGAAACGAAATAACCTGGGAATTTTCCTTTTAGAGAGAAAGTTATACAATATCCCTACTTACATTCAGGCCACCTTAATCAGGAATCTGGCAGGTGTTTATAGTACATTTACAAAATTGTTATATATATTACTGAGTAACAGGAAGTATTCTATGTGTAGCTTTAATTTATATAAATGTAATTATATGTTTTTTCAAAAACTTTTTTACTCATGTTTCAGAGATAATCATGTTTTGATTCTAATAGTCATACTTTTAAAACTGTTGTGTAGCTGTCATATGATATTAGCACAATTTATTTGAGATAACTTTTGAAATGTCTGCTATTGTATTCAGTTCATTTTTGAGGTAGAATGTTCATAAACAATTATCAGCCTGGAAAAAATATGGTCTTTTGTTCTTGTGCAGGTTATTACCAAACTTACATAATGATAAAACATCTGATTTAAATTAAAAGTTTTAATTGGATATTTTGCTACATGATGACAAATATCAGTAGTTACTAAGTATCTGCACATTTGAAATTAGGGAAAAAAAAATCCACTTATTTTTCAACATCTGGATGTCTGATACCTTGTTTGGAACTATTAATAATAGTATTTTTCTAACTTTGCCTTATTTTATAGGTTTGATCTATTTTAACGCAAATAACTTAGAGAATTACTTTGTTTACTTCAAGTAAACAAAAATAGCATGATAAATATATTTAGATAATTGTGACAATGATAAAAATCTTAATTTGTCTGGTCAATTGTAATAATATCATTACTTCCTTTCATTAGGAAGTTACTCTGGTACCTAACTATGTGGCTTTAGGTAAGATACTGTGTGTCTCAGTTTACTCAATTCTAAATTGTATAGTGTAACTAAAGATAGTAGCTACTTTATGCATTTCTGTAAAGATTAAATAAGCTAATTCATGTAAACTTTGCTCTTTGCCAGATAGTGCTTGGCATAGAGAAAGTGTACAATAAATATTAGTTTATATTTTAAGACAGTTCATTTTTCTCTTTTGCCTGTCTTCATGTATTGTTTTTTGTTGTTGTTTGTGTTTGTTTTTTGAGACAGAGTCTCGCTCTGTCGCCCAGGCTGGAGTCCAGTGGCGTGATCTCAGCTCACCACAGCCTCCGACCCCATGGTTAAAGTGATTCCTGTGCCTCAGGCTCCCGAGTAGCTGAGACTACAGCCACACACCACCATATCCAGCTAATTTTTGTATTTTTGTAGAGACGGGCTTTTGCCATGTTGGCCAGGCTGCTCTCTAACTTCTTACCTCAGGTGATCCACCTGCCTCGGCCTCCCAAAGTGCTGAGATTACAGGCATGAGCCACCACACCTGGCCCCCATGTATTATATTTTTAAATGCATTTTTATTGCTTTTTTCCCTGTTTCATATGGGTAAATATTTGTTTACATATTCCCCCAGAAATCTCCTAAAACTATGTAAACATGTCAGTCACTAAATCTTGTATCAAGATTAGCATGAACCTCAAATTTCATTTAAAATTTTTTCTAGTCTGGGATTCTTTTTAAGTTCAAATCCATATATATTCTGTTCCAATAGGTAATGATGCCAGTGGTAAATAGAACAAATTAGACTAGGATAAAAGAAAAAATAAAATTACATTCATAGAAATTAAACTTAATGAGGATCAAATCAACAAGAGAAATAAGCTTTATTTGTGTTTCAAATCCTAGGTTAAGTAAATGGAAATAATTATTAAGTGGAGTGTCTAAGGCTTATAGATAACTGTGCTCTATTGCTACCAAGGAAAGGCATAGAAAATGAAAAACTGAGGGACACATAAATAAAATGATGTATGTGATTAAAACTTACTAGTTTCAGGTCCTGCATGGGAAATCAGGAGTTGGCTCTATGTTAGGACTTTCAAGGGCAATGGCTTTAGTGTCAAAGCTTCCTGGGGATCAGGATAGTTGATCATTGCAAAACATAACCAGATTGAGAATGAGAATCACTGTAGAAAGCCATCAAGACTACCGTGGCTTCAAACTGGGTAAAGAGCAGAGGCTGGAAAAAAGCAGTGAGTATGGTAACTTGGACAAAATGTGACTAACAAGACAATGCACTGAAATTGAGGATTCAGTGTATAGAAGAAAAATTCATCACAGAACCCACTGTTTATAGAATACCCTGTGATACAGCAATATGAAATGAATATTGTAGCTTTAAAAACCATGTTAGGTTTAATCTGTTCATATACTGTATAAATGGTCATTTCAAAAATTCAGAAACACGAACATCGTGATATACGCCTTTGGGGAGCAATTCAGCTGGAAGTAATTTTTGATTCCTGATCCTGATTTTTAAAGGTAAACTACTAACAAATATTCAATAAATAAATCTGCCTTAATTTAAATATTTAGAATATTTTAACCACTGTGCTATGACACGAGTATACCTAAAATACACAGTTCTTGAACTCAAGAAGCTCAGGCCCTTTGAAAAATAAAACTCACAAATAATTTTAAAAATCAATACAGTGGAATAAACAGTACTATGATAGAGAATATAGACAGATGATTACCTTGGTGTAACTTTGGTTTGGGAAGATCACTATGGAGAATATTTTACAATATTGAGGATATTTTTTTCTTCCTATAGCTAGTCTGGTCCACCAGAAAGGGAAGAATGAAAGTTTTCTGCTGGATCAATAGATAGTAAGGCTGTTTACTGATACACAGGAGACAGACTGAAAGGGAAGCATGTAAGTAGTGGGATGATTTGGGTAAGAAAGTGAATCAAGAGTTCCACTTCAGATTATTTGCATTTGGGAGGTCTGTAATACATCAAAGTGGATATGTCAAATAGGCACTTGAAGATGTGAATCTGGAATTTAGAAGACAGACTTTATATAAATAAGGGAGTTATTTGCCATAAGGTTGGCATACAAATGCATGAGAATAGATAGGACCACCAGGGATATAATGTAGAAAAAAATACCTGAGGATTAGGATTGAGCTTTTATGGTTAACAGCAAAAATATAAACAGAGTTTTTAAAAGAAATTGCAATATTAATATCTGATAAAATATCACTGGTATCCCATGTTCATGGGTTGAAAGAATTAATACTCTTAAAATGTCCATACTACTCAAGTGATCTACAGATTAAATGCAATCCCTACCAAAATTCCAATGGCATTTTTCACATAAATATAATAAATAATCCTAAAATTCATATGGAATCACAAATGACTAAAGCAATCTTGAGCTAAAAGAACAAAGCTGTAGACATCACACTATCTGATTTTAAAATATACTGCAAAGCTACAGAACCAAGGCAACATGGAACCAATATAGAAACACGTATATAGACCAATGGAATAGAATAGAGAATCCAGAAATAAATCCACACATTTACAGTCAAGGGATTGAACAACCCAATAGTCCCATAGACTGTTCTTTCGAATAAACATAGAAATTGACCTTTCTGGTCTTACAGCTTGAAATTTAATATTTTTTTTATCTGAGTTCCTTCCTCAAGAAGGGACCTACAAGCATTTCAAAAAAAAAAAAAACAAGTATCAAAGAACTGAAACTCACCAGACAACCGCATCTGGACAATGAGACACCAGATCCCTCATTCATCATGATTGCTTCCTTGCCCTGCCTAGCTCCTACTTTCTTACACATCGTCACATTTCTTCCATGCTGTATAAACCCCTGGTTTTAGTCAGTCAGGGAGATGAATGTGAGGCTGAGCTCCCATCTCCTCGGCTGCAGAACCTGATTAAAGCCTTCTTGCTTGTCAATACTTGCCATCTCAGTGATTGGCTTTCTGTGCTGCAAGCAACAGGACCTAGACCAAATCCCTGGTGTTTCGGTAACATAATCTTCAACAAAAGTGCCAAGAACCAAGAATGAAATTGGAATCTTATCTCACACCATGTACAAAAGTCAAATCAAAATGGATTAAAAACTTAAGACCTGAGACTGTACAGGGAAAAACCTTATTGATGTTGGTCTGGGCAATAATTTTTTGAATATGACCCCCAAAACCCTGGCAAACACAAACTCAAAGTAGGTAAATGGGTTTACATCAAACTAAAAATCTTCTGCACAGCAAAGGAAAAAAAAATGAAGAGACAGCTTATGAAATGGGAGACAATATTTGCAAGGAATAAATCTGATATCCAAAATACATTCGAAACTCAAACAATTCAATAATGAGAAAACAATAACCCAATTAAAAATTGACAAATGATCAGACATTTCTCAAGAAGACATACAAGTGGCCTCCAAGTACATGAAAAAATGTTCAACATCACTAATTATCAGGGAAATGCATAGCAAAGAAAACAATCAACAAAGTGAATAGACAACCTACAGAAAGGGAGAAACATTTACAAACTGTCCATCCAACAAGGGATTAATAACCAGAATACTCAAGGAACTCAAGCAAGTCAGTAACAAAAAACAAAAAAATCTGCTTTAAAAATGGTAAAAATGACTGAATAGACATTTTTCACAGAAGACATACAAATGGCTAACAGGTGTATGACAAAATGCTCAACATCATCAGTCAGCAGGGAAATATGAATCAATGAATTAAATATATATATAAATATATATTTATATATAATTATAATTATATATATAATTATATATATAAATATAATATATATTATATATAATATATAATAATTTATATAAAATATATATAATTTATAATATATATTATATATTATATGTATTTATAATATATATTATATATTATATGTATATATAATATATATAATATTTTATAATATAATATAATATATTATACTACAATATATTATTATATATAATATTATATTATATTATATATAATATTATAGTGATAATATTATTATATATATTATTATATATATTTAGTGATAATATATTATAATTATATATTATATATTATATAATATATTATAATTATATATTATATATTATATATTATAATTATATATTATATATTATATAATATATTATATATTATATATTATATAATATATTATATATTATATATAACATATAATTATAAATTATATATATTAATTATATAAATTATTATATATAATATATAATCATATATTATATTTATATATAATTATATATATAATTATAATTATATATTAAATATATAATATATTTAACATATTATAAATATATATTAAATATATTAAATATATGAATATATACATTAAATATATATAAAAATATATTAAATATATACATATATTTATAAATATATGTAATATATGGTATATAAATATATAATATATATAAAGGAAATTAATATATTGAAGAGTTGCCGGCACTCCCGTGTTCATTGCAGCATTACTGACAATAGCCAAGACATAAAATCAACCTAAGTGTCCATCAACAGATGAATGGGTAGAAATAATGTGGTACATATACACAATGGAATACTATTCAGCCATAAAAAAGAATGAAATTCCATCATTTGTGCCAATGTGGATGGAACTAAATGTCATTATGTTACGTGAAATAAGCTAGGCACAGAAAGACAAATATTGCATGTTCTCACACATATGTGGGAGCTAAGGCAGTGAGTCTCATGGAGGTGGTTACCAGAGGCTGAGTAGGGAAGCAGAGGAGGAGAAGAATGAAAGAGTTGGTTAATGGGTACATTTAAATGGAAGGAATAAGTTATAAAATTTAATAGTACAGTTGGGAAATTATAATTAACAATAATTTATTGTATATTATAAAGTACCTAGGAGAAAATAATTATGTTTTCAATACAAAAAAAATAAATATTTTAGTGATGCATATCCCAGTTACTTTGATTTGATTATTATTACACATTATATTCAGGTATTAAAATACCACATGCACCCCCAAAATGTGTACAACTATTATATATTAATAGAAACATTTCAAATAATAAAAATATAATCAGAAGCATTGCTGAAGAAAATAAGACCAAAAGCGTTTCCATATTAGCACTACATTTTCTGTCATTCTTTCTGAATCGACCCTTGTCCTTGCTGCCCTCCACTCTGAGGTAGGAATTTCCTGTTATGTCTCCTGCAGGGATGTCTATGCCTATCCCGGAAAACTCTCATTTTCTAACGGGAATTCTATTCCAATCATGCTACTTCGCCCCCCTTTTTTTTTTCTCACATATTTTTGTTTGTTTGCCTCAGGGATTTGAAATCTCTGACTGAACAGAAGTGACTTTAGAATTTGCAATAGCAGAGTAAAGAAGAGTGCTGTATTCTGCCCACTACACAATGCATCCAAAAAAGTGGAGACAGAGGACATTGTATTGCTGGGCACAGGGTTTCTGAATCAAGCATCTCAGTTGACGGTGGCTGAGGGAGTAGCATGGGGCAAGGGGTGAGGATTGGAGGTAGGAGGTAGTTGGTTGTTATACAACAACCTTGTTTTCTTCCTATCTCTATTTCTTCTTAGTCTCAACTCTACTTCATGAAGTGAAACCAGGTATGTCTTTCACAGGACTTTGTCACATACTTTTCTTACTACTCCCAATCCCTTTAAAACAAAACAAAACAAAACAAAACTCTATTTTTCATCTGTCTTACGATAAGAGAAAGTGCCAGTAATTTTCTAGCACTTGGGTTTTACTTTGTCAGTTTTTATCTGTGACCTTTTAAAATCTTGTTCTATGCTTTCATTATATTTTAGTGAGAAGTTGAGACAGATTTCCCATGTGCCATTTTGATCTAATAATCTTTCTTGAGTTGTGAAAATTGTATCATGTACAGAGAAGGTCGTTCTAGGGAAGCACAAGTAAAAAGTCTTTGTAGTATCTGAGACCATGGAATTTTCAGAAAACTGATAAATAGGATTTGGCTTGGGACATGATGTGGTTGTCAGCAAATGAGGGAAAATGTGGCTGAAAATAGGTGGGCCACCTGCTGATTTTTTGCAGTCTGTGAAAGCATATTTTCCGTTTGCAAAAAGAACACCAACTAAATAGTAGTGCCAATATTGCACAATTGAGGAACCATAACTGATTGTGTTATCATTTCTGCTATATTTCTAAGGCAGTAATTGATGCTCTGGTTTGAATAGAATAGTCTCCATGTGAACAATTTATGAGGATGTAGGATCTATCTAGATTCTGTTGGTATAAATTGGTTCACAAATTGCTGAAACTAAACCAAGCTGCTGGCTAAAAGAATAGTTTATAAAATACTGTGCTCTGAGGTTTGCTTGTAAAGAACCTAGTTCTGGACTATCATGTTCCATAGAAATAGGCACCCTTATAGCCAACTATGCACGCAACTATTTCACCTCAGAACATACCAGATTAAGTGCAAAGACAAATGTGGAATTCACCCATTGCCACTGCTACTTGTTTTAAAGTCTGATTTCTTGGGGAATGGACAGAATTGATTTCTCAAATTCTTCATTGGATCTCTATCTATCCCAGTTTCATGCCACATTTATTATACTTTCCCCAACTCATTCCTTAACCACAGGATCATTCTACAACATTTTCTGAGCTATTACTATGCAGTGGACATTGTGTATGTCCAGCCCTTCAAAGAGTACCTAGCTTTATAGTATACTCATTTTGCTTAAGAGCAACTAAAGGTAAGCCATGTCAGCCTAGTTATTAAATGACTAAGATTTACGCTTCAGTCAATGTCATCTGAATTGGAATGAAAAGAAGTGATGCTACAATAGCATTGTTAAGATCATAAAGTCTTATCAACCTGTCTAAGGAAACCTGAATAAGTAAAACATTTGAAGGCAAAGTCTATGCCAGCTCTTTTCTAATGTTGTTTTAAGGAAACTCCTCTACTCCTAAGTACACAATGAAATAAATAAACAGTTTAATAGGAAAACCATACTATAATAACTTCATATATTTTTCTTAAATCAAAGGTTCTTTAAAGACCCTCTTAAAATATTAACTCATAAATCCTCTATGACCTAAAATATTACAGCATCAACATTATCTGTCAAGTAGTTTGTTCAAAAGTTTATAAATAGTGTAAAACTCAAGCTACTATTAACTTTAACTCACCACATTACACTGTATGTCTTAATTATGATTTCATTAATGGTTATATACTTTCTTGAACTATCAGTATCTATTTTGCTCATAGCACATTTGTTTTTACCTTCACATATTTCGAATACAAGTGATTTGTCTTTGTATTAGTGATATTATCAAGGGAAGTACCATTTAGAAACCCTGATGTCTGGGCAAAAGTCATTTTGGAGGTTTTCAAGATGTAATTTGTAAGAAGACTTTATCATAATGTTTTAGAGTGTTGACTTTGGTTTCACACTACCCAAAGTATCAGTAACAGAATGGGTTTCTACCAATGTCAAACTCCTGCCCCCTAGTAGCTCAGCTACTTTGTGCTAGTGATTAGGGTCTTGAACTTTCCATTTCCATATTTACAATATGGAGATCAAATAGTACAGCCTCAGGTCTGTGGTATGATTGGAAAAAGATAAATCAACTAAATGCTTATAAGACTCCCTGGCACATAGTATTTAATAAATGGTAGCTATTAAAGTGTAAGGACATATGATAACTAATAAATACTAGTTTTATCATATATCTTGTGTAATGTGGCTCCTTAAAGCACTGGCCTTGATGTAATATTGTCCAAATAAATCTTTAAATATGGACCACTGAAAACTTGGTATAGCTAACTTTGTCACTAAATAGGGATGCACTCCTACATGAACTGAAAATAATTTCGTCATGAGAGGAGAAAACATGAAACTTACAATCTATCTTGTCTTTAGTCTTTCTTTATCTTAAATTAAATTAAAGAAATATCCGGCAGGGCGCAGTGGCTCACGCCTGTAATCCCAGCACTTTGGGAGGCCGAGGCGGGCGGATCACGAGGTCAGATCGAGACCATCCTGGCTAACACGGTGAAACCCCGTCTCTACTAAAAATACAAAAAATTAGCCGGGTGTGGTGGCGGGTGCCTGTAGTCCCAGCTACTCGGGAGGCTGAGGCAGGAGAATGGCCTGAACCCAGGGGGGCGGAGCTTGTAGTGAGCCGAGATCGCGCCACTGCACTCCATCCTGGGCCACAGAGCGAGACTCCATCTCAAAAAAGAAAAAAAAAGAAAGAAAGAAATATCCCCCAAGCTTCTAAGAAGCCAGCTTAGTATCCAAGGAACATACAAGGGCAAATAAGACATGTCCCTGTCCTTAAATAATTTTACAACTTAGTGCCATATAAACACATATAGACAAATAAAGAATTTAGTCTATTGTGACACTTTATGTGCTAAAAGTGTAAATGAGGAGATCCAGGAATGAAGGAGATGGAAGATTCCTGGAATAGATGGCATTAGAGCTAGGTCACTCCATGGTATATGCACCAAAGCAGAAAAATGAGAGGGAGGGATGTGTCTTTCCAACAGAGGAAACACAGGGCTCAAAGGCAGATAAGCAAATAGGAAAGTTCAAGAAGAGTTCTGGCACATTTGCATCAATTTGTAGTGCATATAATTGTAATGGGTGCATTTGAAAACACAACATTTAATATTAGTACCTTGACTTAAGAATAGTTGCTGGCTGGCACAGTGGCTCATACCTGTAATCTCAGCACTTTAGGAGATCAAGGTAGGAGGATTGCTTATAGCCAGGAGTGCAAGACCAACCTGACTGATGGCTCTTGCAATAAAACAAGACCCCCACCTCTACAAAAAAAATTTAAAACATTTGCTGGACATGGTGGTATGTGCCTATGGCCCCAGCTACTTGGGAGGCTAAGGCAGCAGAATCACTTGAGCTCAGGAAATGGCCCAGTGAGCTATGATTGCCGCCACTTTACTCCAGCCTGAGCAACAGAGAGAGACCCTGTCTCCAGACAAAAACAAAAACAAACAAACAACAAAATAACGGAAAAAAAAAAAAAAACCCCAAGAATAGATGCCAATAAATTAAGGCACAATTTCATTTTCCTGAATAAAATTTAATTTTATTACTTTAACATTTGCTTAACCAAAAGAGTTCAAAATATTAGTACTATTTTACTATTACTACAGCTCCTGTGTTTTTCAAAAATATTTATTATCTGCCAATGATAAAAGACTTCCTAGCCCTTTGAAATATAATTATTTTAGACAAAATTTAGATATTCCCAATCCAGAAGCATCAAAGTACATAATATATTTTTTCCTTTTTCAGATTTCCCAGTAGGAATTGTAGCTGTTTTCTATTTTATGGCCTAATGCCAAAAGTAATTTTATTAGTCAAGTGAAGTTAACACATTTTCATTTTTAACTGAGGGCAATTTACTTCCTGCTGGTCATTTACAGTTTCCTCTCTTAATGACTGACTTAGTAAAAGTGAAAGATAGCCTCAGGCTGCTTCTCAACAGGTCATTAACAAGTTGTAAATGAGAGGAACATTCAGACTATCACTTCAATCATACCTGTGTATCCAAATTTAAACATTACTAACTTGTTTTAGATCATGAGGTGCTCTAATCTGAAATACTCATTCTATTCCCAGCCTCATGGCACCCTATAGCGTGAATTACCTAAAGGATATTTTGGCAAGAATTAAGGCTTAAGCTTGTGTATTTTTTGTTAAATGTATTTTTATTCAATGCATTATCACAAAATGAATTCCAAGTAATCATTATTCATACCAAGACAAAAAATAGTAAACAGCACCCCTCCAAAATCCACTTTCATCTTGTTCTATCCAAACCACTTACCACTTCCTTCCCATCCAAAGTTAACCAATATCTTTGCTTCTGTGGAGATGCTTCCTGGCTTTTCTTTATAAAGGAAGTTTGTTCTTTAGACACCAACTAAATGTGCATATAAATACTATATATAAATACTATATAGGGTATCAAAACTACTACACTATAGTGTAGTAAGAATACTATACTTGTGTTTCTCCTTATTTTGAACTTTAAATATTTAGAATCATATAAGCATTTGTCTTTTTGGTCTGGCTTTTTTGGTTCAACATTGGCTTTATGAGATTTAACTGTGTTATTTCCTGTAGCAATACTTGATTATTCACTTTCACTGCTGAATATTTTTTTACTTCTACAAAGAAACACAATCTGTTTATTCATTTAGTGTCAATTGAAAATTCAATTTATGCCTGTATTGCTGTTATGGGACATTCTGTTACACATCTCTTAGTGCACATGTGCATGAATTACTGTTGGGTATATATCTAGGTGTATGATTTTGGTTCTTAAAATCTGTGCAGCTTCAACTGCAGTATATAGTTCTCAATTTTTCTCACATACTAGTAGTTTATGTGAGCTCCCAATGCTATACATTCTCATCACCACTTGACATTCCTCAGAATTTTTAAATTGCATTCATTCTGGTGAGTGTTATAGAGGTTACCTCATTAAAGTTTTAACTTTCATTTTCCTTTGTACTAATGATTTTGAACTACTTTTCATATGTTTATTGAACATTTTGATATCTTTTCTTTTTGAGACCAGCCTGGCCAACATGGTGAAACTCCGTCTCTACTAAAAATGCAAAAATTAGCTGGGCATGGTGGCAGCTGCCTGTAATCCAAGCTACTTAGGAGGCTGAGGCAGGAGAATTGCTTGAACTCAGGAGGCAGAGGTTGCAGCGAGCCCAGATTGCGCCATTGCACTGGATGACAGGAGCTAAACTCCTCTGTCTCAAAAAACAAACAAACATAAAACAAAAATCATTACTTCAGTTACCAATTTTTCTGTTCTTTGTAATAGAAAAGTAGTAGTGATATCATGGATGCATGTGTTGTAAATATGTTTTTCCATTTCTTGGCTTATTACCCCATTTCTTCAATAGATTTTTATAAAGCAAATACATACTTAATTTCAATTTTTATTCATCCACTTTTTTTTATTTCTGGCAAGAGTTTTCTAAATTTTACTTTAAGAAGTCATTCCATGACTTAGAGGTCAGAAAAATAATCTCCAATGTTATGTTATAGAATCTTTGTAGCTTTGCTTTTGCATTTAGATCAGCTTCCTCCCCCAACTTGATATGATCTTCTATTTGGTATCCAATAAAGATCAAAATTCTTTTTTATAGAAATATCAAATTGCCAGCACTACGTATAGATGGTATTACTCGTGCTGTTTAGTCTGCAATAACTCCCTTGTCATAAATAAGTTTCCATATGTTTGCAAGACTCTTTCAGAGTTCTTTATTCTGCTACAGTATTTATCAATATTATATAATTAATCCTTTTTCTTCTTCAAGAGTGTCTTCACATATTTGGCCCTTTGAGTTTCTGCATATATTGTATTACCTTTCAAGTTACACACATACCTGCATATAAAACCTGTAGTGATTTTTGTTGGGATTATATCATGGTGTCTATGATTCAATCTTTGGAAATCAACGTCTTTATGATATTATTTTCTAGTTTATGTACAAGAAATCTCCCTTCATTTACTTTGTTATTTAACATTTCTTTTAGTAATGGTTCACAGTTTTTTAGAAAATGTCCTAGTTATTATTTATTAGATTTATTCACATATATCTTATTTTTGTGGAGTCATTTTAGATGGTACATATATTTACTTTATGTTTGTTGATGATTTGCAGGCTATAGATGAGTTTTATATGTTGATTGGTACCTAGCAACTGTTTTCAGAATCACTATAATCTTATTAACTGATTTTCATTTTATTTAAAAAGTTTTATGAACATAATTATATTCTCTAAAAATACTGACATTTATTTCTTGCCTGAAAATCCTTATAATATTTATTTCTGTATATTGCACTCCTCTAAAGGCAAGTAGTCAAATATTATAAATTATTGGTACTAGCAGGTATCTTTGTCTCATTTCAAAACTAAAGGCAAAGTTCTTTCCTTCTGCGTTTATTCTGCTAAGGATTTTTTCCCTGAGAATGGATAACAAAATGCTTCTACTGGTATCTTCTAATAGTTTTTCTTCATTTTGCTAAGATGTAAATTTGGTTTCACAAAATATTAAGACAACTGTATATTCCTACAATCAGCCCAACTTTTCTATATTTTATCCCATTCATATACTGGTGAATGTGCTTTCTTAATGTTTTTATTTAGAATTTTTGTATCTAGTTTTTTCATGACTTTGGCTTGTAATTTAACCTCCTTGTATTATTCTTTTCAATTTTCGGCATAGGCAATGTTGACTTAAAGAAATAGTTGAACACTGTTCCCTCTTTTCCAATTTTCTGGAAGAGTTCATGTTAACTTATTTTAATTTCTTCCTTAAATATCTGATAGAATTCATTGATGAATCCATCTTGGCCTGGTGCTTTCTTTGCATCAGGTTTTATAATTATGGATTATTCTTAAAGCATGGCTTTACCGATACCTAGAAGTTTTGATGTAAAATATTTTTTATCATTTTCAGTTTAAATATTTTCTAATCTTTATTATGGTTTCTTCTTTTCCCTAATCCATAAATTATGTAAAAGTAATCTAGTTAATTTATACAATATGCAGAGGTTTATCATTGGTTTCTGACCCAATGATCTCTCAGTTTTTTTCTATTTGATTTTTGTTTCTTTATTTTTTCTTCCTGTTTGTTTTGCTAACAAAAATCCTTATATCTTCTTTATTCTTGATTGTTATCACTCCATTTTCCTGGGTGTACACTATTTCTAATGTGGAGTTAACTGTCTAACTATTATTCCTTAAAATTAGCCTTCCTTTTTCTCTGGCTAGTTTTAAGGCTTCTCTTTGTTCTTAATTCTCATTAATTTTCCTGTGATATGCCTGGATATAACTTCATTTTACTTATTCTCATGGCTATGGTGAGCTTCTTGTATATGAGGCATGATGTTTCTCAGTAGTTTGAAGCTGTAAGTTCCTCAATATCTCTTTCCTTTAATTTCCCTTGTCAGAAGTTTGGTTCCTCAGGTATCAGACATTGAGATGGAGTTTAGCACACAGGACACTTATTAAGGCATACTCTTGTGGTCAATGTCTGTGGAATGAAGGAAAACAATGCAAGAATACCCAGTTGAGGGAGAAGTTGAGCTGTGATGCAGACCCAAATCCTGCTTTAGCTGACCCCTAAGGAGGTAAGGTGCTATAATGGCTTCTTGGGTTTTCCCAGGTCAGGCCAAGGAAGCCAGCTGTTTCAATAAATATAAATGTCAGTCAATATATATAAATGTCTGCAATGCTATGGACTGAATATTTGCGGTCCCCCCAATTCCTTTGCTGAATTGCTTTAATACCTGATGTGATAGTGTTTGAAGATGAGGACTTTGACGGTAATTAGGTTTAGATGAGCTCATGAGAGTGGAGCCCTCCTGATGTGATTAGTGCCCTTATAAAAACAGAGAGACCGGAGACTTCTTTCTCTGCCATGTGAGGATATAGCAATAAGGTGATCATCTACAAGCCAGAAAGATGATCCTTCTTAAGTGCTAGCTGACACTGAATCTGCTAGCACTTCTTCAAAGCAGAAGAAAACTAACACTGTAGTGAGAATTACTGAGCCAGGATCCAGGAAAATAGGGAGGCTCAAGTAGGTGAGCATTTCTTCCTAAAATCTATCTTCTTTGCTTCTTTTCTTGGTAAAATTTCAGCCATAAACTACTGAATTTTCTGAGTGCATTAAACCTCTTCTACTGTAATGAATTGCCAAACCATTCCCCTAATCATATTCTAATATTTTCCTTCTACTCTTTTAGGGTCTTTGTAGAGTAACCTCTTTGGCTTTAGTAACGTTCACTTGGGATCCTACACTCAGAAAAAATGTCACCTAAGGTATCAATTTCATTTTACAGATGAAGAATTCTAGATCTAAAGAAGTTAACCCTGAATTCCAATCACAAACATTTTTAAATGTCTAATTTTTTTTAATTTTGAAAAATTTCTTTATGTCATGAACTTACTTGTCCTTGAACATTTAGCTTGTCCATGAAAGAGGGAAGAGCAGCAGCCAAATATCTGGTTCTGGTCCTGTGCTCTTTCGTAAACTTTCCAATAATCACACATCATTTTCTTCTCTTTGGCCTTGAATTTTTAAATGTGCATTATTTACACAATGGGAGCTGCCTGTATTTTTCTTTATATCATAATCATATGAATTTTAATAAGATTTATAAAACTTTTCATAAAATTATATGTTCTTAAGTCATAAAATTATAAGCTCTTCATATCAGGATTTCCAATTATATATGTGTCTACTCATCCCATGATTTTAATGATACTTCTAGATTTAGTTTTCACTTGGGGAGTATTCAACAAAATTAATTTTAATGAAAGTTATATTTTAACTCAATTTTAAGAAGAAAAAGCTAGGAGAGTTCTAATATAAATCTGAATCTTGACATTTATTCTTTGAAAAGTGCAATTACAAGCAACAGTTTTTAAAAAGTAAGAACAAAAACAATCTGTTCATTAGATAACTCATAAACTTCCAAAATAATTGTCTAAAAAAATTAGGAGTATTTTAGCTATGTCTGATATGTTATTTCTGAATATACATATGTCCAATTTACAGATTCAAGAATTACAATGCACTTGTGTTATTGTAGTGAAAAGTTAGAAATCATCCAAATGTCCATCTACAAGAAGACGGTTACTTTGTGGTATATGTAGAAAATGGACACCTGTATGGCAATTTAAAAGAAATAAACTAAGATGTAGGCAAGTTTCCAAAATGATGAAGAGCAAAAAATGTTCAAAAGCTAAATTGTAGAAGGACCAAAACAAAAATGATGCAATTTAATAGAGTTTAATTATATAAATAATGCACATATGAAATGTTATTAGATTTGTGATTAAAGTATAAAACCATACATGGAAATAATTAACACTAGTTTAATTATTAACACTAGTTTAATTAATTATTAATAATTAACATGAGGTTCTAGTGGGGATGATGACTTTTGGGTAGAAGTAGAAGTGATATTGGAGAGGGGGAGTTCAATTTTTACCTGTAATATTTAGTTTCTGTTTGTGTTTTAAAATATATTTGATGCAAATGTCATAAAATTGATGGTGGATACAGGGCTGTCAGTATATATTTTTTATATGAACATCTGAAAAACACTTGAATACTGAATTGATGTGTTCTCACTAAATTTAAGATTAACAAAAACTCATTCAGTTGGAAGATAAAGGACTAAAATAAAATCGGCATAATTAATAAAACCACTGAATTATATAATTAATAAGTCCAGGGGAAATTTAGTCTCAAGCACAGTTTAGTCCAAAAGTTTAAATGGCATCAGAAATTTGATTTTCTTGACCACTTGACTCTGTTTTCCTCATCATACAAAGATGGCCCCAGAAGGCTCCAAACTCACATATTCACAGATAAGCAAAACCAGTAGGGAGAGGTTCTTTTTCCCAATGTTTCTAGAAGAAGGTTCAGGGTCTGCTGCCATTTATCTAATTTTAATAGCATATCTAGTTAATTGTGAGCAGACTGAACATTTTGATAGGTATGGCCACCAATCCCATAAAAAAAGCCATAGACCGTAGAGGAAAAAGCAGTTCCACAAGAGGGAAAACAAAACACTGATAGTATTGGTGCTGGGTAGGTAAAAATAACCCAACTTCCAGTTTCATTTTACAAATGTGCATTTTGATAGTATTGTTCAGCTAGTAATATCAGTATATTCAAGAAAGGAAGACATATATTGATATTTCTCTCTCATCTTCCAATTATATGTCACTTTTTTTTTTTTGGCCGAGAATCCCTGTGGAAGTTCCCAACCATTTCCCACCTCCAATCATACTGACTTAACAGAAACTAATAGGCTGCATATACATTGTTTTTGCTGATTTAAAGTGATTGATTCTTGTTTAGATATAGTAGTTTATAAATTTACCAATATAATTTCCCAGGCGATGTGAATTTTTAAAACTAAATACTATTTTTAAAAACCCAATCATTCTATAATAAACTCATTTATTCAATCACTAGCTTAATGGCTAATTAATAATGCAGGTTTTAGGGTCTATATACTGATAGAAATTGTCCCTCTAGAAAGTTTGCATATTTGTTTGCTATATCCTTATTCCAGTATTTTCTTATGATCTGTGTCAAAATATTGAAAAATGAGTAACAGATGCGTCATTGAAACTTCTTTAAATAAAAAACAAACAAATACATTTAAATCACATTTAACTTTTTTATCATGCAATTGTGAATTAGGTCCTTTCTTTTATTGGTAATTAGAGTGTGGAACAGATGGTGTAGACTTTGGCAAAAAGTGATAATCTCTCCAAAGTAACATGTTGTCAACTGATTATTAGCAAAATAAAGATCTATTCCCTTGATCAAGCGTCTGTTTTAAAGGTTAGAAAAGAAGAAACGTGTTTCAACTACAAAAATATGGGATTTTACAAATAGAGAACAGCATTCCGATGCTTTGAGTCCTGGGCACATTTTGTTAGTTGCCATTCATCTCGAAACAGTTTCATTAAGTTTTTGACATGATCATTTGGAGAAATTTCTCCATTATTGTCTCTCCAATAGTCCTGACAAATTATTAGTAAGCACTGGAAGAAACGGTCCTGATTTCACCATGCATCTCCCCTAAACTACACTTCCATTGTGTTCTTCAGAGGGACCTCTACAAGGGTACCCAGGAACTCTGAGAGCTATAAATAATTTACCAGGAGCCAGAACACCTCGTCTTGATGTAGGCTTGACTCATTCTAGGTGCAAAAGTAGCAGATAACCCAAGCGAGCAGAAGGCCCAGGGTCAGCATCAATGCAGGGACTCCAGATTAAGGATGTCCAGGGTAATGCTCAGAATCCATCTCTTGGTGGATTGAAAAAATAAATAGTTAAGTGAAAGACTAAAGGGAACAACTTGCCTCTGCTGATTCTTAGAACTAACACCACAGATCTAATATGCTAGGGCTTTGTTTGCCCTGATTCTTACCTCATCGCTCCTGTACCCATGCCATTTTCCCATTTGTGGCCTATATGCCTCTGGCTATTATAAAACCAAATCATCATAATTCCTTTGGTATCCTGGTCTTTCCAACTCATCCAGATTTCTCTGTTGTACAGAAAGATGGAGATAAAAAGTAAGGCAATTTATGAACATTCAGGCATTTCTGCAGGGCAAGTGAATGCATGTTCAGGTTAAGGAGCAACAATATAAATGAGTATCAAACAGAGGCACTGAATGTGTGTTAGTTGTCACAGAACTGGCAGTTTCTTTGAAGCAAAACAAGCAGTAAGAATCATTCCTCCACCTTCATATTTAGAGCAGCTAAAATCTTTACGTCTAGAAAATTTTCAGGAAAACTAAAAGTTCTAGTCATAACGAAATGCACGTATTAAATGAAGAAGAGCAAAGGTACATTCAGGAAAACAAATCTCACTTTTCTTGTATAGTCATTGCCTTACTGTAATAATTTATCAGCCATCTGGCAAGAGTATTATTGATATTTTGTATATCCAAATTACTTGTAAACTTCAATGGGTTTAGAACCATGTATTACCATTTAAAGTTTTCTTCAAACTTTAACGTTAAGGTGGTAGCTAGCCAGCATTAACCAATATGACATCCCCCAACTTCTCATCAAATGACCGGTAGAAAAATAGATAAAATGTAAAATTGTATGGAGAAATTAAAAATATTAAGCACCACTCTGTTAGACATCAAAAGGAATTACTATTAATAAAAGAGCAAATTAAATTCTATTGTAAAACACAGAGGCCAATTAGAAAGCAAATGGGATTTTCACCCATTCTTAGTGAGCACTCCTACTTTAAAGACCTAGACTATTCATTATTTAAGGGAAGGAAAACAAATGTCAGAAATGCATGAAGAACTCTGCCAGAGGTGATCAGGGCAATTTATTTTCATTTTAATTCCATCATTAAGATTTTTGTATTTCATAGTTATTTGGAACTTTATAATTTTCAAAATTATACTGTGACTGTGGTTTGAATTTGATAGTTATTGGTACATTGAATAACTGGAAATAAACTAGATACTTGAAAATACGGGGAAGTCTTGGAAGCAGTTAATTTTAACAATTTTATACTTATTTCATTTTCCTGCTATGCTAAAATCTACAGACTTTGGAAATGTTTCAACCTATAAACAAATCAAGTACTAAAACATTTTCATAAATATTATTGTTGAGAATTATAAAGTTCTGAATTATTTTTATAAGTATACTTATTAAACTTATAAAACACAATACTTGCTACTGCCATTTGTTGATGGTGAAAGAGTTGATCATTTTACTCTTGCCTTGACTATTATAGAATTTATAGGCAGCTGGAAGCTGATTAAAAAAAGATCTCAGGTACATCTGAAGAAAAATATTCCATGATATATCAGATTATTAGAGAAAGAAAGCAATCCATTTGTTCTCAGTTTAGTAAAGGCCCATTAGATAAATAACTACTTGACATCATAATTTTTAAAAGAAGTTTTTGTGTCATTAAACACTGAAACCTAGTTCTGAAAGGAGGATATGAACAGCAGCTTTATCATTAGTTAGTGAGAACGAGGGGTAAATAATCACCAAAGACTGTTTAGACTGCCACTTATTCAATGAGCAGTTCATAAGCAACTCTTACGTGGGCCCATTAAATAGATTACAATGTAATTGACTATATAATAGTCCTTTAAAGGTGCACAGACAAAATATATTTTTGATAAAGATTTACTATTGAAAAGAAAGTTAAATTTTATAAATAAATTTACCTTGTGTTCTTAGGAAATTTAAAAATATGAATGACAAAACAAGACAGTCAAAATGTTATGAAGTTATAATGAACTGAGATGATTTTTAACAGTTGACTGGATAAGAATAGGTTGTTATAAAATTAAAATCACAAAGTTATATTTGCCCAGAAGCAATAATTCACAGAAGCAATAAAGCAGGCAATGTAATCATTGGTATAAAACTCAACATTCAATATTACTCTTGGTATAGACAGAAAAGACCAAAGATGATTTTTCTTGGTATAAAGACAAGATGGACGTCAAACTAGCCTCAGATTCCTCCACGATAATAAATATTGAAGGGGTAGCTATAAAGCTTTGGGAACAATAGCAATGGATTTAACTAGGTGGTAATTCAGTTATGAAAAAATATTCAGATATCCTAAGATTTATGAACAGAAGTATATCACAAGCTTACCCTTTCTGGAGATATAAGGAACTAAGCAATAATTTAGCTGACCAATAAATACATAAAGCAAAATGATTAACTCAAGAAATAACGATGTCAATGCATGTATCAAAATATCACATGTGCCCCCAAAATATGTACAATGATTACATACAGATAAAAAATTTAACTTATAAAAAATTGAATGTTAGAGAATTTAAAAAAGACATATTTAACAGTCAAAATGCTTTAAAAATGTCCAGAAATTGTTATAAACATTAAAAATACAAACATCAAAATAATTTATAAAATCAAAGCATGTAACATTAAAGATGATGTTTCTAATCTGGGTCTAAAATTTGCAAGTACACATATAAAACAAAAAAAAACCTGTGGGAAAAAAGAAGCAGAAGCATATCAATTTATAATCTTTACCATATCTTACATGTGAAATATGAAATAAACACTTTTTTATTCCTGATACTTATTTAATGTATTTTTTAACTTAAAGGCAATTAATAGTAACAATAAATAAATAGATGGTATTTATGCCTTTAAACTATTTCAAGAATCTGTAATATATACTTCATGTTAATTAAAAGAGTTAAAAATACAAAATGTAAAGTAGGGGTTGACAACCAAAATAATATTTATGACAATCATTATAAATGGCTTATATTTTTCTATTAAAATTGAAAGACTATCCGAATGAATTGAGAATACAACTTCATACTTCTTTAGAAGTGGTAAACCTAAAGCTATGGGAAAAATGGATTAAAAAATAAATAACTTTGCATATATATATGTGTGTGTATATATATATGTAATATATGTAATACCATTCAATTGCAGTTACTTATATATGTAATACCAGTCAAATGCAGAGTTACTTATAATATGTATACTTAAATTTTATATCCTATAGAAACTGAAACTTTTTAATTTCTGATTTTATTTTTCAAGAATCACATTATTTACCAAGCTATTATTAATAACTTGCCAAGTGCAGGAATTATTACATCCATGTAGGAAAACAATATAAGACATTATCCATAAATATTTATCAATAAAAGATCAAAATATTGAGTGTGGCAAACAAATTAACAACATGTGTTTGTCTTCTGTCTAATAAATACTAACTAAAATTTAGTTATAGAAGGAAAAAAAAAGATTTACCCCAAGGAAAAGACAGAATAACAAATTTTAATCAAATTTTGAATGGCTGAAATGAAAAAGGGTTTGGTTTCCAGAATAAACAAACAAGAAAACTCTGAATTTAAGACCACAAAGGAAGATAGCAGAGTGAGGCATACAACTTAAGAAAGGAGATTCAATGAAAGCCTATTTTCTAAATGAAGAACTTTTCAGCAGCCTTCTCTGTTTCTTTCCAGAAAGGCTAGCCCTAACATTCCTGTTCTAACATCTCTTTCATCTTGAATATTATCTCCACCCCAGGTAAATTAACCCCATATGCTCCACATACAGGCAGATAGAGATTCCTTCAAACTGATCAAACTGAAGCACCACTCACACAAATGGAAGAATCAATCATATTTTTAAAGCTTTACTTATAATTTTGAACAGATATCAAAGAAAATTAGACATGAAATAAAATGAGACAAATGAAAATAAAATCAGAATTCAGTGCAGGGGAGAACAGATGTAGAACAGAGAGCAAAAGACAGATTCTATAACCTATAATTTATATTGTAGGGAGTTATAAAAATAAATTATACAACCATAATCAAAAGAGGATATAATAAAGAAGAAAATTAGAAAACAAGAAGGTTTATGAAAATTAAAAACTCGTCTCTTTTTAAAAAATATGTTTAGTTTTATTTTGGAAATAAATGTGAGGACTCTCCCAGGAAGTATAACAAAAAGTGGAACAAAAAAATAAAAGGAGAGAGAATGACACCGTAATCTGCTGTATCTGATGAACTGAAATTTTGAAAACGGAAAGAAAACACAGTAAGAAGAAAAATTGTAAAAAATGTTCAATAAAAAATAAATTCTGGTATTTCTTCTAACTTGTAAAGAACTTGCAAGCTGTCATTTTGTGCACACATCGAGAAAAAAAACTGGACAAACCAAAAATAAATTACTTTCATTTTTGTGCATACATCAAGAAAAAAGAAACTGGACAAACTGAAAATTATTTACTTTTCTTTGACCCAGTGCAAACAACCACCCAGAAATCTGGAAAGACAGGAACATTTAGAGAGATGGAGTCACAATTGACTTCCCTGGAGCAGAAGTTGCTGGAGTTGCAAACTGGTAGGAAAATTTAAATGGCAAGTGTTGACAAACTACTGGAGGCTGAGCATGGACCAGTATGAGAGTAAAAAATTCCCAGAGGTGGAACTCTTACACTTGCATGGGTCTTATCTGCAGAAACCCAAGAGTTTCTAACAAGAAAGATCCCTTCATGACTCTGGCAGGGGAAGAGTTTATTACAAAACTAACCAGCACCATACCATTTGTTCTACCAATCCTGCTCCTAGGTGTTTACCCAACTGATTTGAAAATGTATATCCACACATGAACTTGCATTTGAATGTTATGGCAACTTTGTTAATAATCACCAAAATCCTGAAACAGTTAAGAAATTCATCAACAGGTGAATAGATAAACAAACTCTGAGACATCCATACAATTGAATACTATTTAGGATGAAAAGGAATGAACTACCAGCATTGCAAATACATAAAAGAATTATAAATACATAATATCAAATGCACGACACCAGTCACAGAGGACTACTGTATGATTCCATTTATATGACATTCTGGAAAAGGCAAAAATATATAGGTGGTAAAGAGGCCAGTCAATACTATGGGTTCAAAGGGGAGGGTTGAATATGTGAAAGTACAGATTTTTTTTTTTTTTTTTTTTTTTTTGAGATAGAGTCTTACTCTGTCGCCCAGACTGGAGTGCAGTGGCATGATCTCGGCTCACTGCAAGCTCTGCCTCCTGGGTTCACACCGTTCTCCTGCCTCAGCCTCCTGAGTAGCTGGGACTACAGGCACCCGCCACCACACCCAGCTAATTTTTTGTATTTTTAGTAGAGACGGGGTTTCACGGTGTTAGCCAGGATGGTCTCGATCTCCTGACCTCTTGATCCTCCCGCTTTGGCCTCCCAAAGTGCTGGGATTACAGGCATGAGCCACCGCGCCTGGCCCAGAAGATATTTTAAGGTGGTAAATCTTGTCTGAATAATACTATTATAGTGGATATCTGACAGTGTACATCTTGAAAATCCATAGAACTTTACAGCAAAAAGAATGAAACTTAATGTATTAAATATGTAAGTTTAAAAAAAGAACCACTGTGGAGATTGGAGCTTCCCAAAATGAAATTTGACAAATATATATACTGCTATATCTGTTCAAATTAATGGCAAAAACTGCAATTACTTTTGTACCAACTTAATGTCTATCTATCATCTATCTATCTATCTATCTATCTATCTATCTATATTACATATGTATGTAATAACCTCAATGGGGGGAGAAAGGTCCTGACTTAAGTGGTTTTGGGAATAAATTACGTCTTCAAGAATAAAACAACCACAGATAAGTACTGTACTTTAGTTGATAACTTTGTTTCCCAAAGAGGTAAATGTTGACAATTCTGAAATCACTATACTGTATACCCTGAATGAACAAATAAGTAAATTAATGAGATGGTGAGGACCAGATGTCTCACTGGTTACAGATTTGTTTTGTCTCAAACTTTACACATGAAAAATAAAACAGATTCAGACTAACCAGTTTACATTCTCATCCTAAGGAAAAATGGTGGTGTCTGAGGCAATGGAAGTAAAATAAGCAGAGAATACTAGGTAAAGAGGCTTTTGAAGCTATTACCCATTTCTAATATACTGCATTGCAAAGGAATTTTGAGGAAGGAATGAAGTGTTGTGAGTAGGCAAAGAGGAATCTGGGTCTTAGCTCTTAAAAGAGATTTAAATGAAGAATTGAGGTGTGATGCGAATGACATAGTTTGTAAATCCACATCATGAAATTACAAAACCAGAGGATCCAACATGAGCAGAAGAGCCATCAATTTAACTGCATTTCAGAACCCATATTTATTAAAGTGTTTAAAAGGGGATGTACTATTTTTACCAGCATCCTAAACTAGAGTATTATACTGAATCATTTGTTTAGTGCTCCTACAAGCTTTAAATAATAGTTGAATAAAAGAGTCAGATTGTTTTTTAAAAAAATGCTGTTTGTGTGATGGGCGCTGTAGGTAGTGTTGGTGTTTCCAAATAGTAAGAATAAACTAATTTATGAAATAGCGATAATTATTTTTAGAAAGGTGTATAGTTTACTAGATTTATCTAAGTATTTCCTATTAGAGTTAATTAAAACCATTAATATTGTAAGAATGTCAAAAATTAATACAATGTCATATATAAATTCATATTTGTCAGGCCTCTGAGCCCAAGCCAAGCCATCGCACCCCCTGTGACTTGCACGTATATGCCCAGATGGCCTGAAGTAACTGAAGAATCACAAAAGAAGTGAAAATGCCCTGCCCCACCTTAACTGATGACATTCCACCACAAAAGAAGTGTAAATGGCCAGTCCTTGCCTTAACTGATGACATTCCACCACAAAAGAAGTGAAAATGGCCTGTTCCTGCCTTAACTGATGACATTATCTTGTGAAATTCCTTCTCCTGGCTCATCCTGGCTCAAAATCTCCCCTACTGAGCACCTTGTGACCCCCACTCCTGCCCGCCAGAGAACAACCCCCCTTTTTCCTTTACCTACCCAAATCCTATAAAACGGCCCCGCCCCTATCTCCCTTCACTGACTCTCTTTTTGGATTCAGCCCGCCTGCACCCAGGTGAAATAAACAGCTTTATTGCTCACACAAAGCCTGTTGGGTGGTCTCTTCACATGGACACGAGTGAAATTTGGTGCCGTGACTCAGATCCAGGGACCTCCCTTGGGAGATCAATCCCCTGTCCTCCTGCTCTTTGCTCCAAGAGAAAGATCCACCTACGACCTCAGGTCCTCAGACCGACCAGCCCAAGAAACGTTTCACCAATTTCAAATCCAGTAAGCAGCCTCTTTTTACTCTCTTCTCCAACCTCCCTCACTATCCCTCAACCTCTTTCTCCTTTCAATCTTGTCGCCACACTTCAATCTCTCCCTTCTCTTAATTTCAATTCCTTTCATTTTCTGGTAGAGACAAAGGAGACACGTTTTATCCGTGGACCCAAAACTCCGGCGCTGGTCACGGACTAGGGAAGGCAGCCTTCCCTTGGTGTTTAATCATTGCAGGGACACCTCTCTGATTATTCACCCAGGTTTCAGAGGTGTCAGACCATGCAGGGATGCCTGCCTGGGTCCTTCACCCTTAGCGGCAAGTCCCACTTTTCTGCGGGAGGGGCAGGAACCCCAACCTCTTATCTCTGTGCCCTGGTCCCTTATTTCCATGCCCGGACCTCTTATCTCTGTGCCCCGATCCCTTATTTCTGTGCCCCAACCCCTTCTCTGCTTTTCTGGAGGACAAGAACCCCCCACCCCTTCTCCCTGTCTCTACTCTGTTTTTTCTGGGCTTGCCTCCTTCACTATGGACAAGCTTCCACCTTCCATTCCTCCTTCTTCTCCCTTAGCCTGTGTTCTTAAGAACTTAATACCTCTTCAACTGTCACCTGACCTAAAATCTAAGCGTCTTATTTTCTTCTGCAATGCCACTTGACCCCAATACAAACTTGACAGTAGTTCCAAATAGCCAGAAAACAGCACTTTCAATTTTTCCATCCTACAAGATCTAAATAATTCTTGTCGTAAAATGGGCAAATGGTTTGAGGTGCCTGACGTCCAGGCATTCTTTTACACATCGGGCCCTCCGTAGTCTCTGTTCCCAATGCAACTCGTCCCAAATCTTCCTTCTTTCCCTCCCACCTGTCCCCCTCAGTCCCAACCCCAAGCGTCACTGAGTCTTTCTAATCTTCCTTTTCTACAGACCTATCTGACCTCTTCCCTCCTCACCAGGCCGAGCTAAGTCCCAATTCTTCCTCAGCCTCTGCTCCTCCACCCTATAATCCTTTTTATCACCTCCCCTCCTCACACCCGGTCCGGCTTACAGTTTCGTTCCATGACTAGCCCTCCCCCACCTGCCCAGCAATTTACTCTTAAAAAGGTGGCTGGAGCTAAAGGCATAGTCAAGGTTAATGCTCCTTTTTCTTTACCCCAAATCAGATAGCGTTTAGGCTCTTTTTCATCAAATATAAAAACCCAGCCCTGTTCATGGCTTGTTCGGCAGCAACCCTGAGACGCTTTACAGCCCTAGACCCTAAAAGGTCAAACGGCCGTCTTATTCTCAATATACATTTTATTACCCAATCTGCTCCTGACATTAAATAAAACTCCAAAAATTAAATTCCGGCCCTCAAACCCCACAACAGGACTTAATTAACCTCGCCTTCAAAGTGTACAATAATAGAGTAAAGGCAGCCAAGTAACAACATATTTCTGAGTTGCAATTCTTTGCCTCAACTGTGAGACAAACCCCAGCCACATCTCCAGCGCACAAGAACTTCCAAATGCCTAAACCGCAGTGGCCAGGCATTCCTCCAGAACCACCTCCCCCCAGGAGCTTGCTACAAGTGCCAGAAATCTGACCACCAGGCCAAGGAACCCCTGCAGCCCGGGATTCCTCCTAAGCAGTGTCCCATATGTGCGGGACCCCACTGGAAATCGGACCGTTCAACTCACCTGGCAGCCACTCCCAGAGCCCCTGGAACTCTGCCCCAGGGCTCTCTGACTGACTCCTTCCCAGATCTTCTCGGCTTAGCGGCTGAAGACTGATGCTGCCCGATCGCCTCAGAAGCCCCGTAGACCATCATGGACACTGAGCTTTAGGTAACTCTCACAGTGAAGGGTAAGTCCATCCCCTTCTTAATCAATATGGAGGCTACCCACTCCACATTACCTTCTTTTCAAGGGCCTGTTTCCCTTGCCTCCGTAACTGTTGTGGGTATTGACAGCCAGGCTTCTAAACCTCTTAAAACTCCCCAACTCTGGTGCCAACTTAGACAGTACTCTTTTAAGCACTCCTTTTTAGTTATCCCCACCTGCCCAGTCCCCTTATTAGGCTGAGACACTTTAACTAAATTATCTGCTTCCCTGACTATTCCTGGACTACAGCTGCATCACATTACCGCCCTTCTTCCCAATCCAAAGCCTCCTTTGCGTCCTCCTCTTGTATCCCCCCACCTTAACACACAAGTATAAGATACCTCTACTCCCTCCTTGGTGACCGATCATGCACCCCTTACCATCTCATTAAAATCTAATCACCCTTACCTCGCTCAATGCCAATATCCCATCCCACAGTTTAAAATGATTAAAGTCTGTTTTCACTCACCTGTTACAGCATGGCCTTTTAAAGCCTATAAACTCTCCTTACAATTCCCCCATTTTACCTGTCCTAAAACCAGACAAGACTTACAGGTTAGTTCAGGATCTGCGCCTTATCAACCAAATTGTTTTGCCTATCCACCCTGTGGTGCCAAACCCATATACTCTCATATCCTCAATACTTCCCTCCATAATCCATTATTCTGTTCTAGATCTCAAACATGCTTTCTTTGCTATTCCTTTGCACCCTTCATCCCAGTCTCTCTTCGCTTTCACTTGGACTGACCCTGACATCAGGGTCAGCAAATTACCTGGGCTGTACTGCCGCAAAGCTTCACAGATAGCCCCATTACTTCAGTCAAGCCCAAATTTCTTCCTCACCTGTTACCTATCTCGGCATAATTCTCGCAAAAACACATGTGCTCTCCCTGCTGATCGTGTCCCACTAATCTCCCAAGCCTCAATCCATTCTACAAAACAACAACTCCTTTCCTTCCTGGGCATGGTTGGATACTTTTGCCTTTGGATACCTGGTTTTGCCATCTTAACAAAACCATTACATAAACTCAGAAAAGGAAACCTAGCTGACCCCATAGATCCTAAATCCTTTCCCCACGCCTCATTCCGTTCCTTGAAGACAGCTTTAGAGACTGCCCTCACCCTAGCTCTCCCTGACTCATCGCAACCCTTTTCATTACACACAGCCGAAGTGCTGGGCTGTGCAGTCGGGATTCTTACACAAGGACCGGGATCGCGTCCTGTAGCCTTTGTCCAAACAACTTGACCTTACTGTTTTAGGCTGGCCATCATGTCTCCGTGCAGTGGCTGCTGCCACCTTAATACTTTTAGAGGCCCTAAAAATCACAAACTATGCTCAACTCACTCCATCTCTCATAACTTCCAAAATCTATTTTCTTCCTCACACCTGATGCATATACTTTCTGCTCCCCGGCTCCTTCAGCTATACTCACTCTTTGTTAAGTCTCCCACAATTACCATTGTTCCTGGCCCAGACTTCAATCCGGCCTCCCACATTATTCCAGATACCACACCTGACCCTCATGACTGCCTCGCTCTGATCCACCTGACGTTCACCCCATTTCCCCATATTTCCTTCTTTCCTGTTCCTCACCCTGATCACACTTAGTTTATTGATGGCAGTTCCGCCAGGCCTAATCGCCACACACCAGCAAAGGCAGGCTATGCTATAGTACAAGCCACTAGCGCGCCTCTTAAAACCTCTCATTTCCTTTCCATAGTGGAAATCTATCCTCAAGGAAATAACTTCTCAGTGTTCCATCTGCTATTCTATTACTTCTCAGGGATTATTCAGGTCCCCTCCTTTCCCTACACATCAAGCTCAGGGATTTGCCCCCACCCAGGACTGGCAAATTAGCTTTACTCAATATGCTCCAAGTCAGATAACTAAAATACCTCTTAGTCTAGGTAGACACTTTCACTGGATAGGTAGGGGCCTTTCCTACAGGGTCTGAGAAGGCCACCACAGTCATTTCTTCCTTTCTGTCAGACACAATTCCTCATTTTAGCCTTCCCACCTCTATACAGTCTGATAACAGACCAGCCTTTATTAGTCAAATCAGCCAAGCACTTTTTCAGGCTGTTAGTATTCAGTGAAACCTTTATATACCTTACAGTCCTCAGTCTTCAGGAAAAGTAGAACGGACTAAAGGTCTTTTAAAAACACACCTCACCAATCTCAGCCACCAACTTAAAAAGGACTGGACAATACTTTTACCACTTTCCCTTCTCAGAAGTCAGGCCTGTCCTCAGAATGCTACAGGTTACAGCCCATTTGAGCTCCTGTATAGATGCTCCTTTTTATTAGGCCCCAGTCTCATCCCAGACACCAGACCAACTTAGACTGTGCTCCAAAAAACTTGTCATCCCTACTATTTTCTGTCTAGTCATACTCCTATTCACCGTTCTCAACTACTCATACATGCCCTGCTCTTGTTTACACTGCCAGTTTACACTGTTTCTCCAAGCCATCACAGCTGATATCTCCTGGTGCTATCCCCAAACCGCCACTCTTAACTCTTAAAGGAAATAAATAATCTTTGGTGGCAAGGCTATGCTGAACCTCTTTAAGCACTCTCTAATTAGATGTCCTAAGTCCTCCCAATTCTTAGTCCTTTAATACCTGTATTTCTCCTTCTCTTATTCCATTTAGTTTTTCAATCCATACAAAACCATATCCAGGCCATCACCAATAATTCTACATGACAAATGTTTCTCTAACAACCCCACAATATCACCCCTTACCACAAAATCTTCCTTCAGCTTAATCTCTACCACTCTAGGTTCCCACGCCGCCCCTAATCCCGCTCAAAGCAGGCCTGAGAAACATCGCCCATTCTCTCTCTCCATACCACCCCCCAAAAATTTTCGCTGCCCCAACACTTCAACACTATTTTGTTTCGTTTTTCTTATTAATATAAGAAGGCAGGAATGTCAGACCTCTGAGCCCAAGCCAAGCCATCGCATCCCCTGTGACTTGCACTTATACGCCCAGATGGCCTGAAGTAACTGAAGAATCACAAAAGAAGTGAAAATGCCCTGCCCTGCCTTAACTGATGACATTCCCCCACAAAATAAGTGTAAATGGTCTGTTCCTGCCTTAACTGATGACATTATCTTGTGAAATTCCTTCTCCTGGCTCATCCTGGCTCAAAAGCTCCCCTACTGAGCACCTTGTGACCCCCACTCCTGCCCACCAGAGAACAACCCCCCTTTTTCCTTTACCTACCCAAATCCTATAAAACGGCCCCACCCCTATCTCCCTTCGCTGACTCTCTTTTCGGACTCAGCCCACCGGCACCCAGGTGAAATAAACAGCTTTATTGCTCACACAAGGCCTGTTTGGTGGTCTCTTCACAATATTGATTGTCAAACTAAAATTAAAACATCTTATTGCTACTTTAAAACATTTTAGAAAGATAATTTGAGCCATTTTAAAAAACCACCATGTGAGCAATATTGTATTGACTAAATAATTAAAAGTTTTTCAGTATGTTACTCTTGAACAAGGCAGCTTGTCCGTCCATGTTTGTAGCAGTATCATTTCAGTGATTGGGGGAGCACCCTTCGTCTTCCTCTCCAATAAAGATGTATATAATAACTACTTTTTTTTTGGCATTTTCTTCTCTGTAACATCTGTGCCTTCCCCTCAAAATATCCCATAGGAATGATTTTAGCATGATAACAACCAACATCCTGCTGCTTGTATTACTTTCTTACACTAATTACAACACAAGCTGCAAGATTTGCTTTGTCTCAAACTTTACACATGAAAAATAAAACAGATTCAGAGTAACCACTTTAAATTCTCATCCTAAGGAAAAATGGTGGTGTCTGAGGCAATGGAAGTAAAATAAGCAGAGATTACTAGGAAAAGAGTCTTTTGGAGCTGTTATCCATTTATTTTTGTTTTTATTTATTTGTGTGGGTGTGTGTGTGGCGGAATCTCATTCTGTCGCCAGGCTGGAGTGCAGTGGTGCAATCTCGGCTCACTGCAACCTCCGCCTCCCAGGTTCAAGCGATTCTCTTGCCTCAGCCTCCCGAGTAGCTGGGACTACAGGCGTGTGCCACCACGCCCGGCTAACTTTTGTATTTTTTTAAGTAGAGACGGAGTTTCACCATGTTGGCCAGGATGGTCTCAATCTCTTGACCTCGTGATCTGCCTGCCTCAGCCTCCCAAAGTGCTGGGATTACAGGCGTGAGTCACAGCGCCCAGCCGTGTTATCCATTTCTAATACGCTGTGTTGAAAGGAATTTTGAGGAAGGAATGAAAAGTATTGTGAGTAGGCAAAGGGGAACCTTGGTCTTAGCTCTTAAAAGAGATTTAAATGAAGACTTGAGGTGTGATGCAAATGACATAGCTTGTAAATCCATAAAAGCTCAGGTGTGGCAAATTTTCAAAGTATTTGCATTTTTCTTTGGTAATGTTTTCAGAATATTTGTATTTCATACAAATATAATAAATGAAATATTTTGCTTTCATTATAAAGCACTCTTTTTCATCGCCTCCAAATTACTATCATCATTTCATTTAAAGACAATTTTAAAAGTTCTCCCACATTATGAAGCACAATAAATTATACTACATATTCCTTCCACTAACTATTCCTTGAGACTTGAAAATTATATTTACTATTTCTGATTCATTATCTTCACTATGTTTTCTGGAATTATTAATTTTATATCTTTAACTCTGTCTTGAAATTATGTTGAGAGGAAATTTTACCTGGAATAGCATATAAAAATATTTTTTATTTTTATTATTGGATTTTTTTCATATGCCCCTTAAATAACAATACAGTAATTTTATTTCCATTATTTTGCTGAACTTGGGCAATAGGATGTTTCATTATATTAAAACACTCTCAATGTAAATAGTAAATGTTTTTATTAAGGCCCAGGTAAGAAATAACATTTTCAGATTTTGATACAGATTTAGAAATACAAATTGTAATCAGTAGAATGGGTAAGACTATAGTAGTAAATGTACACACTTAGAATATAAAATATTGTTCATTCTATAACAACAAACAATTCACTGTTGTCATTTTTACACACGATTACTGACACATGATTTATGCAATAATTTGCACACTAATTTGTGAAAGGTCCTATTGTTGGATTTCTGTCTAAGATAGTTAATAGAAACTCTCTGAATGTAGATAGCAAGGAACATGTGGCTGCCTGTAGCACCTTGAAAATTGCTATCAGTCTAATTCATATACATTGGCTCTCTCCAGGAGAATATGTAACATGAAAATAAAATGAGCAGAAAAAACTATTCACACATATGAAAAGAAAATGTTCTTAGCAATGACCATGAGACAGGTAAGGGGAATGAATGAAACTCAGGCTTGTGGATATTGCTAACCTTCTTTCATTAGAATTTAAAAAGGATTGTAATTTTTTTTTGGTGTGTAATCTTTTTGTTAGCTCTCTTTTCTTTGCCTTATTTTCTCAGTAAAGTCTTTTTAAAGTTTTTTGAAAATTTCTCCCTGTTTTTACTAAGCTAAGGGGGAAAAGGAGGTAGATATTTATATTCATGCCTAAGCATAGGAAGGGAAGAATTTGATGTAAAGGTCAGAGGTCAGGCTCATGAAGATCCTACTATTTGAAGAGTCTTAAGAGAGACTATTTGAAGAGTCTTAAGAGGCAGAAACACAGGGACTTGATGGTGAGGACCACTGCTTTTCCATAAACTCTTTCTGCCATTTCATTTGAGGATATCTGAGGGATGTGCAAGTTTGAATATTCATGATTTCTTCATTCTTTCCTGGGGTTTTGGTGACTCTGATCTGGACTCTGGTGACAATATTTACTAAGTCCAGGCACAGTCTTTAAGTTTTTACATTCATAATTTTATTCTTACATCACAACAACTTAAAACATAGTATGTATATTATCCATATTGTGTGTATTTAAAAATTTCTGATTTAGATGCAAAATTAACTTGTAAAAGACAATAAAGCATGCTGGAGTATGCTTGTCTTCAAGGGAATAAGCTGGTCTATTTCAAATCATTGTATTGATTAAAAAATGTCCTATAGTCCATATTTTTTAACTCCTACTGCTATTAATCAAGGGTTACTACTTCCAAGATGCCTAGAATAGTAACATTTAATATATACAATTCAGAATAACTCTGTACATAACGTTATAATTAACTGTGAAAATAATTTTAGTTTAAGGATTAAATATTAAATGAATGGCAAAATAAACAATCTATGTGTCAAAGCTTCTAGAATTTTTTTTTGTAGAACTTATTTTTTGTAAGTTAACTCAAAAATAATTTTCCCTTTTCAAAATTCTTGTCAACAGCTCAGTGAAATAATTTCCTGAATAAATAAAAATTATTCCTATTATTTGTCCCAAATAATTTCTAGTCATTAAGTCAATAATTTTACAAAAATTTTAGGATTATACTTCTAAAAGTAAGTTAAGTTTCTACAGTATTCTATAAAACATTCTAAGGAATTGGCACTACCAATGTACCACTTATACAACCAGTGTGTGTGCAGGTTTGTTACATGGATATATTGCATGATGCAGAGGTTCAGGATAGAGCTCCCATAATCCAGGTAGTGAGCACAGTACTTAATAAGTAGTTTTTCAATCCACGTCCACTTGTTTCTTCCCACACTAGTAGTCCACAGTATCTATTGTTCCCATGTTTATATTCATGTTTGCTCAATGTTTAGCTTCCGCTTATAGGTGAAACATAAGTATTTGGGTTTTGTTTCTGTGTTAATTTACTTAAGATTATGGCCTCCAGCTGCATCCATGTTGCAGCAAATGATGTGATTTTTAAAATTTCTTCTTATAGCTGCATAGTATTCCGTGCAGTTTACGTACCACAGCTTCTTTATCCAATCCAAAAATGATGGGCTTCTAGGGTGATTCCCTGTCTTTCTCTAGTAAATAGTACAGGGATGAGTATGTGAGTGCATGTGTCTTTTTGGTAGTATTATTTATTCTCCTTTGGATGCATACCAGTAAATGGCATTGCTGGGTTATATGATGGCTCTGTTTTAAGTTCTTTGAGAAATCTCCATACTTCAAATTGGCTGAACTAATTTACATTTCCACAAACAGTATATAAGTGTTCCCTTTTCTCTGTAACCTTGCCAGCATCTGTTATTTGTTGACTTTTTAATAATAGCTATCCTGACTGGTGTGAGATGGTATCTTACTGTGGTTTTGATTTGCATTTCTCTGATGATTAGTGAAGGAAGCTGAGAAATTTTTCATGTGTTTGTTAGTCATTCATATGTCTTCTTTTGAGAAGTGGCTATTCATGTCCTTTGCCCAAATTTTAGTGAGGTAATAATCTCATTACAAATTCTTATTTTTTATTTTTGGTCGGGCGTGGTGGCTCACGCCTATAATCCCAGCACTTTGGGAGATCGAGGCGGGTGGATCACTTGAGGTCAGGAGTTCGAGACCAGCCTGGCCAACATGGTGAAACCCTGCCTCTACTAAAATACAAAAATTTGCCAGGCGTGGGAGTGCATGCCTGTAGTCCCAGCTACTTGGGAGGCAGAGGTGACAGAATCGCTTGAACCCAGGAGGCGGAGGATGCAGTGAGCCTAGATCACTCCATTGCACTCCAGCCTGGGTGACAGAGTGAGACTAGGACTCGAAAAAAAAAATTGTTTTCTGATTTCCTTAAGTTAATTATAGATTCTGGATATGAGACCTTTGTCAGATATGTAGTTCGCAAATATTTTCTCCCATTCTGTAGATTATCTGTTTACTCTGTTGATAGTTTATTTTGCTGTGCAAAAGTTCTTTGTTTAACTATATCTCACTAGTCAATTTTTGATTTTGTTGCAATTGCTTTTGGAGACTTAGCCAAATATTCTTTCCTAATGCCAACATTTAGAAGGGTATTAGCTAGGTTTTCTTCTAGGTTTTTATAATTCAAGACCTTACATTTAAATCGCTGACAGATCTTGAGTTAATTTTTGTACATGGTGAAAGGTAGGGGTCTAGTTTTTTTTTTCTGCATGTGGCTAGCCAATTATCCTAGCACCATCTATTGAATAGGGAGTCCTTTCTCCATTGCTTGTTTTTCTCTGCTTTGTTGAAGATCAGATGGTTGTAGGTGTACAGGTTAATTTCTGAGATTTTTATTCTGTTCCATTAGTCTATGTGTCTATATTTGTACCAGTACCATGCTGTTTTTATGACTGTAGCCTGATAGTATAGTTTAAAGTTAGGTAGTGTAATGCCTCTGGCTTTGTTCTTTTTGCTTAGGATTACTTTTACTATTCAGATCCTTTTTGGTCTCATACAAATTTTAGAATAGTTTTGACTAATTCTGTAAAAAAACTAACGTTGGTTTGATAGGAATAGCATTGAAACCATAGATTTTAATCATATTCATTATTTCAACCCATGAGCATAGAATGCTTTTCTGTTTATTTATGTCATCTCTGATTTCTTTCAGTAGTTTTCCTTGTAGAGATATTTTTCCCCCTAGGTTGGCTGTATTCTTAGGAATTTCATTTTCTTTATGACTATTGTAAAGAGAATTGTGTTATTGATTTGACTCTCAGCAGGGATGTCATTTGGTATAAAGATGTCACTGATTTTTGTACATTGATTTTGCATCCTGAAACTTTACTAAAGATGTTTATCAGTTTTAGGAGCTTTTTGTCAGTCTTTAGGGTTTTCTAAGTATAAAGTCATATCATCAGTAAAAAAGATAATTTGACTTATTATTTTCCTATGTGGATGCCCTTTATTTCTTTCTTTCTGTTGCCTGGTTACTCTGGCTAGGACCTCCAGTACTATATTGAATAAGGGGTGGTGAGAGTGGGCATCCTTTTATTATTCCAGTTCTCACAGGGAATAGTTCCAGCTTTTGTTCATTCGGTTTTATGTTAGCTGTGCATTTATCATAGATGGCTCTTATTATTTTGAAGTATAATCCTTCAATGCTGACTCTTTTGAGGGTTTTTATCATGAAGAAATGCTGGATTTTATCAAAAGCTTTTTTGAGTCTTTTGAGATGATCATATGGTTTTTATTTTTAATTCTGTGTATATGGTGAGTCATATTTATAATTTTCATATGTTGAACTAACTTTGCATCCCTTAAATGAAGCCTACTTAATCACGGTGAATTAACTTTTTGATGTGCCACTGGATTTGGTTTGCTAGTATTTTGTAAAGACTTTTAGATCTATGTCCATCAGGAATATTGGCCTGAAGTTTTCTTTTTTCATTGTGTCTCTGCCAGATTTTGATATTAGGCTGATGTTGGCTTCATAGAATGAGTTAAGGAGGAACACCTTCTACTCAATATTTTGGAATAGTTTCAGTAGGATTGGTACCAGTTCTTTGCACGTCTGGTAGAATTTGCTTGTGAATCCCTATGGTCCAGAGATTTTTTTTTTGAGTGGTCACTTTTTTATTATTGATTCAATTTCAAAACTCAGCATTGGTCTATTCAGGGTTTCAATCTCTTCCTGATTCATTCTTGCAGCATTGTGTGTTTCTAAGAATTTATGTATTTTCTCTAGATTTTCTTATCTGTGTACATCAAATTGTTCATTGTAGTCTCAGAGGACCTTTGTATTTCTGTGGGATCAGTTGTAATATCAACTTTATCATTTCTGATTGTTCTTATGTGGATCTCTTTTTTTAATCAAACTAGTAGTCTCTCAATCGTGTTTATTCTTTCAAATAACACATTCTTGATTTCATTGATCTTTTGCATGGATTTTTGCATCTCAATTTCATTCAGTTCTTTTCTAATTTTAGTTATTTCTTTTCTGCTAGCTTTGGAGTTGGTCTTTTCTTGTTCTTCTAGTTCCTTTTGATGTAAGGTTAGATTGTTAATTTGAGACTTTTCTAATTTATTGATGAAGGCATTTAGGGCTATAAACTTTCCTCTCAACACTGCTTTAGCTGCATCTCAGAGATTTTGGCAAGTTGTGTTTCTATTTGTGCTAATTTCAAAGAATAATTTGATCTCTCCTTAATTTTGATGTTCACCTAGGAGTTATTAGGAGCAAGTTGTTTAATTTCCATGTTTTTGTGTAGTTTTGAGAGATCTTCTTGATATCAATTTCTATTTTTATTGCACTATCATCTCAGAATGTGCTTGGTATGACTTTGATTTTTTTTAAATTTATTGAGACTTGCTTTATGACCAAGCATGTGGTCAATTTTAGAATATAATCAGGGTTCAGATTAGAAGAATGTACATTTTGTGTTGTTGAGTGGAATGTTCTTTAGATGTCTGTCAGGTCAAATTGGTCAGATTAAGTCCAGAGTTTCTTTCTTAGTTTTCTGCCTTGATCTGTCTAAGCTGTCAGTGGGGTGTTAACTTTTTCCCACAGTTATTGTGTGGCTCTCTACGTCCTTTAATAGATTAAGAAGAACTTGTTTTATGAATCTGGGTGTACTAATGTTGGGTGCATATATATTTATAATAGGTCTTTTTATTGGATCATTATGTAATATCTTCTTTGAATCATTATGTAATATCTTCTTTGTCCTTCTCATTTTTTATTGGTTTAAAGTCTACTTTATCTGATGATACAGGAGTAACAACTGCTCTGTTTGTTGTTTTCCATTTGAATGGTAGATCTTTCTCCCTCCCTTTACCTTGAGTCTGTAGGTGTTGTTACATGTGGGATGGGTCTCTTGAAGATAGCAGAAAGTTGGATCTTGTCTCTTTTTATTCAGCTTGCCATTCTGTGTCTTTTTAATGGGGCGTTTAGCCAATTTACATTCAAGAGTAGTATTGGTATGTGAGATTTTGATAGTGTCATTGTGTGGTTAGTTGATTATTATGTAGACAGGGAGATAGGCTACACTCTTTTCAATCTGGTTCCCTGAAGGGAGGCACACACATCTCCTGTGCTAGCCCACAGACACAAGCATCTCACCCCTCTCAGTGCTCTGAGATATGGGCTCCACCCCAGATTGGGTGCTGGCCATTGATCTTGGCTTGGCACTCCAAAGCTGTGTGCTGAAGCCCTGGGGCACGGGGACCAACTCTAGACTCTATCCTCTAGACTCTTGGATTCCTGGTGTGCTGAGAGATCTGAAGTTCTCCCAGGGTGCTAGAAATATACTAAGGTGGATCAAATCACCCAGGCTGGGCAGTAGAGACTGTGCTGTGCACACGTTTCTGTGGGGAGCCAGGCAGGGGACCTGAAGGAGGGGCTGATGGGCAGGAGGACCTGTAGAACAAACATGCCCCAGTCTTGTGGGGAAACCAGTTCAGCTTTCTCCTGGCCCAGCAGTCAGCTGGGTCTAGAACTTCTTGGAGGAATGTGGGGAGCTCTAGGGGGATGGGTTCCAATGGCCAGACTCCACTGGAGCTGCCCAGTGAACAAAGGCCCCTGGCTCCACACTGGCTGAAGCCCTATCTCTGCCTACCTTCATATGCGGCAGATCTCCCTAACATGCAAATGTCCATGGGGGATATGGGGTCCTCTGTTGCTAGGATCCCAGGGGTCCATGGCACGAGTGGGCAGTCCCACAGTCTCTTCACTCATTCATTCCCCAAGAGCCATTTGGAGCCAGGAACTAACCTCAGTATTAGGGTATGCCACACAGGGCTCCCAGCTTCTTTAGCCTGTGTCTGTGTTGCATCTCCATCCACCCTCGGTGTTTTCTCTCTGAAGATCTATTCAGGTTATGTTGGTTTACTTGAAATTTTGGTCTCTTTCTGTGGGAGCAGCACTGCCTGGCTCTGTGCTGTTGGCCATCTTGTTCTGGTCTCCCAATAAGCATTATTAAATGTCAGTTTGTGGAAATGAATCTCTTAATAACTATTTTGATTTATTACAAATAAAAAATAATATCATGTATTGTAATAATAAACTACTGTTCATTAAGAGTAGTGTTTGGTATATTTGATTTTAAATTATTTTTAATTACAGGATAAGTAATGTGTACATACAGTTCTGTTTTATATTAGATTTTAACCAATTTTAGAAATGCATTATGATAATTTATGCTACTTATTAACATTATTTGTCCTGATCCCCAAGTATAGCATCTTTTTGCATAGCCCTCTAATAAAAGACGTTTTCTTCAGATTACTATATAAGCCATTGAAAAACTTTACTCATTTTCACCTCTTTAACTGTATGAATTAGTATTAATTTGATTTTATACAACTCAAATATCTATGGAAAAACAAAGGTTGCTTAGATTGATATGACTGCTACAGTCAACCAAAATCTTCTTTTTCAATTTTAGGTTTAGCAAAATAGCTTCATTATTCACCTTGGTAGAAATTATAAGTTAATGTTTAAATTTATAAGATAAATTTATTTTAATAATATACTACCTTTTATAGTTTAGACATTTATATTTCTGCATGCGTTTTCTTTCTAACAATAGCAACAATGCCATTATGATATTTAAAAATCTTATGACCTAATGAATCAATTAACACTTAGTATTCAATATTTCTGCTTTGCATGATCCTGTTTTTGTTCATATCTGTTTCTAATTCTGCCTTTACATATTTTTTATATATATATATATATATATATATATATATATTTAATTCTGAGTAAATGTAAAAGGAGTGTAAATATCTGCAAATAACCCTGTCAATCACTCTGGGTTGCCTGTACCAAAACCCAGCTGAGATCTGAGCAGTCCCAGCAGTCAGGGATGTACCTCTCATCAGCTTCCCAAAGCCCTGGAGAATTCTTCTAGTTCAGGAAGACTGAAACATCCACTGGTTAAAATATGTTGAGCAGCTGGTCTTTGCACAGAACAGCTTTAAACTGCTATCTCAAATTCTGGCTGGCTGACATCAAACAATCTGTTTGTTACTTCATTGACAAGACCTTTCCCACATTTTCACTCTACAAAACAGGGATTTTGTTCCTGGAACAGAAACCCACACTGCAGATCCAGCAGTGCCCTCATGGTATTACAGCATGCCTCTCTGAGATATTATGGGAAGATCATGGGGACCTTTGTCTTCTATTCTCTTCTTGACCACTGGCTTACACACATATTTCCAACAAACCTTTTTTTACCCATGAAATGTGATGTAGAATTTTTATAAACCAATAATCCAGGACAGATAGACACCCAGGGATCTACCTGGCATAAAAATGCACCCTCACTTCTTTTGCTTGAAAATATTTATGAAGGTGATTCTTCTTCAAGTTTTTTATACTGGATTTATATGTGGGCAATGCCGGTAAAGTGTGCTTTTCTTCTTCCAAAAAGTAACATTTTGAGATGATCAAATGGAAGTGGCCTATTCTATGCTCTTATAAGCCTGGGAGAATTCTGTTTTTCTGTTGTTATAATTGACTTATTGGGGTTTGAAGGTGCTAAGCATGGGAAAACTTATGTTCCTGAATAAGATATTAAATTTCTTAGCTTTGGTTCTTTTTAGAAGATACAGTTAAACTGCAGGGAAGTGATTTTTCAAATTATGCCATATAAGGTGATTTTAGTGGTCTTTAAAACACATGTGGTAGATTTTAAATGCCTCAAATAATCTAGACTTGTGATTCTCAGTTTGGCTGTACAGAGAGTCACCTGGGGAGAGTGGGGTGGTAGTGCTTTTAAAAATGCAGATGCTGGAGTCCCCTTAGACCAATTAAATCAGAATATCCAGAGATATGACCAGAATATCTGTACTTTTAAAACGCCTCAGATGATCCTAATGTGCAGCCAGTGTTGAGCTTCTGATGTATGAACAAAAATATAAAAACCTTTCACAAGTTGCCCTCTGAAACTTGACATGAAATGCCCAAGAAAAAGATACAAAAATTAGCCAGGCATGGTGGCGGGCGCCTGTAGTCCCAGCTACTCGGGAGGTTGAGGCAGGAGAATGGCATGAACCCAGGAGGCGGAGCTTGCAGTGAGCCAAGATCGCACGCCTGCACTCCAGCCTGGGCGACAGAGAGAGACTGCGTCTCAAAAAAAAAAAAAAAAAAAAAAGATTGTTACATATAACTACATAAAAAATTTCAAGTTTTATATGATAAAATATTCTGGAAAAAAATTTCCACTGACCTACATTGTAGAAAGAATTCCTTTTCTTTTTCTTTTCTTTTTTTTTTCTCCAGAGACAAGGTCTTGCTCTGTCACCCATGGCATCCTGGAGTGCAATGATACAATCTTAGCTCATTGCAGTCTCAAAATCCTGGGATCAAGCCATCTTTCTGCCTCAACTTCCTGCGTAGCTGGGATTACAGGCACATGCCACCATGCCTGGCTATTTTTGTTTTCTGTAGAGACAGTGCCTTCACTAGGATTTTAAAAATATATAAAAACCAGGGTCAAAACCCTTACTTGCAAAGAATTTCTTTAATTTTAAATAAGAAAAGGAAACCAATCTAATGGAAAAAATAAAATGGTACAAACAAAATTCACAAGAGAAATCCAAATGTCCAATGAACACTAAGTCTCATTAATAATCCATGAAGTAGAAATTAAAATGAAAGACTTCTTTGTCTAGGAAAGACAGTCACAATATCTATGGTAAACACCCTTGAATATCATTGGTGAGAACATAAAGTCTTTAGAGACAAACTTAGCACTTTCCAACAAAGTTTAGGTGTTTGGCCCAGCAATTCACTTGTACAAAAATACATGTACAGTGATATTTATTGAAACAGTGAAAGGGTAAAAATTTGGAAATGAAATAAATAGTGCACACAGATTGTAATGGCCAAATACATTACAGTGCAGGTTTTATTGCATCTCGATAGGCAAGGCAATGCTATAGTAATAAACATCCCAACACTTAACGGCCTTTAACACAAAGCTTTATTTCTTATTAATGCCTCAAGTCTCCATGCCTCCTCACTTCAAAACCTTGCCTGATGGAGTAGCCATTATTTCAAACATTGCTAGTTACTGAGGCAGAAGGAACAGATCTGGAGGATCTGTCAAAAGCAATTAAATATCCCTGCTGGGAGGTGGCACATATTCACGTTTATTCTACTAATAAAATGTGGTACTATCTTTACAATATCAAGAAACAATATCAAGAAAACAATATCAAGTTGCACAAGATGGTTAGTATAGTAACATGCTCTTGCACTTTGCACGTATGTGTGAATATGTGACGTTGTATTGAGTGAGTCATTTCCTATTGCGCCTCAAATGGTAAGTAGGGACAGATCCCTTCCCCAGGATTACTAAGGAACAATAGAAAGAACTTTGAAACTCCATTTCCACTCTAATGATTTCCCCTGCACTCCTCCACACCTGCTGTGTAAGAAGAGTGAGAAGAGGAGGGGCAGCAGGAACCATGGCTCTACTGGAAATGTGGTGTTAGTGATAAGGTGTTGGAGTGGGAGGTCACTTCCTTCCCTCTTATTTGGGAAGGGGGTTTGAGCCCCAGTTCTCTCAAAGGCAAATGAATTGACAGCTCCAAGAAACTGGCTGATATATAATGGGAGTGATTCTCTCTGCCTGCCTGCTCAACTGCTAAAGTTGAGTCTTCTCTGCTGTGGCCAAAACAGTGAAATGTGGTGACAAAGTACCAGCAAGAACTGGACTGTGTTTCTGGAGCCTAGGGGCAAGTATGAATCTTGAGTATTGAGATAATATCTTGTGTGACGTTTCTGAATGTAGAGGCTTTTGAGAGTAGCCACAAGCAACTTGGAAAAGGTCCATGGAACAGTGTCCTTGAGAAGATGAAAGCAATAGACCCCCCATGTTCATCTCTGCACTTCTTGAAGAAGAAGGTAGATGCCATAAAAAAGCATGGAGTCTAGAGTATGAGTAAGAACCGTGTGTCCCCAGGGAGGCCATGCTGTGTCAAAAGGTGTGGACACCAGTCAATGTCAAGACAGTGGGATTGTTCTACCTCAGGGATTGCTGTATGACAATTACGACTATGAGTGAAGCTAATAGTCACCTCGAGAAATCACATACATTGTGAACTCAGAAGCCACACACCAGTGGAGGCCACTAGCAGACAGAACCTCATGGAAAGAGAAAACACCAATCTGAGTCTGGGGACTTCTCCCACCACTGTAGAAGTCCTCTCATAAAAAAATTCTGGCCTCAACTTTTCCTCTCCCATGCAATTCCCTGAGGGCTTAGACCCAGAGGGTTGGGGACAGGGAGTGAAACAGCAGATCATTGTGTCTTCTGCTTTCCATGGAGTCCCATGGCCCCTACCTTCCTGAAAACAAAACAAAACAAAACAAAAAAAACGTGTGAGCAATGCTAGAGAAAGGACAACTATTGAACTAGATATGCTATTAGAATCATAAAATGTACTGAATACTGAATTACAATTTTTTTTTTTGGGGGGGACAAGGTCTCCCTCTGTCACTCAGATTGGAGTATAGTGGCACAAACACAGTTCATTGCAGCGTTGATTTCCTGGACTTAAGCAATCCTCCCACCTCAGGCTTCCAAGCAGCTGGAACTACAAGCATGCACCACCATGCGCAGTTTTTTATTATTATTATTTGTAGAAATGGGGTCTTGCCATTGTGCCCAGGCTGCTGAATTAAATTTCAATAAGTAAAATTAATCAGAAACTTCAGGAAAGAGGTATTTCACAGAGGAGAGATAACAAAGTGTTTTTAGACACAATAAACCTGGAACTACATCATGTTCATTACTAAGTGCCTTGTGACTCTTCAATAAACAGGTTAGCTATAGGTAAGATTATGGTGTTTATACATTCATGGAAACTATTCTTTTTACAAGTTACTTACTACACTGTTTACAGTGGTTGGTTACCTCTAGGGAGCAGGATTGAAGATGGTATTTTATAGGGAAATTTTGATACTTTCAGGTTGTAAGACTACTATATTGTTTTGATCTTTTATAACAAAATAAATTAATTTGACAATTGCAGATTAATAAAAAATTACTTTAGAAGTTCAATTGGATAATATACAAACATATGTACCTAGAAAAGGAATGAAATAAATTTTGTTTATCAGAAACAATTTGGTTCCTTTACATTTAAATATTCACTGATATAGTAGAAAGTGGATAATTCTACAAACTAAAACTGCTAGAGTCTTAACTAATACATTTACTTCTATTGTTTACAAAAGACACTTTTTTTGTCTTATCATTGCCTCATCTTGAATGGCTACTCCTCAATTATATGTGGTAATGAGAGACAAAAATTGCATGGATAATTAAAAGCCACAAATAATCCCCCAATGTAATTTTAGATAGTATTTCAATTTCTTCTTCTGCCTAAGCTTTTAACAGTATTATTAACAATTGTCAACACTAACTGGATTGAGTATTATAGCCTCTCTGTCATCCTCCTCCCACTCTTTGATGAGCCTATTGACATGCAATGAAATGATTGAAAAGCATCATCAACAGAAAGAAGGAGGAGAAGGAGGGACTCTGGGAATTGACTAACATGTAGTCAGGCTAGGAAACCCAGAAGTTAAATATAAAACATTAATTGTCCTGAATTTATGTGATACTATTTCTCCAATATAATGGTATACAGATGCCAATTTTTCACTTACATTTTATTACTAAGGCGGGTCTATCCATAGCTTCTCAGATCCTGGTTGTCCATTATGACATCCTACCGCAAGGAGATGTTTTAACGATGGCAAACTTAATAAATGTATACTATTTTTGTTACTATCTATTTCTTCCAACAATTCAATTGTATTCATTCCAACCCATAAAAAAAAAAAATCAACCATGAGCTGTTAAAATGGCTTTGTGAGTGAATGACATTTGCTTTGCGAGTGAATGACATATTCAGTGAAATGAAAACAGTGTCTTTAATGTCTCTTTGCACTAGGACATTCTTTTCTAGTGGAGGCAGCTGCTCTCTCCTTCTGTCTCTTATTCTATTGACTATCTAGGCTTAACTATAATGGCAAACACATCTCTCCTCACTGACTTGTCTTCTTAACCTCTCCATGTTTGCTTTTATTTCCCGTCCTTTCTTTCTCATTGACTTTTCTTATGTATTAGAAATATATGAATTGTTCTATTTTTCCCTCATTTCCGTATAGAAATATAATTAAGTTTCCCCCTTGGCTTTCCTAGGAACATATAAAAAGGCCACTTTGTTTCCATTTGCTGTAGTTTAAGAAGAAATCCCAGCCAACTAATTCTTATTCAACGCTCAAGTAAGTGAATGTCCTCACTGCAACCAAATGCCATTTTCAACAATTACCATCATCAGGATTAACTCAAAAGTCTTAGCCTTATATATTAATAGAACTGAATTTAAAATACTGTTTTCATCTTATTTATTTGGCTGTTTCCAAAATCTTCACCTCAATCTAAAGTCCCTTCTTATCACTTCTATTTGAGTAACAGTATTGATTTGGTTCAAGGGTCCAATGTATCACACTGAAATACTCCATCACCACCATCTACCTACCTACCTGCTTAGGCTTTAAAAACAAGTCACTTCAAGAAATTATCCACACATAGAAAATACATTTACCAGTTTTATCAATCACAAAATAAAATATTCCTATGAGGTGTGGTTTCCAGAAAGAGTCATCATCTGAATGCTATAGTTCTAATTTTGCCTTATTTTGAGTGATCTTTCATGATTACCTGATATGTGAAATACAAAAAGTAACTTTCCAAAAGCATATTTTGTCTAAATGCACATTGATCCATCCAATACGTTGAAAAACTGCACCTCGTGGATATAAACAAACACAATTTTATTTTAAACTGTATTACGTGGGAAATTTTGTATATCCTCCCACCGGAGAAAACTGTGGCAAGCTGTAAGACTTTCCTGGTGAATCTAGAGTAGTAAATGGATCTGAGTTTACCTCAAGTTACGAAACATGGTGTTAATTTAGAGATTAGAAGTGTTCACTGTAAGATATTATTCAATATTTCAATCTTCATTCCAAGCACGTTAACAACACTCTTAAACATACACATGAATATAGAAAAAATAATAACACAAACAAAACCACTTCAAAAAACCTTTCACTTATCCAAATCTGATGCATTTGTTATGCTCTTGCCTGAGAGGTTCTGAAAGTCTTGGCTCCAAATGGCTTTCATTTCCTTTGTAATATTGAGTTGGCAACTTACTTGGCAATTATTACTTTTTGGTGCCTGGAAGGAAATTCTGATTTTGACATCCTCTTACACTGACATTTTTAATGGCTCATAAAAACTTTACTGAGTGTGCACTATTCATATCTCAAATATTAAGAGAAATTTTCTAAAACACACAAAGATATAACTCTTGTCAACAAAGCAGAAAACATAATTGACTTGTGCAGGAAAATCTAAATATTAATTCAGATATGCCAAATCCTATACAGGCTCTATGGAAATATCAGCCTAAGGTTCAAAGATGAAAACTACATATTTGGCATAAGAACAAGTTAACCAGAGGAAGCAATCTATTTAAATAGTAGGAGAAATAAGTCCCGATATATCGTATTTAATACGTAAAAGATTACATGAAAATGTCTTAGGTAAATTAATAGAAACCTTGACTATCTGAATTGGGCAAAATGTCCTCAAAACAGTCACAAATTCTAGGTAGACTACACTTAATAGTAACTAAAATAAACCAGACTTCCAAACCTGAAGTTCAGAGAAAATATAAAACAAATAGTGTATTCCTAAAGTCATTTTACAAAAGTAAAAATATTTGTTGAATGGTTGAAAATTAAGGAAAGTTTAGAAAAAAAAAAAAAGCCTTAGCAATCAAATAGAAGTTTACTAACAAAAAGACTTCATATTAAAGAACTACACAAATCAGTCCACTTAAACCCAGATATCTATTTTTAGACGTGAAAATGAAGAGAGTAAGAATCTTCCAATTGTTACTGAAGTTGTATAATAAAAGGCACTTTATAATTTGCTACGTTAATGTAACGACACAAGATTGAAAGATTTTTTACAAATGCATGAGCTTGTTTTAGCCAAGGTTTGTTCGGGTTGAAAAAAAAAATAGAAATTCCATTCAAAAAGGGATAGGTTGGTGTGTGCTTTCTTAGTACAAATAGACTCCTATGGAACACAGGGGAGAAAGTGTGTCCAGACTTCAAAGGAATTGGAATGAAAGCAAGGCAAATCTGAAAGAAAAGAGTTACAAAATACCTTTAATTTCTGACGTTCTTTTCAGGTCTTCTGCGTTCTCCTTGTTCATCTGATTGACTTTCCTTTCCACCTTTGCACGTGGACCATTATAACTACTGGGGCTGACATTTAACTATTTTTGCCTTTGCTGAAAGTTGATCACACATTGATCATTCTTCTCTGATGGAAATTATCTGATAGGTTCATCCCGGCCTCTCTGCTTCAATCTGTTGGTGACAAAGTAACATAGAATTTTGTGACAACCGTCATTTCCCCTTCTGGGAATATGCCTATGATTGGGTGGTTTACAGGCCAAGAGATGTAGTAGTCTTATATCAGTTCTTAACCCGTTAGAATTGATGAAAATATCAGAGTTTTCCCTAATGTTTACTTTAGCCCTATTCAAGAACTGCAATAGCCCAAAGATAACACTTCCACAAATTCACAAAAAGAAATGGAATCCAATAGACTAGAATGCTACTTGCTTTACCAATAACCCTCTTTACTCTTTTATTTAACAACTTTGATTTTAAAAGTGCTGCATCACTTCTTACTAAACTGGAGTTGTGAAGGAGAACTGTCACAGTGCTATCTGGACAACAGAAGTAGATTCTCCATTATCCAGCAGGTATTGTTTATGTAAGATAGTTTCTCGCAACAGTTGAAGACACAAAATAACAGTCTTGATAATGTTGTACTTCTGTGGCTAAATCAAATACACTGAGATTCTCCTCTCAGAGTCAAACTGATCTAGAAATGAGGAAAATGCATGTGAAGGCCTTTATTACAGTATCTGGCTCATAATAGGTGTTTATAAGTTACATTTGAATTAATATGAATCCACATAGCCTTCAACATATCTCACCATCTCTTTAAACCTCAGTTTCTTAAATTATTTCTACACATGCTCAATGCTTGGCGTGGTTTTTTCTTTTTTCTTTTTTTCGTGCTATCATCTTATTCCTTACAGTATGTGTTGAAATTTGCATACACATTTGTTCCCTTTGGCTTCATACAATCTAACACTCTGAGCTGTGTTAGAAAAAGCTGAACTACTGAAAGAGTGGATAAAGACTTTATAAGACCTGAGTCCGTTAGCTAAAAGCGCTCCCATTTTCCCTTGTGTCTACGTTCCAAGCACCAAGGGCTTCCACATAGGAGAGAACTATTTCCTTTCTGGGCTCATGGTTTTCACCTCTGGCACTCTCCTTCACTTATTATTAATAACATTCCTCAAGCTTTGCAACTCCCCAATAATATTTCAGTCATGGCTTTGTAATATTCATAGAAGTTACATTTAAGAAGATCTTATACACCTCGGTTTCACTACTTTGTGTCATATGAAGATTGAGAGGTGCCGACTGCTGCTTCTAGGAACATAGCTTCTCTCAAAGTGTTCACATATTGTTATAAACAAATTACATCTGACCATTAGGATGTCTCCTTTTGTGGGGGTAAACTTTCAATCATCTAGAAAGTCTCCAAGAACATATATTTATCCCATCTGTATTTGCCTTAAAAAAAATCCTACATGGATTAATTCAACAAAAACATTTGAGTGTCTTGAAAGACAAGAGAAATGACAAATATGAATAAAACACAATCTCTTAATTCGAAGAGTAGAGTAGTCATGTAAATAAATACTAGTAAAACAGAATAATCGGTGCTAAAAGAAAGTCTGTACCAGACACTAAGTGGAATTATAATGGATAAAGAAAAAGATTCTATCCAAAGCTTCCAATCTGAATGTATAAGACATAGATGATTTATAATTACTAAAGCTACTTTTTGTAAAATATGAGTTATCTCTGGATTTGTGTTAATTACTTCAAATCCCTGAGTAATAAGAGTTAATGATCAATTAAGTATTTATTAGCTTCTATATGTGTAGTATGATTTTAGAGATTATAGAAGATACATAATATTTTTGAAGCATGATCTCTATTCACAAAAGAGTTTATATAGTTCAGCACGTTTACTAAAGTATTCTATAGTTACATCGCTGGAAAACAAACACTTCTAATTAGGCTGGTGTGGTTAGACTTCTTTGCTTAGGAAATGACTCCAATAGGGTAATACTTAGGTGATTCCAATTTGAACACACTTGTAAGCTTACTGCTAGATATCTTGGCCATGTTCTCCTTGTCAGATTGCCCCTTTAACCTCATGAATTATTTTAAGCCAAAAAGAAAATGGAAGAGGGCCAGTGATCTAACTCATAACACTCTGGGTGCCCTGGTGCAACCAGTTGCTTTGTCTGGAAAGGGCACAAAGGATCTTGATCTGCTGAGACCAGCCAGTGTCACAGACTTCTTTCCCACTCTCTCATAAGAGATATCTCCAGAAATTCTAGAGAATACAAAAAAATTACATTGAAATTAAAACCAGTGGTTGGCTTTGGGCCAGGTACAGTGGCTCACGCCTGTGATCCCAGCACTTTGGGAGGCCGAGGTGGGCAGATCACTTGAGGTCACGACTTCGAGACCAGCATGGCCAACATGGTGAAACCCCGTCTCTACTAAAAATACAAAAATTAGCCGAGCATGATGGTACATGCCTGTAGTCCCAGCTACTCCGGAGGCTGAGGCAGGAGAATCACTTGAACCCAGGAAGCAGAGGTTGCAATAAGCCAAGATGGAGCCACTGCACTCCAGCTGGGGAAACAGAGTGAGACTCCATCTCAAAATAAATACATAAATAAATAAAAATAGAAATAAAAAAACCCTGAAATGAGACACTTTATCTCATTTTAGCAATCCTATAATATTTCTTTATGACGACAACATGTATTATTAATGCTGATATATCTGAATGCTCACAGTAATCAGGCACTGTTATAAACATCTTACATGTCCTGATTCATTTACTCCTCACATCAGTCTTCCCTATGAGTTCCATAAATTCATGTTAATATTAATTGAATAGGTGCACAGGCTTAGTTTGAGTTTGATTCTGCAGTTGGGTCTACAGAGTCCGAGATACTTCCATACTTGATAACTCATCTGAAAATTTGTGTGCGTGTTTGCAGAAGAAGGGAGTTTATAGCTGTCAAAGCTTTTCAAACTTTTTTCCTTGAATATTTTTAATCACTTTTTCCAAGTCACTTATTTTTACTGTTAAGTGTTCAAGGCTTAGCTCTTATCGGTGAATAATAGTCTTATTCCCCTAGGAAGCTTTCTCTGAAATTAGACAGTCTGGCTGGTGTACAGAGCTTTCTAATGATAATTTAACTTTACCTAGTATCTTTGTTTACCACAGTGGCTTAGAAAAATCTCAGTACCAAAATATTTTTTCTTATTAGTATTTAATGTTCTTGCCCTGAAACACTGGTTTAAAATTGTTTCTCTTTTTCAGATAAACAAAACGTAATGTAGCTATAAAGTGGTTTCATAAATTGTATAAATCCCTCAATGATGACATCAACATTTCAGTCAAAAAAAAAAAGAATATCAAACATCAAATAGTTTAGTTAAAATTTTGCTGAAGTGACTTTTAAAAGACCCTTTATGCTAAGTGGAGTTTACAGTAATGCTTCACTCTGAATAATAACCTAACTTTTGTTGTAAATTAGCGTTGATGCCATTAAATTGGCTGTCCTGCTGACTGTGAAACAGAATTGCTAATTATTACAAAGAGGGGATGCAGATGCAAATAATGTGGAAATGCTTGATCTCAGCTAGCAGAACTAAAAATAATCCAGCAACAACTACTACTACATCAGCAGCTCTTAGGTGTGGAGATTTTTGGCTTCCACTGCAAATGTATTTTGAAATTTTTCACGTGTTGTTATAGATAATGAGTTTCCTGGACCAATAAAGTTCTTTGTACTAAGGGAAATGATGAGCTTTTTGTTTTTTCAGTGTTTTAAAATAAAAACTGTATTTCCTCCTGGTTCTATATAAATGGCATATACTTTTTTTGAAACGCAACAATTAGAGGTACATGAAAAGCATTTGGCAAAAGACTGAGAGAGCCTTCTACTATTTTTCAGGGCAAATGAAAATTCATGTCTGTTACACTGGCCCCTTAAATCTTGATGTACCCACACAGGAATTATTAGTCCTCTCCAATATAATGGAAATAAAGTCTCATTGAAACAAGGTCATTTAGAAAGAGCAGTTTCTCTGTGTAAACCCTGAAATGACTGAACTGGAATTTTGTTCACTAAGATGATCATAAAGAGATAGTTTTATAGTTTTGATTATTGGGGTTATTACAGAATAAAATGGAGAACCTGTCTAATATCAGATATGTTCCTCAATAATTTATAGAAGAAAAAAATTTATATGACCCAAAAGAAAAATAAAAACCTTTAACCTCTAAATAAGCAGATAAAGGCTAATTAAAATATCTCACCTAGCAAAGTGGAAAACATTTTAAATATCATACTAAATGATATCAAGAATGTGGTGAGATGGACATTTTTGTTCCCATCTATACAAACTTTTTGATTCAGAGATACTAGTTCAAATAAATTCTAGAAAAAAGAATTGGAGATTTAGGCAACAGAGTTTTGTTTGTTTGTTTGTTTTGTTTTGTTTTTTTCTGAGACAGAGTTTCCCTCTGTCGCCCGGGCTGGAGTACAGTAGTGTAATTTCGGCTCACTGCAACCTCTGCCTCCCAGGTTCAAGTGATTCTCCTGCCTCAGCCTCCTGAGCAGCTGGAATTACAGACACATGCCAACATGCCTGGCTACTTTTTGTATTTTCGTAGTAGAGCTGGGGTTTCACCATGTTGGCCAGGCTGGTCTCGAACTCCTGACCTCAAGTGATCTGCCCGCCTCGGCCTCCCAAAGTGCTGGGATTACAGGTATGAGCCACCATGCACAGCCTGATAATTTTTATAAAAGATAATCAAAATAGCATTATTAGTCACAAAATATTGAAATATATTTTGGTTTATTTCTTTAACATATTTTTCAGACACTAAAGTTACAAACTTAAAGTATTTTTAATAGTACTTGAACATATTAATAGCTTAATTTTAATTTTAAAACCTGAATAAATGCCCATGATTCTAAATTTTTAAAAGAAAAATTGTTAATATTTTATAAGTGACAACAGAAATACAAGTCTGAATGCTAGCAATGTTTATATCTGGTTAAGGAGTTGGGAGGTGATTTGAAGGTTTTGTATCTTTTATATTAATTTCCCAAAATTTAAAAAATCGATGTAACATATTTAAAGTAGACATTTTGATAAAAATTAATTGTATGTCTAAGTGAAAGTCTCAAACATATTTGACATATTTAAACACATTTTGTACCAAGAAAATTGTACTATTTCCAAGAGATTAAACCTGGGATAATATTAGCTGACTTTAAAATCCTTTGAGAATTGAAAGCTGGCCTCCAACAGGAGTAGTTAGCATTCTTTTAAAAAATAAACAAAAATAGTACCTCCCTGCTTGAATGTGAACCAGCTACCATTTGTTTGCTTGTACCCTTAGTGTATACATGAGGAGTAAATATGAGGTCTCATTGCCTGTGACATTTCTATGTCTAAAGTTTATATACTGTTTTCTTATTTCTATGGATGTAGGTGCTAAGGAACATATGGAACATAAGTTCACAGAAATAAGCACTTGAAAATATAAGGCATGTTCTTATCTCATTGCCACTCAATTATTGTGAACATTTTGTAAATGGCATGCTTATCACAGTGGTTTTCTACAAAAAGTTTAAATTATTAATCTGCTAATACTATCTACATCTATGTACTCAGTATCTCTTACTGTAACTCCAGTGATTCTGTTTGAATTTCTCTGTGTCAAAGTATCATATAACAAAATATTTTAAAATATGTATGACCAGGTCATGCATTATTATTAGCACCTTAACAAATATTAGTCTATTAGTTATCCAGCAGAAAATGGAACTCTGTGGGAGTTCTGAAATGATTTGTATGATCTGCAATGAGGGGGTGGGGTGCCTAGGAAGAAGGGCCCAAAGGGAGAAGAAGTATAGAAGATGAAGATATGTGGTCTAAATAACAAATTTACTATATTTCTTTTTCACTCTTTTTCCCAGAGGACTAAAGCTAGCTAGAAACTTAATGAAAGGATTTCTAAAACTTTTAGACTAAAAATAATCAAGTTAAATATTGAACCTCTTAATCTTACTGCCCAATATCACACAACATAAAAGCACCAGCATTAAAATTTTTGATGTGTCCAATATCCAATTAAGAAATACCCAATAGAAATCTACAAGGCTCTTGTATTTCCTCTATAGATCATTTCTAGGTATTATGGTATCGTCTCTCTTTGTGTAAGACTATTTAGCATTTATTCTTTTAGTTAGGAAGTTTTTGTTCAGTACTCTATCACTTTCAGAAAAGAGCTTGTATAATTGGATGCATAAAAATAAATAATTAACATGCCATATTTTCTGCTTTGTGGTATCAATATTAGGCCCAAATTAAAATATGTGTTCTGTTACCTCTTATTTAAGAAATGATTACATGTTAAATCAAACCATTTAGATTTATAAATACACCAAAATTAAACATTTTATATCATACTGTTTCCTACGAAGAATACATTTAAAACTTTCTAAAGAAGGCAAATTCCTACTTTTCTATGCTACTACTCATTATTTTGTTTCAGAAAAAACTTCAAAATAAAAATTTTTCTTTTCTTAGTTTTGAAGGATTCTGCTTTTTTAACCAATAAAAAGGAAGAATTTTTGTATTCAAAATGATTTATTGAAAAGGTCTAGCTTCTGCTCTCTTCAGATTAATCTTACTATAGTTATTTCCTTGAGCAGCCATCAAATATATAGTATTAGCATAAAACCATAACTTTGCTTTTCACTTTTGCCAATATTAAGATTATGCTGCCATCTGATTCATAGGCAGCTTTACAGGCATCCATCATGCAAAACAGATTTTAGACTAAAAAATTACTCATCAGCTTTTTATTAACTCACATGTCATACATATTCAGATACATGGTCAAGAAAGGCATTGCTTAATCTTGCTGGAGCACAAGGGATTTAAATAAAATTTGTGTAAGATTCACAACTATTTTGAAATTGGCTATAAGAGTAAAACACAATCCTGAAAAGAAAAGAAAAACATAACGAGGCTAAAGAATGAGAACACAAGTGCCTTTTGCAGACAAAAGTTGATATATGATTAAATTTGAGAGTAAACCATTTTTGAGGATGAGAATGGACCTTTACATATTTATTCCATGTACATAATAAAGAGAAGAGGAAGCTCATTTAGGAAAGGGCCATCTGAATTCTGAGAGTGTCTAAACCTTTCCTAAAGCTATGAGGTTTTTCGTTTCCTTTCAGACCTACACTTTGATAATAATAAAGGTATTATGCCAACTTCCACCTTTCGAATAACAACATTACTGTTATTAAATACCTAGTTATAATGGCATTAACTTTTGAAAAGAGGTACTCATTTTAAAAATAGTAACATTTTAAGTATGAGATATATCACATAGTCTAGATATTTACTGGGTTTAAAATACACCAAAATTTTTTCTACACTTGATAAGACATAGGAGAATATATAAATACAATAATTCATTTGTCAATTTAATATATATATCTGATGTCCACCAAGCACTCTCTTATAATCCCTGACAATACATTAGATTACAAATAGATCAGGTCCACACCACTTGGTAGTTATATTTTATTGGACAAGATAAATAATAAACAGATATATGAGTACATAAATAATGAAATTTCAAGTGATACATGACATAAAGAAAAATATAAAAGTAGGGGAAAGTAGAATCAGAAGAAGTGCAGTTTTAATAAGGTAGTCAAGGAAGGCCTTTCTGAGAGGGTGGCATTTGAGCAGATGTCTAGAAGACATGCTAAAGCAAACTGTGCTACTATTTGAGAAGCCTCCAGAAGATAAATCACGCTTCCCTGTGCGGGAAGTGTGTCTGAGGAGTAGCAAGGAGGTCAGTGTAATTGAAGCACATAGAAAGAAAGAGAAAAAGAGAAACTGAAGTTAAGAGTGATAGTCAAACATAAGATTACATGGAGTATTACAGGCCATGGAAAGCACTTTGGATTTCAAAAGAGATGCTAGGAAGAGTATACATTTTAAACAACATCTTAGGAAATCCTCACAGAAGAAATTGACCCCAAAAATGCAATATCTATTTTAAATGGTTTTCACTTAATCTCCTACTCATTCATAGGATGTATTTTGTGGATTATAAGGCCAGGTCCATAATGATTTAATATCTGGAGATATGAGATCAACCAACAGGATAGCCACTTGTGTCTTTTTAAATGAAACAGAAGATTTAAAAAATGTCAACCAAATATTAACTTGCCAAAAAAGTACTATTTTTAAAAGACTTATTAGTTATTTGAAACAGTCATATGCAGAAAACTAAATACTACTGAAATAACCTCAGGCTAAAAAGTGAGGTGAAGAAAAGTTCCATGAGAACAGGGAGAAGTTCAAAACATCTACTCGGCCTTCTAAAAATTACACTAAATTTAGAGAGAGTGGTCAAATGGAATTGGGCCTATGTAAATTCAATTCACCATCAGGGGAGAAATGGCAATGAATGGTGCTGAGTAAATTGTTGTCTTAAAAAGTGTCAAAATATTCAAGCAATATTCTAAACTGAATTCATTTTAAAAACAAAAAGTAAATTTGATATAAAATTAATGTGGAATTAGAAGATATTGAATGTGATACCAGAATTCAAGCGATAAACTTCAAACCTATTGTCCTCAACTCTACCATCACTGAAATGAGTCCACTCATTAAAAACTCAAAGAATTAGTATCAACATTTATTTAGCCTCTGGAATACAAACTGTAGTTACTATATTTATAAGTTCAACTACCACATATATAAACTACTCAGTAAAAACGACTTTCTATTTTTCACCATGAAAAATTAAAAAGTAAACACATTGATGACCCAATACCTCGTATAGAAAAGACTACTAAAATGTCATCACGTTCAGGACACATCTAAAGGATGCATGAGCTTGATTGCTGTCTGTAATACCAACAGACATCAAGTTGTTACTGTTATTTTATCTTAGCAATTAGGCCATGTTACAGAATATTGCTAACTCAATGAAAAATGTTAAAAATACTTTGTAAAATGACTATTCTAGACTGCAAATCTCTATCTATAATATATTCACTTAAAAAAAAATAGGGCCAGACATGGTGGCTCACACTTGTAATCCTAGCACTTTGGGACGCCAAGGTGGGCAGATCACTTGAGGTCAGGAGTTTGAGACCAGCCTTGCCAACATGGTGAAACCCCGTCTCTACTAAAAATATCAAAAAATTAGCTGGGCATGGTGGCACAGGCCTGTAGTCCCAGCTACTTGGGAGCTGAGGCACTAGAATCATTTGAACCCAGGAGCCAGAAGTTGCAGTGAGCCAAGATTGTGCCACTGCACTCCAGCCTGGGTGACAGAATGAGACTCTGTCTCAAAAAATAAATAAATAAATAAATAAATAAATAAATAAATAAATAAATCAGAGCATTGCTTTAACAACCAAGAAACTTAAAGACAAATTAATTGCCCAGTTACGGTAACCATTTTTTCTCGGGTGTATTATGGAATTTTCTTATTTTCTATATTCCATTTTTTATTCCAATGTGTTGATGTTATCTATTTTGTTTAGTCTATAGAACATCTAACTTTTTTCAGAAGACAACTGTAAACAATAGGTGAAAAGTCTGCATTTATTAAAACATCTAATGTGTACCATTATTTATCTATTTTTTATGTTTTATCTATTATTACATTGCCCAGGCTTCTTATTACATCCTCACAGCTATAATGTGAGTTTCAGTACTATCACTGTCTTCATTTTACAGAAAAGAAAACTGAGGCTGAAGAGGACAAAAACATTGCGGATGGTCAGAAAAAGTAGTCAGTGGATGACACCAGAACACAAATGCAAGTATTCTGAACTTCTAACACTTCGAAGCCAAAACTTCGAATCGCCATTTTGCACTGTCTGTGAAATAAGCAGGGCAGAAAACTGGTGGTAAGGCTGGGTGGATGTTTGAATCGCCATCATGCCATCATGTGCCTACTGAGCTCAGATATTACTGTCAGTAGGCACATACAATTCGTTTGAGTAATGAGTAATGAACTAATTGGTTTGATGATTAATTAGCTAAGTTCTAAACTCATTACAATGTAATTATAGTAATTGATTATAAAAATAAAAAATAAGTGTTATAGAAAGCTACATATATTTTATTTGGGTCAAAGATATCAAGGATCTTATTTTTGTACAATAAATAAAGATTAGGCTTACATTTGCCACTATTTATGTGGTTTATCAAGTTTGAAATAAATAGTTGGGCTACAAATTATTGCAGACAATGGTTTCTGAGTGATTACCAATGTTTCAATTACAAAATCATCTATGATTAAGGATTAATACATGTCTTGGTTTTGAAGTATTTCCCTCTAAAAGTTTCTATAGAAAATATAAAAGAACATCTTTATAAAATTAATATCATTGAAGAATCCAAAGCAGAAATAATTACATGTTTAATGTTTAACTTAGTTTCAATTGAAGTACTTCTTATCACACAGCTGGGTGCTATTAGGAAAGAGCTCTTCTCTCTGAGACCATTCACTCTCTGGTATACAATTTGTACAATGTTTTGAAGAATGCTGAGTGTGAAGAACTAGTTTACTATTCAATCTTATCTTATAAGTCTCTAATACTGATTTCAGAAACAATAAAGGATGTCTTTGCTGGTAGACACCATCTAGTCAGATTCATCTTCTCCATATCTAACCATATTGTTTATTTCAAAGTAAAAGGCCAAGTGATATATTTAGAGATAATGTAATGACCATCACAATACAAAATTGCATAGCATAATTTTGATTTTTATTACATTGTTATTATTTTGAGTTTCCAAATTTTATCATGAAAATCAATCATTTTTAATATTTCCTTTGTTTCAAAAATTAAATTTTTTTAATGAATGCTGTCTCTTTATTTCAGTGCAGTAAAAATATTAGCACTACAGGTCACTAGTCTGGCAGTAAAACAATGTATTGAAGAGTAAGTCTAATCACAAATATAAGTATGAACATTTAAGAAAATGAAAGCATATTGATCCTATCATTATAAAATACAAGCAGAATGTATTCCTTTTTAAGCAAATAACTACCCAAATGTATGGGCATCATCAGTGGGTCAGATCAAACCAATTGCTATATCAATGAAAGAACACAGACCATGCAAAGTTTGAAAGGATGCAAGCAGAATAAAAAGAATGCCAGAATATGATGCATCTAAACAGGATTAAAAATAAATCAAAATTATGTATTTGGCACATAGTGGGCACAGAAAAATTATTTATTGAATGAATAAACATAGAAGGTGAAAACATACATAATTGTTTTTCTTTCAGTCACTGAACAATATCAATGTGTCTCTTCAGGGACTGAAGCCTACAGATTGTCTCTCAAGAGGCCTCACAGGGGCCCTTTATTGCCTTAGTGAATTTCTTATGATACAAGACCTACTGATCAATGTTGAGGAGTCTGCAGTCTAATTGTTTTAAAACACAGAGTGCGTGAATCTCTCAGAGACCAATCCCACTAACCAAGATAATCAGACTTCCTTACACAAGTCAGAATGCTCATTTACTCATTTGAAATGAGATATTTCGTCACTGATTTTTGCATTCTCTTCCTGACAGTAGATCTATACAGGAAACCAAAGCATAAACTAAAGGGTGATTGGTGGTCCTTGACTTACAAAAAGGAGAGCTGGCAGAAGCAAATGTGAAGGCTTCAATTTGTGACAGCCTGATATGTCCATTTTACAACAAGGAGTCTCTTGCTTAGGAGACAGGCAGTTGACAAATATGTCAGCTAAAGCATCCTCTCTTGTATATTACCACTAGAATTTGCCATTCTAATCACCACTCCTTTTAGGATTAACACACTTTTTACTGAATATCTAATGGGTAACATCAGGCCTGGTTGCCCATCACCCACAAGTTATTTGTTTTATTTATTATCTCTTGTTCCTACAACTTGAATTTAAAGTATATCTTTATAGACTCTAAAATACATGTTGTGGTAATTTGTCTTATTCTTCTCAGATTGCCATCTTCATCTGAAAATTGACACATTTCCACCATTGTGCCCTGTAGAATCATTTGATATATTTGCACATTTAAAACTCTCTGCTTCTACTTATAGGGACATAAGAATTATGTGGGGCGGGGGTTGGGGGGAGACACAATATTTAGAAACCAAGTTAAAAAGTTCCTTTCTCTCTGGGTACTTTAAATTTACTTAAGGATACTCCTATTTTCTTCTTTGAAATCCTAGTAGCTGGAGGAAAAGAATAAAAAGGAAATTACTCTGCCCAGCTATCAGCAACTGGGGAAGAATAGGAGGAATGTTGATCACTCTCTAACAGGTTGGTAGTTATATCCACTATTCTCCCATGGCATAAATACCATCAGTGTGGTAGAAATCACATTAGGTTGGAGGTAAGAGTATCAGGATGAGGTCTTTCCTATCTCTGGCAATAATTAATTGTGTAACATTGAACACATTATTTAATCTCAGTTGTAAATGGGGTTACACAGTTATCAGAAGTTCTTCATGCCATCATGCTTGTGACATTCACAGAATCCTATCAGTAATTGTGGCTAATTAAAGCAGGGATCCTTGAGAGTAGGGTAAGGAGAACACAAACCTGGAGAAGAGAAAAATGTATTTGATTCTCAGAGCAGAAAGAAATATGTTCATTTTTGATAAACCCATAATTGAAGAGGACAGGAATAGATCTTTAACTTTTTCTTCAAATGCTAGCAGTTTCTAGAACTCTCTAAGGTCACAGAATTCACAGTATATTTTATATTTGAGAGAAAAAAATATTTAGAGAGGACATCAAAAATCCACTTGTAAATATTTTTGGTATGAGATAGCAATTTGTAATATGTGTTAGTTTCTCAACTTTTTTTTCCATATTACAAAATGCTCAAAAATTGCTTTATGTCGGATCATAATTTCTCATAAATCATGAGTTAAAATATGTGGTGGTATAAAACAATCCATGTGTAATGATTTGAAATCAAATTCAATTTGCATTAAAATGCCACTGAAAAGATTTTTTTTTCCTTAGGGTAATCCCATTCTTATAACATAGCTGAATTGATATTTAATATACACATTTATTTATTTATTTATTTATTTATTTATTTATTTATTTATTTATTTGAGATGGAGTCTTCCTCTGTCTCCCAGGCTGGAGTGCAGTGGCACAATCTTGGCTCACTGCAACCTCCACCGCTTGGGTTCAAGCAATTCTTCTGCCTCAGTCACTCAAGTAGCTGGGATTACAGGCATGCACCACCACACACCCAGCTAATTTTTGTATTTTCTGTAGAGACAGGGTTTCACCACATTGGCCAGGCTGGTCTAGAACTCCTGGTCTCAAGCGACCCGCCTGCCTTAGCCTCCCAAAGTGCTGGGATTACAGAGGTGAGCCACCACATCCAGCTGATGTACATACACAATTTCTTGGGAAGCAAGGGGACATTTGGTTATATCTCTGGCCAGAAAGAACAACTTTCCTTTGTTACACTTATGACTGATTTCTAACAGAGAAGAATCACAGGTGAGGCAATGTGGGATTTATCTCACAGCTAATATTTTCCAATTTTGTTACATAAAAGGCTAATCATCAACCTTTTTTGCCCTCAGTGTACTCATCAATAAAATATAGAAAAATGAACAAGCACACAAGGAAATATGATAATTTCTAAATTGTAATAATATTCATAATATATGTAACGTAATGCTTGGCACATAGGCAACTAATCTAGGGGGCAATTCTTTTTTCTTCTTCCTTTTCCTCCTCTTTTGTCTCTTCATCTTTCAAATTATTATTAATGTCTAATATATCAAATTAGGAGTTTGGGTGGAGAAAGGAATTAAACTAATTCATGCCATAACTTCTCTGTATACAGGTGCCAGTTAGATTGGAAATAGTGGTTATAATTAAACTGAGTATTTCTACTTAATAAATAATACAAAGTGAACAATCAAATGTATTTGGAACCACTAACCTGAATATTGAAAATATCATCTTTCTTTCCAAATTAGCTCCCCTCTTTCTGACTGCCCAATTTATGGTAATGACATCGAAATCTTTCTATTACTCAGAATTAAAACCCTGGGTTTATGTTTTATTTATTTTCTTTTTCTTTACTTTTGTACACTTGCAAAGCCTGTAATAATTGATGTGAATTATATTTACACCATCTTTTCAGATTTCACAGGTATTATTCAATTTCTAGTGCTCTCTCTCTCTCACCAGGACATGACAGCTTTCTAAATATAGTGTGCTTTAATAATCATTAGCACACTCACTTTATATCTTTGTAGGGGAGAAATAAGAACTGCACCATAATTCAAATGATAGCTTGATAACTGAAGAAAAGATCAGAAATAAAGGATGCTAAGTAATTAATTAGGGCTTTCTGTGTAATAGGGATTATTATTTTTTTAATCCTTAATAAAACTTGTTAAAAATTTCTAGCAATTTATGTACACCTGGCTACTCTTTACCAATGACTTTTGTGGCAATAGAGAATAAAATCTTATCAAAGTTTAATGCTGCCAAAAAGTTGGTTTTGTGATTGTCAAAGAGACCTTATAGTAATACTCTATGCATATACTTGTTCATATTTTGCATTTTTTAAATATTCACTCTGTCCTTTGGCTTTTGGCTTTTGATTTCTTCTGTTACTATATCACACCTCATTCTAAGTACTTACCACTGGCTTTATGTAATGGTGTCACAAAGATGGAAAATGAAAAAAAATGTTACTTTGCAGTATGACTGGATGAATTAATGATTGACACATAAAAGTAAACACGTAGAATAAGTATAATGCAGTATATTAACACACACATTAGTTTTCACTACTTAAGAAACAATTACAGGATCTCTGTGGCATACAAATCAGGAAATTAATTCTTGCCCACAGGTTCAGCTGATCTAGCCTTGGTTGTGCGTGGTGGCACTGCTACAGGCTTTCAAGCATCTGGGCATATCTCCAAACTGTTGGTTGGAATGAGATCTGTTCTATATTTCTCCCATTCTCCTTTTATTAGTGGCCACCTGGGACGTGTTCTTGTAGAGAATGGCATGAGTGCAATACAATAAGCCAAACTATGCAGGCACATTTAAAACCTTTGCTTGTTTCAAATATGCTCATATTCCACTAGCCAGAGCAAGTCACAGGACCAAACCCACGGAGGCCCTGAGTGTATACAAACCTCAAGAATAGGAGAGAGGAGAATAAATACCTGTCAATCAGTAACATAATGCATCAATACACTATAATAGAAAATAAAACTTTTAAGGTAGCTGCCAGTATAAGGTTGGATTTTATTGTACAGCCAAATAGAAAACTTTTGAAGATATATTTTTTTTTCCCTCCCAAACCACCTCTGCTGTCTTGGTTTCTACTTTAAATGACGAGAAGGTATAATAATCAGATGGAGTCCCATTCCAGGACACTGATTAAGCCCCATTTATTGGTGTATATTTTTGGCAGACATTTGATGTGTCTCCTTCCTTCTCTACACCTTACCAAATGCAGTCCACCACCACGTTGTCTCTGATGCTCTTACACATCCTATCTGCATGATAAACTGACCCAGGAAGAGCTAGCACATGGCAGGATATGTCATCTCATGCGTGCTTTCCCTTTTAATCCACTGAACATGTCCATGGGTGGGACTTGCTATGGTCTGAAAGTTCATGCCCCCGTGAAGTTTATATATTAAAATACACTCGAGGTGATGGTATGAGGAAGTCGGGACTTTGAGAGGTAAGTAGGTCATGCTTCTTTCAAATAAGCTCATGTTCCACTAGCCAGAGAAAGTCGCATGACCAAGCCCATGCGGTACATGAGTATATACAAATCTCAAGAATGAGAGAGAGTGGAACTCTCATGAAGGGGAATCATGTCCTTATAAAAGAGACAAGAGAGACCCGTCACATCTTTTACCACAGGAGGACACAGCTAGAAAATCTATGAACCAGAAACCCCTCACCTGCCACCAAATCTGCTAGCATCATGATCTTGGACTTCCCAACCTCCAGAACTGTAAGAAATGAATTTCTGTTATTTATGCTACCTGGTTTATGGTATATTGGTATAGCAGCCAGTCATCTTAATACAAAATCAGAACAAAAATTATTCTTTCCTTGAATATTTTTAAGTACAAGGGAGGCATGAGCTGATTTCTGTTTTATATTATTTACAAAAATGATTATGGCACAGTGTGGAGAATGAAAATCCTGGTGGCCATGGAATCATTAGAGGAGATGAGAATTTGAACAAAAGCAATAAAAACCATGGATGAAAAGGAAGGATTATCATTTTTTTTAATGGTGAAACTAATAGTATTTAGAAAATGGCTGAATTAATGAGATATGAAGGCTATCAAGTTTTTATCTTGGATGGCTAGATGAAAGGTTGCTAGCTTTTTGTATTCAGTAGCAATAAAGTATTTTGCAAAAGTCCATTAATATTTGCTACTCAAAATGATATCTTATTAAAAGTCACCAATTGAGTATCTCATTGATGCAGAAATTCCTTCCATAGCATTACAAAGTTATTTATCCTTTTTCTACCAAGTGTGTTTTTTTTCAGTGATGGAAATATAACTTTCTTTTATGATATTGCTTTCTATTAACAGGTAGTTTCAATTATTAGACACTTAAATATTATAATGACAAAAAATATTCAATTCCTGAAAATTAGAATTTCTAGCTGCTGTATCATTAGCCTAATTCTTTGATATATATTTCTATGGTATTTTTCAAAATTAATTTATTTTATTTCTTTTTTAAAATTTCCAACTTTTAAGTTCGGGGTACATGTACAGAATGTGCTGGTTTGTTACATAGACGAACGTGTGCCATGGTGGTTTGCAACACAGATCATCACATCACCCAGGTGTTAAGCTCAGCATCCATTAGCTATTATTCCTGATCCTCTCCTTCCTCTGACACCCACCCTCCAACAGTCCCAAGGGTGTGTCATTCCCCACAATGTGTTCTCATCATTTAGTTCCCACTTGTAAGTCAGAACATGTAGTATTTGGTTTTCTGTTCCTGCATTAATTTGCTAAGGATAATGGCCTCCAGCTCCATCCATGTCCCTTTAAAGAACATAGTCTCACTCCTCCTTATGGCTGTATAGTATTCCATGGTGTATATGTATCATATTTTCTTTATCCAGTCTATCCTTGATGGGCATTTAGGTTGATTCCATGTGTTCACTATTGTGAATAGTGCTGCAATGAACATGCGTGTGCATGTGTCTTTATAATAGCAAAATTTATATTCCTTTGGGTATATACTCAGTAATGGGATCCCTGGACAGACTTTCTGATAGCCATTCTTAGTGGTGTGAGATGACATCTCATTATGGTTTGATTTGCATTTCTCTAATGCACAGTGATGTTGAGCTTTTCCTCAAATGTTTGTTCGTCGCATAAATGTCTTCTTTTGAGAAGTGTTTGTTCATGTTCTTTGCCCACTTTTTAATAGGTTTGTATTGTTTTCTTGTAAATTTGTTTAAGTTCCTTGTAGATGCTAGATATTAGATCTTTGTCAGGTGGATAGATTGCAAAAAATTTCTCCCATTCTGTAGGTTGTCTGTTTACCAATTTACCAATGTGCAAAATTGTTTATCAATGTGCAAAATTGACTAGCATTACTATACACCAAAAACAGGCAAGCCAAGAGCCAAATCATAAATGAACTCCCATTTGAAATTGCCACAAAAAAATATACCTATGAATTCAGCTAACAAGAGAAGTGGAGGACATCTTCAAGGAGAACTATAAACCACTGCTCAAAGAAATCAGAGATGACACAAACAAATGGAAAAAATATAGAAAATAGGTTTTTTTTTCTAATTATGTGAAGAATATCAATGGGAATTTAATGGGAATAGCATTGCGTCTATAATTGCTTTGGGCAGTATGGCCATTTTCAAAAGATAGTTTCTTTTGCTGTGCAGAAACTCTTTACTTTAAATAGCTCCCATTTGTCAACTTCTGCTTTTGTTGCAATTGCTTTTGGTGTCTTCATTTTGAAATCTTTTCCTGTGCCTATATCCTTAATGGTATTTCCTTGATTTTACTCTAGGGTTTTTATAGTTTAGGGTTTTACTTTTAAGTCTTTAATCAGTCTTGAGTTGAATTTTGTGTGTGGTGTAAGGAATGGGTCCAGTTTCAATTTTCTGCATATGGCTAGCCAGTTCTCCCAGCACAGGACATTAGATAGAGAATCCTTTCCTCATTGCTTATTTTTGTCAGCTTTGTGGAAGATCAGATGGTTTTAGGTGTGTGGTCTTATTTCTGGGTTCTCTATTCTGTTCCATTGATCTATGGGTCTATTCTCCTTCTAGTACCATGCTGTTTTTGTTGCTATAGCTTTGTATTATAGTTTGAAGTTGGGGAGAGTGATGCCTCTAGCTTTGTTCTTTTTGCTTAGGATTGCCTTGGCTATATGGGCTGTTTTTTGGTTCCATGTAAATTTTAGAATAGTTTTCTTTTTCTAATTCTGTGAAGAATATCAATGGTAATTTAATGGGGATAGTGCTCAATCTATAATTGCTTTGGGCAGTATGACCATTTTCAAGATACCGATTCTTACTATACATGAGCGTGGAATGTTTTTTCCATTTGTTTGTGTCATCTCTGATTGCTTTGAGCAGTGGCTTATAGTTTTCCTTGAAGAGGTCCTCCACTTCTCTTGTTACCTGAATTCCTAGGTATTTTATTTTTTTGTGCCAATTGTGAATGGGAGTTCATTTATGATTTGGCTCTTGGCTTGCCTTTTGTTGGTGTATAGTAATGCTGGTAATTTTTGCACATTGGTTTTGTATTTGAAGACTTTGCTGAAGTTGCTCATCAGCTTAAGATGCTTTTGGGCTGAGCTGATGGGGTTTTCTAAGTATAAGATCATGTCATTTGCAAACAAAGATAATTTGTCTTCCTCTCTTCCACTTTGAATACCCTTTATGTCTTTCTCTTGCCTGAATGTCCTGGCCAGAACTTCCAATACTATGTTGAATAAGAGTGGTAAAAGAGGTAAATCTTGTCTTGTGCCAGTTTTCAGTGGGAATACTTCCAGTTTTTACCCATTCTGTATAATATTGGCTGTGGGTTTGTCATATATGGCTTATACTATTTTGAATTATATTCCTTCAATAGTTTATTGAGAGTTTTTAACATAAAGGGATGTTGAATTTCATTGAAGGTCTTTTATGAATCTATTGAGATAATCATGTGGCTTTCGTTTTTAGTTCTGTTTATGTGATTAATCACATTTATTAATTGCTTATGTAGAACCAGCCTTGCATCCCAGGGATGAAGCCTACTCGATCGTGGTGGATAAGCTTTTTGATGCACTGCTGGATTCAGTTTGTCAGTATTTTGTTGAGGATTTTTGCATCGATATTGATCAAATATACTCACCTGAAGTTTTCTTTTTTTGTTGTATCTCTACCAGGTTTTGGTATCAGGATGATACTTGCCTCATAGAATGTGCTAGGGAGGAGTCTCCTTTTCAATATTTTAAAATAGATTCAATAGGAATGGTACCAGCTCCTCTTTGTGCCTCTGCTGGAATCCAGCTGTGAATTCATCTGGTCCTGAGCTTTTTTTGGTTGGTAGGCTTTTTATAACTGTCTTAATTTGAGAACTTACTGGTCTCTTCAGGGATTCAATTTCTTCATTATTCAATCTTGGGAGAGTGTATGTGTACAGGTATTTATCCATTTCTTCTAGATTTTCTAGTTTATATGCATAGAGGCATTTATAGTATTCTCTGATGGTTGTATTTCTGTGGGATCAGTTCTAATATCCCCCTTATTTCTGATTGTGTTTATTTGAATCTTCTCTCTTTTCTTCTTTAGTAGTCTAGCCTGTGGTCTATCTATTTTATTTTATTTTTTTTAAAAAAGCAGCTCCTGGATTTGTTGATTTTTTGAAGGGTTCGTCGTGTCACTATCTCCTTTAGTTCAGCTCTGATCTTGGTTATTTCTTGTCTTCTGCTAGTTTTAGGGGTTTTTTGTTTGTTTGTTTGTTTGTTTGTTTGTTTGTTTTGCTCTTGGTTCTCTAGCTCTTTTAGTTGTGATGTTAAGTTGTTAATCTGAGATCTTTCTAGCTTTTTGATGTGGGAATTTAGTGCTATAAATTTCCCTCTTAACACTGCTTTAGCTGTGTCCCAGAGATTCTGGTACATTGTATCTTTGTTGTCATTAGTTTCAAAGAACTTCTCAATTTCTGCCTTAGTTTTTTATCTACCCCAAAGTCATTCAGGAGCAGGTTGTTCAATTTCCTTTTAGTTGTATGGTTTTGAGTGAATTTCTTAATCTTGAGTTCTAATTTGATTATGCTGTGGTCCAAGAGATGTTTTTTCATGATTTCAGTTCTTTTGCATTTGCTGAGGAGTGTTTTACTTCCAATTACGTGATCAATTTTAGAGTAGGTGCTGTGTGGTGATAAGATGGATGTATATTCTGTTGTTTTGGGGTAGAGAGCTCTGTAGATATCTATGGGGTCCACTTGATCCAGAGCTGAGTTCAGGTCCTGAACATATTTGTTAATTTTTTGTCTTGATGATCTGTCTAATATTGTCAGTGAGGTGTTAAAGTCTCGCACTATTATTGTGTGAGAGTCTAAGTGTCTTTGTAGGTCTCTAAAAACTTGCTTTATAAATCTGGGTGCTCCTGTATTGGGTGCATATCTATTTAGGATAGTCAGCTCTTCTTGATGAATTGAACCCTTTACCATTATCTAATGCCCTTCTTTGTCTTTTTTGATCTAGTTGGTAAAGTCTGCTTTTTTAGAAACTAGGATTGCTACCCCTGCTTTTTTCTGTTTTCCATTTGCTTGGTAAATTCTCCTCCATCCCTTTATCTAGAGCCTATGTGTGTCTTTACACATGAGATGGGTCTTGAAGACAGCACACTAATGGGTATTGGTTCTTTATCCAATTTGCCATTCTGTCTGTTAATTGGAGCATTTAGCCCATTTAAATTTAAGGTTAGTATTGTTATGTGTGGATTTGTCATCATGATGCTAGCTGGTTATTTTGCAGACTTGTTTATGTTTATGACTTCATGTGTCACTGATCTGTGTACTTCAGTGTGTTTTTGTATGGCTGGTAATAACTTTTCCTTTTCATATTTAGTGCTTTATTCAGGAGCTCATGTAAGGCAGGTCTGGTGGTACCAAATTCTGTCAGCATTTGCTTGTCTGAGAAGGATCTTATTTCCCTTTGCTTATGAAGTTTAGTTTGTCCAGATATGAAATTCTGGGTTAGAAATTCTTTTCTTTAAGGATGTTAAATATTGGCCCCTGATCTCTTCTGGCTTGTAGGGTTTCTGCTGAGACATCCACTGTTAGTCTGATGGGCTTCCTTTTGTAGGTGACCTGGCCTCTCTCTCTGGTTGTCCTTAACAATTTTTTCTTTCATTTTATTCTTGTAGAATCTGATGATTATATGACTTGAGGATGATCTTTTTGTGTAGTATCTTACTGAGACTCTCTGCATTTCTTGAATTTGAATATTGACCTGTCTAACTAGGTTGGGGAAGTTCTCCCAGATTATATCCTGAAATATGTTTCCAAAATTGGTTCCATTCTCCCCATCTCTTTCAAATACCTCAATCAATCATAGATTCAGTCTCTTTACATAATCCCATATTTCTTGGAGGTTTTGTTTATTTCTTTCATTTTTTTCTCTGTTCTTGTCTGCCTGTCTTATTTCAGATAGACAGTCTTCAAGCTCTGAGATTCCTTCCTCCATTTGGTTTATTCTGCTAGTAATGCTTGTGATTGCATTATAAAGTTCTTGTAGAGTGCTTTTTCAGCTCTATCAGATCAGTTATGTTTCTCCTTATACTGGTTATTTTGGCTGTCAGCTCCTGTATTGTTTAATCATGATTCTTTTCTTCTTTGCATTGTGTTACAACATGCTACTGTAGCTCAGCGAGGTTCATTCTTATCCACATTCTGAAACCTACTTCTGTCATTTCAGTCATCTCAGCCTCAGCCCAGTTCTAAACCCTTGCTGGAGAGATGTAGCCATCATATGGAGGAAAGGGGGCACTCTGGCTTTTTGAATTTTCAGCGTTTTTGTGCTTTTTTTTTTTTACTGTATCTTTGTGGGCTTATCTATCTTTGATCTTTGAGGTTGCTGACCTTTGGGTAGGTTTGTGTGTGTGTGTGTGTGTGTGTGTTTTATTGCTGTTGTTTGTCACTTTGTTTTTATTTTAATAGTATGTTCACTCTTCCATAAGGCTGCTGCAGTTTGCTGGGGGTCTGCTCCAGAACCTAGTCACCTTGGTTTTTCCCATACCTGGAGGTATCACTAGGGCTGTGAAACAGCAAAGATGGCAGCCTGGCCCTTCCTCATGAAGGTCCATCCCAGGGAGTACTGATCTGTTGTGGGCCCAAATGCCTGTAGGAAGGGGCTGGAGATCTGGGTTGGGAGGTCTATCCCAGTCAGGAGAAATGGGATGAGGGACCCGCTTAAAGAAGCAGACTGGCTGCATTTTGGTAGAACAGCTGTGCTGTGTTGGCAATCCTTTCAGCTCTGATCAGGTTGGGCTCTCCAAGGCCCACAGGCTGGGCTGGCTGAGATGCCCAAACAGCAAAGATGGCAGCCTGCCCCATTCCCCAGGCACTCCATCCCAGGAAGATATTAGAGCTCTGTCAGCCATAGAAGATGTGCAGGGGTGGCTGGAGGCCCTGGCTGGGAGGACCTGCCCAGCAAGGAAGAATGGATCCAGGTCCACTTTAAAGAAGCGGCCTGGTCATGCCTTGACAAAATAGCTTTGCTGTGCTGGGGAACTGCCTCAGCCCAGGTCAGCTAGGACTCTCCAAAGCCTGGAAACTGGAATGGCTGAGTCATCCAAACAAACAAGGTGGTGATCCACCCCTCCTCCCAGGCAACCCATCCCAGGGAGAGATCAGAGCTCTGTCCATAGAATATGGGCAGGCGGTGATGGGTAGAGGTCTCAGCTTGGGAGGTCCCACCCAGTGAGGAGAAATGTCTCAGACAGGCTCCATTCTGTTGCTGGTGGCTGGCTGGCTGGAAATTCAAGCCAATGGGTATTATCTTGTGAGGTGCTGTGGAAGTGGGGCCTGCAGACCAAGGCTGCTCTGCCCTCTGGATTCAGTCCCCTTGCTAGTGGTACGTACAGACCTCCTGCCTTGCCTGACTGGCAGTCACCTTTGTTGGGGGATCCCAGGGCTGGGGTCTCTATGTGTTCCTGAGCAGCTGCACTGCCGAGACTCCACATAGCTCTGTGTGTCAGACCCAAGGCTCTAGTTGCATGGGCTCACCAGGGGCTCTCCTGATCTGAGGGTTGCAAAGATCTGTAGGAGAAACGGGTTTCCTGGGGTCACACATTCAGCTATTGCTTCTCTTGGCTGGCGGTGGGGATTCCCTTGCCTCCATCTAGCTCCGGGGTGGGCCGTTACCCTACCCTGCTTTTCTTCTTTCTCCATGGGTTGAGTTGTTTACCTATCAGTCCCAATATGAGTACCTGGATATTTCAGATGAAGGTGCTGTATTCATTCACCCCTTTTTTTCCTCTCTGTGAGTGCTATGGACAGCAGCTGCTTGTAATTAGCCATCTTGCCCACCTCCCTCCCCCCATACTCCTGTTTTTTAATGGGACTTTTGAAACAAAATATATTACTTTAGAAATAGCCAATTTTCCCCCTAAATTAAATTGTTGGTCTTAGCTTTAAGTCAACTATAATTCTTGTATAATTTTTCACATAAAATTGGTCTTTTATCCATAAACCAGTAACAGGATTTTTCTTAGTGTCAGTAAACATTCTTTTTTTCCCCCAAGTTTTAAATGATGTAATGACTATTTCTTCTGAAGCTTTTAGTTAATATTCTATACAAGAAGCATCTTATTTACTTTAATTTAAATGTTTAGTTTGTCTCTTCCTTCTTCTTTGGGTTCTCTGGTTAATCTAACTGGCATCTTTGATGCCAAAACACTTTTAACTCCGGATTTGATTGTTTGGCTCATTTTGTTTATTAACTTTTCATCCTCTCTAGTAAACCAAGTGTAAATTTGCCATTTCTCAAATTCTTTCACATTTTTCTAGACAATGGATGGTTTGTAATTATGGCACCTGTGCTTGTATTTTAACAAATGCTGCAGATCTCTCAGGCTGTTTATATGAGAACATATTTCCGAGATTTAGATTAACTCTTATTTTTCTCCTCTTCCCCTCTAAGTGACTACAGTTTTTTTGTTGTTGTTGTTCTTCAGAAGCTTATAAGAAAGCTGTCTTTTGTTAATTTACTCATCATTGTGTTCACTCATTGCATATTACATGATAACCACCATGCTAGGCATTAGCACAAAAAGTAAGACAAAGACTTTAAACCATAGAAGTTCAAATCTTGATAGGACATAGGATCTTAAACATATAATGGCAACACAGTGTGCTAAATGTTGTGATAGAGACATATAGGGAGGTAGAACAAAGGGGTTAACAAAGGTTTTACAGCAGAGAAGGTACTTGCCTGTGAAATACAAGTTTGTCAGGCCTAGGAAGAAAAATCTTTTCCAGGCAATTTGACTTATTTGCATTTACTAAGCATTAGCCTTTTTTTCATGTAGCACACTACAAACTTTTAAAATAATACTCTATCGATCTAACTTTCTTTTTTCCTATTTTTTATACTGTCTCTGGTTCATTTCTCTGGTCACCTCTCTTCTTAGAGTTAAACAAATAATCAGGAACTTTATATATTTTGTTGTATTTCTTCACTCCATTTCATATGCCCTAACTCAGAATATAATAAAATGCCTGTTATAACCCAAGATAGTTATGAAAAGATGTTTGACTTTGTTAGAACAACAAATCAATTATAGTTTGGTCATATTTTTGGACAGTGTGATGGAAAGAGAGAACATTTTGAAAATTTTATCTATCTTTCCGAAATAAATATTTCCAGAAATCTTAATTATCCTTTTGAAAGTCTATGCTGACATGCACTTTTATTTTATTTTTATCACAGTCATTTCTTTATAGCTGCATTGTCTGTGAAGCTGAGTCTACTTAACTGACTTGTGCACACACCATACTGAAAGAGATGCCAGCATACAAGAACTAAAGAGCCTGTCTTTGAATGTTCATGACAAAACAAAAGTAGCAAGAAAGCAACATCAGCAGAACATACAAAAGTAGCAAAAAATAATTGCCAATCATTCTGTAACCTTAAAAAAAATTTACTCATTGAAAATAAAATGAAAATTCATCCTTAAAGTTGGCATAAAAAACAGTGCTAAAATTTAGTTCCCCATTGGAATGAATGCTTTCTCGACAGGGTAACAAATGAAAATTGGATCAGGGACACATTTTCAGTGAAAAAGACGCACTGCCAGATGGCTTCTTGGCAAAGGAAAAGGAAGAGTTGATTAAACCGTCATGTGACGACTTCAAATTCAGCTAAGTACAGCTTAGCAACTTTTTGTTGAGAAGGAGAAAGGAGGATATTCAGGTTCTAGGCATGATTGTAACATTATTAAGGTTTGAGATCACTTTGCAGCTTCACCGGTTTTCTATCATTGGTTTCGATAAGGAAAATATAAAATTAGTCCCACCCAAGAACAAAATACTTTGCTGAATAAAACTTGAATTTCCTCAGAACTAATTCTTTGAAATCATCGTGCAAACACACTCCTCATGAAGTACATTTTACTTTTCAAGACAAACATATTGTACATGTTCATTTATAGACACTACTATTTCAAGATGAATTAGAATCTTGCACCCTTATTGTCTCAGAGAGCAATGGGAAGTATTATAAAACTTGTACTAAAATGCAAACATATTCCCTAAAGGATTTGCTTCCCTTGTCTTTCTTTCATCTCTCTCATATCTTCTGGTAGGACATCACTAGATTGCTTTCAAACCTGCACTGGCTTCATCTGTTGGTGTTGTCAATTACACAGTTTCCAACTCTTCTGCCTTGGGAGACCCAGTGACAATATTCCACATCTTTGGATTCAATGCTTGATCTAGGAGTGGGCATATAACTCAAGTGCAGCAGTCAGCCTCAATTTTGGAACTATGGATGCTGGGAGAGGGTCTCTCTGCTGCTGAAGCTTCTGGATGCCAAAGAACATGCTAGCTAATTACTGTCATATAGTAAAAGTCTGCCTAAGCGTAAAGGAAAACCAGGAAGCACAGATAAAAGTGAGTGGAAAAGACAAACATAGTTCTGATGGCAGTGTTTTCAAGGCAGGCTCCTGCTTTGCTTAAAAGCATGTCTAACCTTATAATTTATAATTATATAATCCATTAATATTTTCTCTTTAATTATTAGGATTTCTATCATTAATTTAAAAAAGTGTCTTGAGTACATGACTAATATACTGAGAACCTGTGTTTTGGAGGTGAATTATCTATATATTCATTTAAGAGAAATGATATTTATGTTGATCTAAGTAAATAGCATTCCTGAACAATTTCTCTAAAAGAGTAACATTCACAATAGCAAATATGTGGTCTGGAGAGTCTAGGAATTTGAAGTAAGAGACTATCATACACACATTTCCAGCTCCCCATAGCGTAGGACTCATAAGGCTTTCTGAACGTAACTATAACTGAATGCTGGTTTCCTTGCCTATAAAATATTATATGCAAACTCATAAGGAACACTGTTTGTACCTATCATATTCATGAGTAAACTGCTTATCTTCATTGCAGTATATTTTTGTCTTAAATTTTTCTTTTTTGAGTTTTTATGCTCTTGTATAACTCCACAGTAGTTGGCAGTGAAAAAGTAAAAATTAGAAATGCAATTAGAAAATGTCCACAAGACTTAAATTCTTCTACTCATACCCTTCTATGGATCATTCTATAAAATATTAATAAGCAGTTTCACTCATAATTATGGTGACTCATGAGTGTTATCATTATAATAGTATGCTTTCATCTAGTACCTTCTGCTCTGCTTAAAACACTTTATGCATATTATTATATTATTTCATTTGCCTCCTGTACCTTCTTTTCTAGGAACCTACTGTTTTGTGAATAAAATAATTGGTAGAGTACAATTCAGCCAAAAAGTTACCAACAAACACACCAAACAACAAAAAAAATACTCTCACTATGGTTGCTATTGTTTTGGTATTCCTCATAAATATAAACAATACGTATTTTACTGGAGCTTTTATGATGGACATGAAGAGAGAATTTACATTATACAACACTGAAATGTTTAAGAAAGTCTATGTAGACATCTTTCTCAATTTTCAATTCTCATTCTGAAACCACAGTCTCTTATCTTTCTTTCCTTTACAGGTCTTACATTTCCTAATCCTTGTCTGATCCTTTCTGTCCCTCCTCTCTCTTATTTACACACAGTAATTTAGCTCCATACCCACCCTTACCAACCATACCTACATCCTTCACTGTGCTCATCAAAATGATCAGAACAACATGCCTTAAAACATACTTGTCAGGCCAGGCACAGTAGCTAATGCCTGTATTCCAGCACTTTGAGAGGCTGAAACGGATGATCACTTGGACGCAGGAGTTCAAAACAAACCTGGGCAACAGAACGAGACCTCATCTCTAAAATTAAAAAAAAAAATTAGCTAGGCATGGTGTGTGTGCTGGTAGTCTCAGATATTCAGGAGGCTGTGATGGATCGCTTGAGCCCAGGAGATTGAGGCTGCAATGAGCTGTGATTGCACCACTACACTCTAGCTTGGGTGACAACGTGAGACCCTGTCTCAAAAAACAAAACAAAACAAAAAACATACTTGTCAAAGCTTATATGCATTCAAATCACCTGGCAATGTTTTTAAAATGCAGATTTTTATTTAGTGGGTTTGAGGGGGAAACTTGTCTAGGGCTTTGAATTTTCAAGAAGCTAGGTAACACTAATGTTTTAGGTCTGAGGACAAACCTTTGAGTAGCAAGAATTAGAAAATTGAAGATGAACATTAATGGCCAAAACTCCTTTTCTCCCTTTTTAATACTAGTGGGTGCCAATCTATTAAGAGACACAATTTGCTCAGTTATAAAATGGGAATAAAGGTGCTCACCTTTACATGGTAATTGTGAAATTTAAAGAAAATATTATACTTTACATGTTTTGAAACTTAAAGGATTACATAAATGTAGATTGTTATGCTATTTACGTTGCATATGTTTCTATGCAGTAATTTAATTAATGTTTATAGAGAATCTCCTAGTGTGAGGTCTTCTGTTAGGTGACAAAGGTACATCAATAAAAATTGAGACACAGTCTCTCTTTTTTTGAAATTTATAATCTGTAAGAGAGCAACATGTTAGGATATTACAAAATTTATGATTTAATGACAAATTCCAGTATCTTCTAATAAGTAAAAGTATATGACAGCACCTAACAGTGGTCTCCAACCTATACTAAGAATGGGATTTGACCTGAATGTAGGCAGGTGAGTAATAATTAACCAAGAGAAGAATAACTGTTATTCAGGCAGAAGGAACTCAAGATGCAAACATTCTATAATAGACATCACTCAGCTGGTTCACACAAATATTTATTATGTTCATCCTTTCAGGATTTGTATTTCTTTCACATTTATTATGATAATGTTTTTGTAATTAATTTCTTTTTTAATGGAAGAGTAACTATGAAGTCCTTCTGTCATCAAAGTAGTGGAATGGTTTCCAAAGCTTAATACATCGGATCCGTTTATTGACTTGGCAATAAATTGGCACAATGACACAACCTACAACCTAAATTCCCAGGTCTCTTTTCATGGAAGATTTATTTTGCTGTAATAATAAGCCAGTGTATTAAAAGAGTTAATGAAAAGCCTTTTTTTTCTTTTGGTTATTATTCTGAGTTCTTAAGTTCAAAGCTTTAGGAACCTTATTTTAGGAACAACGACAGAAGTATGAAAGAGTTGGAAGAAAACAAACAATTAATTGAGGGCAATTCATATGAAAGATAAGGGGAAGAGAGAGTAGAAGGGGAAAGAGAAGCTTCAGACCAAGATAGCTGTTTAAGGCCTGTGAAAGTCAAGATGAAAGAAAAGATCTTTTCATAGGAAGTGTAGCTTTGAGAAAGCCTTTGTCAGTCTAGTAGGGAGAAATGATACAAATTTGCTCCTGTCCTGGGCAGAAATGATGAGTCCTTGTAACACTGCCTTGCTCAGTTATTGCCTGGGGCGCTGAAGAGGTGTGCTGCTGCAGAGACAGATCCAGAAGAGGTTGTCAGCAGAGTGACCATGCTGTGGCAGGCTCACTCTTGAAAAGAGACCTGAATAGCAAGGTCTAGTGTCTACCACAATCTCTTTCACCAGTTTTTCTCTGTTCGTTCTTTCTCATCAATTTTATGACTTTTGGTATATTTTGGATAGCGCCAAGTTTAGTCTTTGTATTTATTACAAATTTTATTTCCCTAGAGTATCATTTGACTTTGCACTTTCTATATGATTCTTTTCTCAAGCATTTTGTTTCTATTTGGAACATCTGAGCATCTAGTTTCCTTTGAGAAATATCACTTACTTCAAAATTATATAATTATCTGTAGTATTTTTATGTATAAATTACCGACATTTAAATCTTAGATTTATTAAAATTTATTATTTTATGCTGTAATTTATTTTGATGGACTTACTATTTCCTTTTTTTCTTCCACATGGATAGTCAATTACATTGCCACCATGTTAAGTAAACTACCCTTTCCTTATCCATTTTAAGCAATGCGTGTCATAGCTTGATTTCCATATTTTAGCATCTCTTTAGCATACTTTTATTTATAGATCAATAAATTATTTCTACTCCAGGTTCACACTGTTTGGATTATAGCAATCTTATAGCATGATATAAGTAAATTATTATAGTAAGTTTCCACTCAACACTATTTTTTCAGAAACGTATATGACTGGGAAAAATGAAGAGGCTAGCAAATCCCTTCCCCCACCAAAAAGAGAGGATAAGCTATAAAATTGGGCAAAATGGGCAATAATAACACTGGAAACTATTAAAGGCAAAGAGCAAATTAAAAAGTTGTTACTAATGAAAAGCTGCCCAGGCATTAAATAAGACCATGTCAAACAGGGGCCTTTGTGCATGGGCCTGCTCTCTTACCCAATCCCCAGCCTGATTGGTACATGATGGTTACCTAAAAGAGGAGCTACACTGCATGGTGAGTGCTATCATTGACTTGCAGCAAAGGACAAGGCACAAGCCTAAATGTCTCATCAGTAAAAGTAACAAACTTAGTGGCACACGCCTGTAATCCCAGCACTTTAGGATGCCAAGGCTGGAGAATTTCTTGCACCCAGAAGTTTGAGACCAGCCTGGGCAAGATGACAAAGCCCTGTCTTTCTTTTTTTTTTTTAAAAAAAAAAAAAAGGAAAAGGAAAAAAAAATAGCTGGCTGTGGTAGTGGTGTGCACCTCTAGTCTCAGCTACTCGGGAGGCTGAGGTGGGAAGATTGCTTGAGCCCAGGAGTTAGAGGCTGCAGTTAGCCATGATCACACCATTGTACTCCAACCTGGGTAACAGAGAGCAAGACTCTGACAAAAACAAACAAACAAACAAAAAAACCGTATATATCTATATATACATATATAGATATATGGAAAGAGAGAGAGAGAAATGGTAGAAACAGCAATTACTTTTGCACCAACCTTATATAAGGTTACTTTACTTTCCATGGCAAAATCACACTTATTTTTGCACCAACTATATATATATAATATATATATCATATATATGAAATATATATGAAATTATGTATATGAAATATATATGATATATATTTATGAAATAAATATATATAATATGTTATACATATATCATATATAAATATATATCATATATTTATGAAATAAATATATATGAAATATATATAAATATAAATATATATTTTTATATATAAATATATATATGAAATAAATATATAAATATATATGATATAAATATATAATATATATATCATATATAAATATATCTCATATATATTTATGAAATATATATATAATATATATATGAAATATATATGTGAAATAAATGAAGAAAGTCTTTAATTCTGCCAGCCTTGGATTGCAGTCCCATTTGGGGATAGCAATGAATATGCCATATATTTTACAAGGAAATCTTAGAAATGAAAGAGCACTTGAAGAGTGAGATAACTCTTCATTCATCTCTGAGTGACTGGCAGGCTACAGAGACATGATGATCACGAGATCTAAGAGGGCAGAGTGGAAAACAAATAACAAAAAAAAGCTTCAAACTGGTGAACTCTAAATATGCTCCCTAACTAAACAGAGATACATCTGCAGAAGATGGAAGTCTCATGGGCTCACAGTGCTTGAGTAAAACCTCTAACCAATCTTTGGCTGATCATTGAAATGTGTAGATACAGTAGCAACCCCTTAGGAAGCCAGACTAAAAAATGAAAATAAGAATTGAAAAAGAAAATCTGAGCAGAGACATTGGCTACTACAGAATCCAGAGTAGACAACAATATGTTTTCTTACATGTCCAGTTTTCAACATGACTATGCAACATGCAAATAAATGAGAAGTGTGTTTGTTTCAATCAAGAAATAAAGCAGTCAACAGAAACTATTCCTGAGTGAGTGCAGATACTAGATGTAACAAAGACTTCAAAGCAGCAATTATAAATATGTTTGCGAAATGTAAAGAAGCCATGTTTAAAGAATTAGAAGATGTGTGGTCAATGAATCCACAAATAGGGAACCTAAATAATGTAACAGAAACTATTCTATGAGGATCATATGGATATTGTAAAGTGGAAAAAGTACTACAATCAAACTAAAAATAGGTTAGTTCAACAGCTTATTTTTAGATAATAGAAGAAAGAAACAGCAAACTTGAAGATAGATCAATTTAATTTTTCCAATCCGAAGACAGAAACAAATTTTTTTTATAAAGGAATAGAGCTGCAAAAACGTATCAGGTAACATCAAGCATACTAATATGCATGCAAACATTCTAGGAGTTCCAGGAAAAGAGTAGAGAAAATCTATTTGAAGAAATAATGACCTAAGTAAAACTCTTCAAATATGATAATAAACATTAATCTATACAGGGCCAAGAAGCTCAAAAAACTTCACATGGGACGAGAGTTCTACATCTAGACACATCAGAGTCAAACTACTAAAAGACAAAAAAAATTCTTTGAATCAACAAGAGAAAAATGATTAAACATCTACAAAACCCCAACAATATAATTAATGGTTAACTTCTCATCAGAACAATGGAATCCAGAAGGCAGTGGCAAGACTTTTTCATAGTGCTGAAAGTAAAAACAAAACAACAACAAAAAAAATCCTGCCAACTTAGGATACATATCTAATAAAACTTCCCATCAAAAATGAAAACAATAAACATATTCAGAGATAAAGATTAAGTGAATTTATTGCTAGCAGACATGCCTTAAAATATATTAAAGGAAGTCTTTCAGGCTTAAAGGGCATGACACCTGATCCTAGCTCAAATCTACAGAAAAAATAGAGTGCTGAAAATGGCAAACGTGAATAAATATAAAAAACTGCAAACTCAGACTTTTCTCTCCTTCTCAATAAAGAAATATTATAAAAGCCAATAATATAACACTGAATTGTTGGGTTTATTGCATGCACAAATGAAATATATATGGAAATAGTGCAAAAGCAAAAAAGAAATGAAACTATACTGGAGAAAAGTTGCTGTCTGTTTCCAGAATTTACTTGGTATTAACCTGGAGTTTATTGTAATAAATTAAGATCCGTATTTCAATCCCTAGAGTGACTGCTAAGAAAATAACTTTGTAAAATTACTAAGAAAACAAAAATGGAGGAATAACAATTGTAAAATAAAACATTATTTAACAATCACAAAACAAGGTAGCAAAATGGCAGAGGTTTTCTAACCTTATACATTTAATATTACATTAAATCTAGATAGATTAGAATTTTTGTCAAAAAGTACAGATTGTTAAATTTATTTTGTTAGAATCCCCCAACCTCAATATCTGATCAATTCCCTTACCTTGCAACATCCTACAGGTGATATTTCATCACCCTGACCTGCCTTCAGCAAGAGTCCTGTTAAGTCTGTTTCATCTGACTTTCTCTTAATCCTGATGTTTCCTTTTTGTAATTTTCTGCCCACTGAATTCCATGCTGTTCCTTGACTATACATTTCCACTTGTCTACACTGTATTTTGAATTGAGCCCAGTTCTATACTGAGATCTCCTTTGTCCTATTGCAATAGTTCCTGGTTAAAATTTGGTTTTACAATACAAAAAATTAGCTGGGCATGGTGGCGGGCACCTGTAGTCCCAGCTACTCGGGAGGCTGAGGCAGAAGAATGGCGTGAATCTGGGAGGCGGAGGTTGCAGTGAGCCGAGATCGCTCCACTGCACTCCAGCCTGGGTGACAGAGCGAGACTCCGTCTCAAAAAAAAAAAAAAAAAAAAAAAATTTGGTTTTACTGTTTCAACTTCTGTTACGCTCTAGTTTTGTCTGACAGTCCTCTCTCCCTGCAAAAGATGAAGGCCCAGACTACAAAAATTAAGAATCAAAGTGGAGACATCACTAGACTAATGAATCCACAGAAATTAAAAGGATTAGAAGGAAATAATATAAATTTCAAAGAATTTGTCAATTCTATGTTGTGTTAATTAGACAAACTAAAATGGACAAATTTGTAAAAGATATAAATTTCCATAATTGACTCAAGAAGAATAATCTGAATAGACCAATAAAAAGTAACAAAATAAGAATCAAATATTTCCCCACAAAGAAAAGCTCAAACCTAAATAGTTCACTAGAAAATTTAATCAAATACCCAAAGATAAATTAATACCTATCTTACACAAATACTTTTTAAAATGTTAGGAAAGAACACTTTCTAACTTACTTGATGAGATCATTATTATCTGACGCCAAAGTCGGCCAAAGATGTCATGAGCGTAGAAAACTACAGACTGTTATTACCCAAGATTATTTTTGCAAAAATCCTTAAGAAAATATTAGGTAACCAAGTTCAGACATATGTAAAAAGGATAATAAACCATGTCCAAATGGAATGTATCTCGGGAATTCAAGACTGGTTTGACAACCAAAAAGCAAATAATGTAATATGCCATATTAAAAGACTAGAGACAAAAGGTGCACGATCACCTCAATAACACAGAAGTATCATTTGACTAAACCCAACACCTATTCTTGACAAAGAAAATCCTACACATCCTAGAAATTAAAAGAAACTTTTTTAACCCAATAAAGGTCATTTATGAAAAGCCTACAGCTTACAGCATACTAACTGGTAAAAGACAAAATGTTTTCCTCCTAAGATTGGGGTGTAAGAAACAAGGATAGCCTATCAGTAGCTTCATTCAACATTGACCTGTAAATTCTATAAAATGCAAGAAAGCAAAAGGAAAAAAAAAGAGGGATAGAGGAAGGGAGACAGAAGAGGGAAGAAAGAAAAATCATAATAATAATAAGAAACAAATCATACAGATTAGAAAGGAGGAAGTATAACTATTTTCTCACATGCACTATGATCCTGCATTTTGTAAATCAAAAGGAAACAAAGCTACCATAACGTATTATATTTAGCAATGTCCCATGAAGAAAAGATCAATATACAAAAAAAGTTATATATATATATATATATATATATATATATATATATATATATTTTTTTTTTTTTTTTTTTTTGCTTTTTTGTTTGTTTTATACAGAGTCTTGCTCTGTCACCCAGGCTGGAGTGCAAAGGCATGATCTTGGCTCACTGCAACCTCTGCCTCCCAGGTTCAAGTGATTCCTGCCTCAGCCTTCTGAGTAGCTGGGATTACCGGCATGCATCACCACCCCTGGCAATTTTTTTGTATTTTTAGTAGAGAAGGAGTTTTGCCACGTAGGCCAGGCTGGTCTTGAACTCACGACCTCAAATGATCCACCCGCTTCGGCCTCCCAAAGTGCTGTGATTACAGGTGTGAGCCACAGAACCCAGCTCCCCCACAAAAAGTTTTATATTGTATTAGCAGGAAAAAATTTAAAAATAAAATTTAAAAAACAATTATATTTAAAGTTAGATAACATATACTGCCTTATTCCAAAACTTGCTACAGAGCTAAAGTAAAAAAGATAAGATGATATTAACATAAAGATAAATGCACAGATTACAGAATTAGAATAGAAAGCTTAGAAATGAGTCCTGATTTTCTAGTCAATTATTGACAAAGATATTTCAATAAGTAAATAAGTAAATAAATAATAAAAGGATAGTTTTTTCAAAATGTTGTGCTGGGACAAGAGTATATTCTTATACAAAAATATCAGCTTTGATTCTGATCTCAAGCAATTAATAAAAAATAACTCAAAATATATTTTAGGTTCAACTATAAGGAACAAATCTATAAAACTTGTAGAAAAAATACTGCAAATTCTTTGTGACCTTGGATAAGGTGAGGTTCTTATATATGACACCAAGTGCATGTTCAATGAAAGGAAACAAATAATAACTTGAACTTTATCAAAAGGAAAAGCTTTTTGGTTTTCAAAAGATATTACAAAATATAAATGCATGTTACAGACTGAGAACAACTATGAGCAAATCACAAATCAGACAAAAGACTTGCATAGAAAATGTATAAAGATGACTTAAAACTTTAAAAAAAGGCAATGAAAGATAGAAGTCAATTTTTTAAAAGGAAAAAAATTTGAATAGACATTTCACCAAAGAATATATATGATTGTAAGCACATGAAAAGATGACCACCATCATTCATCATTAGGAAATGCAAATGAAAACCAACCACGATGAAAGACCACTACACACCCACTAGAATAGCTACCAAAAAAATTAAAAATTCCGAGTGTTGGTGAGGATGAAAAAACAAAAACCAAAAAACCAAAAAACAAAAACAAAAACAGAATCCTCAAACCATGCTGGTGGAAATATAAAAGTATGTAGCCATCCTGAAAAGAACTTGACAGTTTCTTAAAACATTATTCAGGCAAGCTTTACCCTAGAAGAAAGAAAACGTGTATCTTCACAGAGACTTGTACACAAATGTTCATGATAGCATTATTCATAGTCCAAACTGGACACAATCATATTACCCACAAACAGGTGAATAAACAAAATGTAATATACGCTCATACAATGGAATATTATTTAATAATAAAAAGTAAAAACTCCTGACACAAGCAACAACATGGATGAATCTCAAAAGCATGTTAACTGAAAGAAGCTAGACGCAAAAGACTACAGGTTGTATGGTTCCATTTATATGATACTTTTCGAAGAGCAAATCTATAGGGATAGAAAGTAAATCAGTGAATTCCCTGGACCTGTGGGAAGAATAGGGTATGAGGGGACTTTCTGGGATATTGAAAATATTCTAAAACTGAATTATAGTGATGAGGGCACAACTTCATAACTTCACTAAAAATTATTGACTAGCACACCTGCAATAGGTGAATTTTATAGTATGTAAGTTGTTCCTCGATAACACTTTAAAAAGTTATTTAGCTATTCTGTCATTTTATCTCTATGTAAATTTTAATATAATATTGTTTAGTTCCTAATTTTTTAAATCTGAATGATAGTGAAAATGAAATGAACATTTATACAGAGCTTTAATAACTAAATACAGTATTATATTAAATAATTCAAACTTTTAATTGGATACATTTTATGGATTTTTTTAAACTTTTTGATTTTCTACATTTTGAATAACCATGCACTTCTAAATCTAACAACCTCTTGTTTACTTTACTTACCACTCCCTTTTTTCATGCGTGTGATCTGTTTCAATGACTGCACTCCACATATTTACTGCACTTTAATTTCTCCCACTTATTCTTCTGGAATTTTTATCATATTGAATTTATTGGTTTTACAGGTGTTTCATTTCATTATTAAAATATAACAGGCTTGTTAAACTTTTATTTTGAACAATTTTTGATTCACGGAAAAGTTATAAAACTACAGAGCATTCCCTTATTCAGCTTGCCCTAAGGTGAACATGTTATATGATCATAGTATAATTGTCAAAACAAGGAAACTAATGCCAATTCAGACTTTTACCTAAACAGACTTTTGCAGTTTTCCTAAGTTTTGTTCCTAATAATCTCCAGGCTCCCACATTGCATTCAGCTGTTATTTCCCTATGGTTTCTTCCAGTCTATTATAGTTCTGTCTTTACTTCAGTGATGATACATTTAAAGAGTGCTGTTCAATTATTTTTTAGTATGTTTATAAATTATTTCCCTGATATTCTTATTATCAGAATGAGTTGATACATTTTTGTTCAGATTACCACAAAGATAGTGTTGTGTCATCATTTCATCATATAAGGGATTTATTAAGTTGATATGTCATTATCAATAATCTCCCCTTGGTTAAGGTGATACCTACTACCTTTGTTCACCATAAAGTTACTATCTTTCCATGTGAAGTAATGAGTAGCTTGGGGGAAATACTTTCAGACTATGACTATATCCTGTTTCTCTGCAAAATTTTACTCACTAATTTTAGTATCCATCTGTCCTTGACAATTATTACTGTGGTGTTTGCCTAATGGGGATTTTACATTTTACTTTTTCCTTTTGCATTTATTAATTGTACTTCTTCCATAATAAAGACCAGTCCTTTTCACTCATGCAAATACTTACAAAAATTCTATTAGTAGGGCCTCATGGATATTTATTTTATTCTATGGGTTAACATGCTCCTACCACCACGTATTTTGTTGTTCAAATTTTTCCGTCTTTGGCCATTAGGAATTCATTTGGATTAGCTCTTGTGTTCTGCTGATAAACTCTCATTTTTTAAAACACTTCCTTACTTTCTAGAATCACAATATGTTCTAGATTTATTTATTGATTTGTGTATATTTATTTATTTACTTGCCCTATTCCTGGAATCAACAACTTCTTCAAGAAACCTATGTTCCTTTTATTGTAGGATGGTGTTTGGAAACCAATATCTGGGCATTGTAGTTAAGCTTTCAAAAAAGTATTAAAATAGCTGTTTTTGGACAGACTCATGGGCCACCACATCTGTAATCCCAGCACTTTGGAAGGTCAAGGCGGGCAGATTGCTTGAGCCCAGGAGTTTGAGACCAGCCTGGGCAACATGGAGAAACCCCAGTTCTATTTTATAAATGAATGAATGAATGAATAAATAAATAAATAAATAAATAACCATTTTTATTAGGAGTTTGTTATATAGTGATTTTACCACAATTCTTTAAAATTAATTATTAAATACATTTCTTAAGTGCTTATTACTGTGTAATATAATTCATTTTTTGTCCAAAACAGTTCAAATGTTTCAGTTTTCACAAATCAATAGAGGAAAAAAAATATGCATGATTCAATGGAAACAGCATTGGTTTTATGAAGTTTGCCTTTTTTTAATTACAATTTATAACACCACCTTTTTCTTTAATTTATGAAAACTCTTTGGATGTATTTAATGTTTTTATGTTATTTTGAAATTCAACTTTTTAAATATTTTTGTCTCAATTGTATTTATTTCCGTGCACGAAACACCATACATGTTACAACTTTCTTGTGAAACATTAAAGGTAAAAGAATTGGGATAGTTCCATTCAGTAAATATAGATGATTAGCCTGATTCTTTTTTTCTTTTCTTTTCAGCAGTAATGCCCTAATCTAATCTTTTAAAGCTAAGAAGTAAAAAATGCGTAACAGTGAAATGCTACATTGTCTTCCTAATCACAGAAAATAGCAGAAATGTGGAAATAATACAATTGAGCTTATACACGAAAATTCTGTCATTTTATATAGTACATGTTCTTTCCATTGAGAATCAGAATTAGTTATTTTAGAATTAAAAGTAAATCCTCTGGGCGCAGTGGCTCACGCCTCTAATCCCAGTACTTTGGGAGGCTGAGGCGGTTGGATCACAAGTTCAGGAGATCGAGACCATCCTGGCTAACACGGTGAAACCCTGTCTCTACTAAAAAAAAATACAAAAAATTAGCCAGACGTGGTGGCGGGCACTTGTAGTCCCAGCTACTTGGGAGGCTGAGGCAGGAGAATGTCGCGAACCCGGGAGGCAGAGCTTGCAGTGAGCTGAGATCCTGCCACTGCACTCCAGCCTGGGCAACCGAGTGAGACTTCATCTCAAAAAAAAAAAAAAAAAAGGAAATCCCATCCAGAATAATGGATTTATGGATTTCAAATCATAGCATATACAATTATATATCGTTTGACTAAATTTTCTACTTTCTCTTCATTGGCTTTCTGTGCCAAATCCAAGAAGTCTTGTTTACATGACTAGAGTTTCACAGAATTGTTCTAACCAAAACATTTAGTAAAATAATCTGCTACTTTGTGCTTTCATTGATAAGACCTGGGTAGAAGGAGAAAATGAGAATTTCTAGTGAAATTACTTCTTAAATAATGGTTTTAGCTTTCTTCCTAAAAATTATTTTTTATTCTAGGTACATAGCATTGTATTAACAACTGTTTGAAGCAGGTATTTTATTCTCAGTTTTATGTCTTTTTAAAATGCACTGTGTACTTAGGTAGGTATTATCCCATTTTTGAGAATGAAAGAAACTATCTGCTTTGATGTATAGTATACATGAAACAAATGCTTAACCAGAAAGTTTGTCTTCAGCCAAGTGATATTTTTAGAATATATGTGTAGTGAAAATATTTACTCTAAGATCAACAGATTTAATGACCCCATTGTATTTTCTTTTATTTAACCTAATATTTCAAGTCACTGCTCTGTCTACTACATATTCAAAGAAAGCAGCACCTAATGACCAATTCAATAAAATTGATCCTGTAATAAAGCATGCCAGATGTCCCCAAAATACACAGAGAAGTTAATCACTATTAACATGTAGAATCTTGGAGCAGAGTTTATTTTGATGGCACTAAGTGGACAAATAAGGAAATACTGGCATCTGTAAACTGCCCATTTAATCTCTCATCCTTAGTACTAAACAGAATATTCCCACATTTCAGACTTCCTCCCTCAAGATGGATCTTGACCACAATGGATGTATAGCTAATGCCTCTCCTTGTACATGAATCATGGCTTTATTCTGCCTAAGCCTACAACTTAGGTGAGGTGGGAGGAGGGAAAAAGGCAGTCAACTTGTGAGTCTCAAAGCATCCTTCTAAAACACAAGTGTACTTTTAGCGCATTCCCAGGTCGTGTTGTGACTAGCACCCAGTTGACTCTTCTGCACTTCTGGTTTCAGAAGCAGTTTGCCACATGAGAAGAATTGACAATTCACTTATAATTGGCTTATGATTATCTCCAAGACTATATCCTTAGAAGTAAAGACTAATTCTTTTGGTTAAACTGTGTTATTTTGCCTGGTTTAGTAAGTTTACCAAGAATGAAGATGGGAAAAAGACATCTGCTGACTTTGGGGTTTTTCTCTATGTCATTCCAAAAAGTACATTCCAAACACTTTTAAAGTTCCTACACGTTTTCACTTCTCTTTTTCCCAAGTCAGGATCGAGATACCAAAACACCATGTAATCCATTAATCCATGTTTAACCAGTTTCCCTTATGAGACTAAACATTTCTTAAAAACACGAAATGTGATCCCCCAGACTATCACATGATGGTACTTTTGAGACCTAATTTTCTTTATTTTCTCATTTGTTGTTTGATCCTCAGTGGTATATTGAGGAAGAAGTATTCACAAAAGATAAGTTAAGAGGATCCAATGATTCCATAGGAGGAGAGAGATTTATCAAATTTAACTATCAGGAATGAGTTATATTTATAAACTCAGAAGAAATTTTTTGGATCAGTCAAATTGAAGGGAGAGAAAAACCAAGGAAGAAAAAAAAAAGTAGAACTTTAAAATACTTGGTATCCTTCTAACCATAAAAATGAGTGGAACCATGAGACTCAAAGAAAACAAAACAAGTAAAGTGAAAGATTTTGGTCAAATTTTCAATGGGATTAAACTGCTCTTACTGCCAGAGAAATGGAAATCTCTCCTTACAGTACTAAAATTGTACAGAGGAATAATCGGTATGACTCTTCAAATAAATCTTTTGTTCATTCTCAAGATTTGATGCAGATGAATGCTGAGACACTCTGCTGGAAGTAGATTAAAAACTTAGACATCTCTGCACACCTCTACCTTTCCACCATGGAGCCTCTGAGACACTTCAAGAAAACCCCTTTTTTTCTTCCCCATTACCTTTCCCATTGCTTTATGTCCTCAGGTTATATTAGAATTGTTATTTTTTTTCCCTTTAAGCGTAAACACCAAATAAACATCAGTAAGACTACAGTGAATTTTGTTGTTGTTGTTAATTATGTCAAATATGTTTAGTGAATATAAGTGATCCCTGAATTTGGAGGAAAGATATACATTAATCAGAAACTATTATAAATTAGTGAATTAGCACACCTTTTTACCTTTTTAGAACAAATACATTTTTAGGAAAGATTACTAATTTTTTGCAGACAACTTTTCTGCAGTTGCTATTCAAACTAGGCACTTTGTTTGAGCCTGTTATGGAGACAACCTTTGGTTTGTAATTGTTTATTTTCTTATCTTTTTTTCTTTCTGACTAAGGAATTTATTTTATTTGCATTTCTGTCTCTTTTGCTAATCTGTGAGTTACTTGAAGGCAGGAACTGTATTTATGCATTTCTTGTACCCCAGAGCCCAAGAAATTGCCTGGCATGAAATAGGTGCACAATCAATATTTTTCAATAAAAATGAACCTCACAGAGAAGCTTCCTTTCTTGATAAAAATAAAGCTGGTAATTGTGCAGTCATATTTTCAAAATGTCTTATTTTTATGACTGTGACGTTTGCTGCAGATGTCCTAGAAATTTTTTTAAGACAAAGAGGAAATAGCTATATATATATATATATATATATATATATATATATATATATATATATATAGTAATGGATTTCACCATATAATTTGAAAATAGGCTGATTTTCTTACATTCTCAGGGCTTCCTCCTGGCCTAGGAGCACATATTTTTAAATAACATACAATTGGTGATTCTTATAAAGGAAGAAATAGTTGGCTTCATTTTACTCTCCCATGTGAGCTAATGCTTGGTGACAGTTTCTATCCTCTATGGACTTGTCTAACAATTCTGACTAGGCAACTCTATATTGGAACAGGGTAGGAATATAATTGTGCTCTTGTTAAAACATGCTGTAATGTCAGGCACACTGAATTTTAATTCCCATGTGGGTGGGTTCAGATAATCAGAAAATTTTCCAACTGCAGTGGGACTTTGAAATAGCATGTGACACTCTTACATCTGGTCATAATTTCATGCTTTACCACCTTTGATCAAAGTGTCACCCTAAATGAAGGCAAGAAGACAGGAAATGCTACTGTGAAATCCACAGTGTAACAGATTCACATGAGTCTAAAGGTAAAATTCACATGCACTAACAGTATTCCTTCCCAAACTCACATGCCCAATTATGTTAGACAATTTCTATAGCTAACTATATTTAAAATTATCCAAATATTATTTTATAACTTGATGCTATCACAGTAACTTCAAAGCAGGGCAATTGCAGAAAAGACATCAAATTAAGAGGCAAAAGCAAACTATTTATACACTGGAATGTTCACGTGAGGCATGAGAAAATACAGTCATTGTGATAAATGATATATGAGTAAGCACTCTCCAAGCTACAAGTTACCTGACAATTCAACACCTGAAGATCAAGCAGTAGTATTGACTCCTTTCTGTAAAAGTGGTTCTTACTGGGAAAAAATCAAGCCTTCATTTAGGAGGATGAAATAGTTAGGAAAGCCAAGAATTTTTAAAATGCTACAGTACTTAGTGGTGTGGAGGGAAGTTATTTGCTCTAAAATCTCCAAGTTTTGGAACTATTTTAATTGTAAAATTTCCAAACATTTGTAAATTAATGACACAGCCAAAATTTAGAGATTTTTTCAAATAGAGTTGGAAGCTACCTTAGGCACAGGCAATGTAATAAGTTCATTTTATAGATGAAGAAATTAAGACCTATAAAGGTAGAGACTTGATCAAATTTTTCAAGCTAATAAAAAGTAAATCTTTTATCTCAGATGTTTTGATAAACAGCTGTCCTAGTCTGTTTTGTGTGGCTATAACAAAATATCTGAGACAGGGTAATTTATAAAGAACAGAAACTTATCCTGTCATAGTTCTAAAGATTAAGAAGTTCAAGATCAAATCACCAATATCTGATAATGACCTTCTTGTGACATCCTCACATGGCAAGAGGTGGAATGGCAAGAGAGGACTGAGTCCTCACATACAAAAGCAGAAGAGAGAGAACCCATTCTCTCTAGCCCATTTTGTAGCATTAATCCATTCATAAGAGTGTTGCCCTAATGACTTAAACACCTCCCAAAAGGTCTCACCTCCTAACACTATTGCATTGCAGATTGAGATTCCAACACATAAATTTTAGAGGAGACAAAATACATTCAAACCATAACAAGAGCCCAGCAATCTTTTCTCTAAATACAGTATGCTACTTCCTTAAATTTTCTGTTTTTCTGTATTATCTTATAATTTTTACAGCAGGTTATTCCTATAAATAAAGACAGTAATGATAAATAATTATTGCAAAGAAAACTCACCCTTGGCCAGTTAATCAGCCCAAATGAACAAGTTTGAATAAATTATTTTGCAATTACTATATTAACAATTAGTATCTGTAAAACCAACGAAACAGTGGTGTGTTTAAATACAACTAGAAAGAAACTCTTGTCCTTTACCTCTACATGTTTTCTAATTTATTATAGTGCAATAGCTACTGTATAACTTAGTGTCTGAGAACAAAAATCATGTTATTATATTTCATCATTTTATGGGTCAGGAATTTGATCAGGGCTCAGATGGGCTGTTCTTCTGTTCCATCTAACATTTAACGGAGTCTGCTTTGGTTTGAATATCGTCCCCTCCAAATCTCATGTTGAAGCTTAATATCCAAAATTGCAGTATTGAGAGGTGGGGCCCTTAAGAGATCATTGAGTCATGAGGGGTCTGTCCTTATGAATGAATTAGTCTATTCATGGACTAATAAATTTATGGACTATAGGTTAATGGATTAATGGGTTATCATGGGAATGTGACTGGTGGCTTTATAAGAAAATGAAGAGAAACTTAAGCTAGGGTGCTCAGGCCCCTAGCCATGTGATGTCTTGTGCTGCCTCAGGACTCGCAAAGAGTCCCCACCAGCAAGAATGCTCTCATCATATGTTGCCCCTCGACCTTGAACTTATCCTCCATAACCATAAAAACACAAATTTATTTTCTGTGTAAATTACTCAGTTTCAAGTATTCTGTTATAGGCAACAAAAAACAATCTAAGACAGAAAATTGATGCTGAGTGGTGGTGTGTTACTGATAATAAATACTTGAAAATCTGGAAGTGGCTTTGAAACTGGGTAATGAGTAGAAGCTGGAATCATTTGGAGGAGCAGGCTAGGAAAAGCCTAGATTCTGGTGAGGACTTAGAAAACCAGAAGACTAGGAAATATTTGGAACTCTGGATTGGTTAAGTGGTTGTGACTAGAATGCAGATAGAAATGTGGATAGTAAAGGCCATTCTGATGAGATTTCAGATGGAATTGGGGAATAAGGTATTAGAAGCTGGAGTAAAAGCCATCCTTGTTATAAATTGGCAAAGAACCTGGCTGCATTGTGTGGAATGCAGTGCTTTATGGAAAGCAGAACTTAGGTGCAATGAATTAGAATATGTGGCAGAAGAAATACCTAAGCAGCAAAGCATTCAGGCTGCTACATGGCTACTTTTAACTGCTACATTAAATTGTGAGAGGGAAACACTGACTTAAAGACAGAATTTACACTCAAAAGAGAAGCAAAGCGGAAAGATTTGAAAAACTCTCAGCCTGGCTTCATCATGTGAAGAGTGAAAAAGCATGTTCAGCAGAGAAAAACAAGGATGTGGTCCAGAGACCTTTTGCTATGGAGATTTGTATAGAGAGAAAGGATCATCAAGAGAACGGAAGAAAAATGCTGAAGGTATTTCAGTGATCTTCCAGGCTGCCCCTCCATCACAGGCTTTGAGGCCTAGGAAGGCAGAAGGGTTCCAGAGGACAGACCCAGCATACCCACCATGAGCTTGCTGCCTGGAGTCCCATCAGATCTCTCCTCCCTGCATTTCAGTGTAGTACTCCTCAGCCCCGCAAGGGCGGCTCAAGGGGCCTCAGGTGTGGCTCTACCTTCCACTCCAATAGGTACTTGCGTGGGGACTGTTACCTCTTTCTTTTAGCTGAGAAAGAAAAGTGACTCAGAGCAGTTTAAGGAATGTGAGGCTCAGAGAGACATGAGCCTGAGACTTTGATCACCTCCCTTGCAGCCATGCCTGGGGGTAATTATTTAAAGGTATTTTACTTTTTCTTTCCTTCTCTGTGGTTTCTATACTAGCTGGTAAATTATCCGGCCTGCATATGTTGGCCCAACTAAACTCTCTACTTATATTATTTTTGCCTCAGTTTCTTCCTTTAGGTCGACATGGCCTATTTCTCACTTTTCAAATGGGAGTGTGCACACTATGACTGTCTCACCATTGCATCTTAGAAGTAGGTAACTTTTCATTTAAGAGATAGGAATTTGGATTTTGAATTTTTGAGTTGATATTAGTTTGAGTAAAGACTTTGAGGATATGGGGATAGAATAGATGCATTTGTATCTGAGAATATGAGTTTTGGGGGGCCATGGGCTGAGTGCTATGATTCGAATATTTGCCTACTCCAACACTCATGTTAAAACCTAGTCCCCAGTGGGGCATTATTGAGAGACAGGGCTTCCAGGAGGTGATTGAGCCATAGGGACTCTGCCCTCATAAATGTTTGAATTCATTCATGGACTAATGGATTCATGCATTCATGATCAGCCACTTCATCATGTGATTTCTTGAGCTGATTCACCCTGCAGAGAGTCCCCATCAGTGCAAAGCCCCTCATCAGATGTAGCCATTTGATCTTGGACTTTTCAGCCTCCATAACTGTGAGATATTCCTTTTCTTTATTTTCTAAAATAGCCTAGTTTCAGGTATTCTGTTATAAGTAACAGAAAAAAAACACAAGGTCATCTATGGTATTTAGCTGGTGAATGGTAGGTCTAGAGAGTCTAAGACAACTTCACCTAGATGGCCTATTTCTTGGCATAGATGGCTGGAAGGTTGGACTCAGCTCGGTCATTTTCTTTCTCTACTGAGCTTCAGGGACTTTCCATATGGCCTCTCCAACAAGCTCACTGGACTTCTTACATGGTGTCCTAGGGCCCCAAGAGACTGAGGTGGAATCTGTCTGTTCTGTTAAAGGTTAAGACCAGAACCAGCATAATATCACTTCTACCATGCTCTATTTGTTAAGGTAGTAGGGGAAGTAACCTCTAATCCCTGATGGGAAGTGCCAGTACATTCACAGTTATCCTTAATCTTCCACAATACATTATCAGTAAAAAGGTTAATTTAATCTTTTTATTATTATTCTGATTTAAACTTTTTATGTTTTCTTGAAAAATGTTTAATAGGAATTTATATTGATCCCAAAATATATCTAAGTTAGATATGTTGAAATACTACCAAAGCTTTCTTTTTTATATATTTATAAACTATCAGGCACACTTTAATTTTATTTATACTTTTGTAAAAGAAGATGGAAAATTATGGTAGCTGGGTAGTCACTTTGAAAGACCACAAGCTAACCTAATATTTTATTTATTTATTTTTGGAATATCAAGAGTTTTAGCTACTGGCAGAAATTTTCATAAAATATATTGTCAAAGGAGATATATTTAAAAGAAATCATAACAATAGGGACATTGTGATAATCTATCCTAGTCATGCTTCGTGATTATTTATAATTATCAAAACTTATTACATAATTTTAAACAAATAACAATATTTACATTTTAGAATTTATATTTGACAGTAAGAGAGGTCATTTTTTAAAACTGAATGAATGGCAGGAATCCAACACAATCTGCCTTTTATAAATAAAGTAAAAATTATACTTATGTTAGAAAGCTTGTTTCAATTTGCTTAGTCATCAAGTAGATAATTTTTTAAACTCAGCTTTGTTGTAAAACATAAAAAAGAGAAGCACATACAGTATGAACAAAGAAAAGCTTTTATGTTCAAACAACTAGATTTCTTCATATTCTTAAATTAAACCTAATCTCAGGCTTAAAAAGATTCCCACTTGTAGTTTTACATTTTTCTTGTTCAAATAATAGCTTATATTATTCTTTAGAGGCAAACTAAGCATCAGCTTCTTTATTTCACTCTCCAAAATGCCTTGCCTAAGAGAGGAAGAAGGGAAATAGTGTATAGAGCATATTGGTAGGTGCCAGACTCCATGAACATCTGCACCATCTAATTTAATGATCTAACCCACTGCGTTGTTTTAAATATAAAGAATGAATGTATGGATGCTCAAGAAGTTACTAAGCGATACATGGTTATATTGCAGGGGTTTGGTATCATTGCAATTCAATTTCAGGTAAATTTGATCTTTAAAGACCTTTTTTCCCCTCATTTCTTAACCTTACCAAATTTTTAAGTGATTTTGTGAATAAACTATAGGTAGTATCAATACCTTATTATGATGAAACTAACAGAAAAGGGAAAGAAACAAACAAAAGTACCATTTATAAGCCAATAGCTGAATTGATTGGTAGACATGTTTCTACCATCGGCATATAACATATCTCATTTAATTGTTTCAACAGTACAGAACTTAGGGTAATCAGATGGATTTTTACAAATGAAAAAAATATGATCCACGTTGGGAAATGATAGCTAGCTAAGGAAGGTATGCCCCCAATGCCATATTTTTCACATGTCATGGAATTGAGGAAAAATCTTGGATGTGATCTTATGTATGCCATAGTCTTCATTTCACCATAAAAATTATTAACTGGATTTGAGCACACTTGGAAAGTTCATGATTCTATTACCTATATATAATTGGAATTAAAATAGGAATTCATTTATACTTATTTTGCAAGGTGTTCGATGATAAATGAAGCAGAATAGAACAGATACTGCAAACATTTAAGTTTTAATGTGAATTCACTTTTCAAATAGATAAATTTTAATGTAATGGCTGTTTAATAAAATATGTATCTAGATATTCTTACAAAATCTCAAACTCAGATTGAAGTAAAAGAAATTATGGTGTGATAGTTCTCCGACAGAAGAGAATCCTGGAAATAGCTGTAGTCAAAATCGTATTTTCTCACATGGAAGGATGAGAAACCACCAAAAATACTAATAATATCCAAGGAAAAAAATAGGTGATTACCAAGGCTAATCAGAATTTCTAAAGACTCAGAGAAATCTAAGACTGTAACAGGATTACACTCTCTGTTACTCAAGGCACCAATATCTGCATATTACACTGGTAGGATTTAGAAACTGGGATGGCCAGATTAGTGTCAGAAACAAGCAGAACTCTTCTTGACTTTCCTTTCCGCAATGAAAAAAAATAGTAAAATAAAAAAAAATCCTTCTTCTAAGTAGTTGCTTTGAAACCTCATGATTAGATGGGACTTAGTCTGATATCAAATCAGACAGAGAGAAAAAGAATCATTTCATGAACTAATTGTATGAAATTCAAACTTCAAGAAGAGTAGTGGAATACTTTCCTTTTATGAAAAGTATTTTATTAAATTCCTGTGTTTATAAAATCATGAGATAGAATTCAGATGAAATATAATGTTTCCTCCTAATTAGAAATAAACATAAGACATTACATAAAAATACATAGTATTGAATGAAAAATGTATATAAAAAAGAATAGCATTGCATTCAACATTGGCTGATTGTGTTGAATTACTATAGTTCTTCAGTAACATGTATACATTGTCCATGCAAAACAACCATTTTGCTATATTTTAAACACTCAAGTTAAAAAAACACACACACACATTTTTTCCCCAGGAAATCAGTCCTAAACACAGGAAAAATATGTAGACCTACCTTCTCTATTAAGGTAGCCACTAGTAATGTGGTTATTTAAATTTAACATAAATTAATTGAAATTAAATAACATTAACATTTTAGTTTTTCAGTTACACTAGCTCCATTTCAAAGGCTCATGGCTACCACATTGGACGGTGCAGATATAGAATGTTTCTATCAGAGCAGAAAGTTCTACTGGACAGCACTGCTCTAGATAATTGCTCTGGCTGAAACTAAGCTTATGCATAATATATTAAAGGCTATCACATTATTAAGTCTTGTAAGATCCTTCAACAATATAAAAATATCAAGATTATTGATATTGTCATAGTTATTATTTTATACAAATACACAAGTAAAATATAAACCACAGATATTTTTCTTGATTCACCAAGAATAAAACAAAGTCTAATAGTAAACAAGCATATGAAAATAAGCACAACATAATTCATAATTCAGTAAAAGACAATCTATGCATAATGATTACTTTTTTCAGTCTCTAAGACTAGCCAGACAAAAATTTCATGGCTGTTACGAGTGTGAATTCATCAACTTACCTAATATTATCTTTTATAGTTAAAAAATGCACATTTTTGACCCATTTTTATGGGTCTATCCAACAGAAATTAAGACTTTGCTACAGAAGAAAGGTTATTTAGAATATTTTACAATGATAAAATATTGAAAACAGCATAAATGTATATTAATAAAGGACTAGTTGAATAACTTATGGTACTCTCATCATATGAAACTTATCAAGTTATTTATTTATTTATTTTTATTATTATTATTTTGTTTAAATTATACTTTAAGTTCTAGGGTACATGTGCACAGCGTGCAGGTTTATTACATATGTATACATGTGCCATGTTGGTGTGCCGCACCCATTAACTAGTCATTTACATTAGATATATCTCCTAATGCTATCCCTCCCTCGTCCCCGAACCCCATGACAGGCCCCGGTGTGTGATGTTCCCCTTCCTGTGTCCTAGTATTCTCATTGTTCAATTCCCACCTATGAGTGAGAACATGCAGTATTTGGTTTTCTGTCCTTGTGATAGTTTGCTCAGAATGATAGTTTCCAGCTTCATCCATGTCCCTACAAAGGACATGAACTCATCCTTTTTTATGGCTGCATAGTATTCCATGGTGTATATGTGCCATTTTTTCTTAATCCAGTCTATCATTGATGGACATTTGGGTTGGTTCCAAGTCTTTGCTATTGTGAATAGTGCCACAATAAACATACGTGTGCATGTGTCTTTATAGCAGCATGATTTACAAACCTTTGGGTATATATCCTGTAAAGGGATGGCTGGGTTACAAAAATTAATTCAAGATGGATTAAAGACTTAAATGTTAGACCTAAAACCATGAAAACCCTAGAAGAAAACCTAGGCAATACCATTCAGGACCTAGGCGTGGGCAAGGACTCCATGACTAAAACACCAAAAGCAATGGCAACAAAAGCCAAAATAGACAAATGGGATCTAATTAAACTAAAGAGCTTCTGCACAACAAAAGAAACTACCATCAGAGTGAACTGGCAACCTACAGAATGGGAGAAAATTTTTACAATCTACCCATCTGACAAAGGGCTAATATCCAGAATCTACAAAGAACTTAAACAAATTTACAAGAAAAAAATCAAATAACTCCATCAAAAAGTGGGCAAAGGATATGAACAGACACTTCTCAAAAGAAGATGTTTATGCAGCCAAAAGACACGTGAAGAAATGCTCATCATCACCGGCCGTCAGAGAAATGCAAATCAAAATCAAGTTATTTTTTTTTAATGTGTTAGATTTTCCAGCTTTCATCTGTGGAGATTACACAAAGTATACACAAACTATCTTATACTTTTAAGTAAAAATTAAGTGAAATAACAATTGCAGAAAAACATAAATGTGCCTAAGTAGCAGAATAATTAGGAAAAACAAGCAAAATTATCAAATTTAAAACAAAGAGTTAACCCTTTTAATAGTCACATAATTTATGTGAGCATGGATAAAATTGTAGAAAATTACATCCTGGGCTTTGTAATATTGCTTATCTGTGAGAGTTATGAAAGGAGTATACAGGAAAATTATTAATTTTGTCTTTATTTATTATTGCATTGCTTCTATTCTTCCAAGGAGCATATATCACTTTGCAATTTAAAAACATTTAATTAAAAATAATTCACTGTCCATCTCCTATAAATAAGGCTCACTTTGTAACTCAGGGATCCAGCAATAAATATTAATAAATTAGACTTAGATAGGACTTCATAATTTATAACATACTTTTATACATATTTGATCCTTACAATTATCCTGTCAGGGCAGTTGGGCAGAAAATGTTTCCTTTTACAAGTACATCCAGTTAATAAGTGGTGGTGCTAGGATTCACACTCAGGTCTCCTAAGTTTCTGTTTTGTCCTTTTTCCAGTATCATAATTCCTCAAAAATAAAGACCCTGTTTTCATCCCCAAACAAATTACGTAGGTGAAAAAGTTAGAGACTTACACAGGTGATATATCAATTCTTTCCATCTTCAAATCTTTTTAAATGTTTGTCTTCAACATAATTCTTTCGCCAAACTAAAATTCCTTTAAAAATATTTTACATAAAATTGTTTGTAATTAGGATTAAAAACCCATTTGCATGAAGATGTATAGACTCTGTTTACATAAAGATATGTGTTCTGTGTAAAAATATGTTTAAAATGTTGAAAAAGTTTTTAAATTTTAGATTCAAGGACTACATGTCCAGGTTTGTTACATGAGCATATTGCATGATGCCAAGGTTTGGGTTTCTAACAATCTCATTGCCCAAGCAACAAACATAGTACCCAAGAGGTAGTTTTGCACCCATTCCCTCTCTCCCACCCTTCCCCCTTTTGGAAACCCGTGTCTGTTGTTCCCATCTTTATGTCCATTGTACCAAAGGTTTAGCTCCCACTTACAAGTGAGAATATGCAGCATTTGGTTTTCTGTTTCTGCATTAATTTGCTTAGAATAATGGCCTCCAGCTGCATCCATGTTGCTGCAAAGACATGATTTGGTTCTTTTTTATGGCTGCAGAAAATTATTTTTTAACAGAAGTACAAAGCTCCTTATTTTATTCATTTACATCACATGGAAGCACCCTTTTGAAGCAACGTACAGAAAAATGTTAGCTTTAATTTTTTTTGTCATTGATCACAAAATATATCAATATAATCATGGCATGCTAAAGTTGGGGATTTATTTAGACATCAAGTGTTAGAGTAAAGCACAGCCTCATTTTCAAATAGTTAAAATGAAAAAGGAAGTAGTGAGCACCGCCAAAGACAGAAAGACAAAGTACAGAAGGGAGTGGGTGGCAAGCAGCGTGGCTGGTTAAACACCTTCGTTTTTCAGGGTGGAAAACCTATGCTTGTCTAAAATAGATAAAGTTAACTTACAAGTAGTGTGATATAAAAGTATAACACAGAATCTCATTATAATAATGAGTAAAATGAGATACAGATAGGGACTATTTATCCAGAAGGAATAAATTCATAATTTATAACTGTAATGTGCAAATAGCAATAGTAGTATCTTTGTCAGTTTGGGCTACTACTAATAAAACAGGATAAACTGGGAAGGTTATAAGCTATAATAATTTATTTCTCATAATTTTGGAGGCTGCTAAGTCTAAAATCAAGGTGCCAGTAGATTTGGTGTCATATAAGAGCACACTTTGAGATTCATTGGTGGTGCTTTCTTGCTGTGTCCTCCCACGGCAGAAGGGGCTCTCCGGGGCCTATTTTAAAAGCGCACTAATCCTATTTATGAAGCCTCCTCTATCATGACCTAATCTTCTCCCAAAGGCCCCACCTTCAAATACCCTCATATTGGAAAGTAGGTTTCAACGTAAGAATTTTGGAGGGACACAAACATTCAGCCCATAACAAAAGTCATATATAATCTTCCATATAGAATGAATCAATTTAAACCTTAAAGAGCTCTTAGTATATATTATATTAATCTCTATGGGGGTATCTGATGTCTATTTTCAGTACTAGTAAATATTGTCACTTTGTAGATTGGCATCTTTGAAAACAAAAGACACTGACGGTTCAGAACTTCTACTGGAAAAGTCTATGGAGCAACACTCTCTGCTTTTCACATATGTAAGCCAGAGTTTCAGTTCAGCCTCTGTCAGTTCGATTTCAATTCATGTTCCCATTCCTTTTAGTCTCCACAGTAAGCAGGCAGTGTTAATGAGCTCAACCACTTAGCCAAATCCTGCTATACCCATAGATCTCTGAAAACTTCCAATGGGAAAAATGGGCTGGAATCTAGAGCCAAAATCCCTAAGTCTGAATTGATAGAAATATAAGGAAATAGAAAAACAACAGGGAGAAAACAATTAGGATATTTGATTAATAACGCCCCTGCTGACTGTGAAATCCAACACTTTTTTTTTTTTTTTCAGGCGACTGGCAGTATTCGTCACTCATTATAGGAGTTGAGTATAATTTTATGTTCCAGTTATTTTGATCACATATCTCTTTTCACAGGCGGATATAACACATGATACAGCATTTTCAAAAGAATACACCTGTTGGAATTGAAAGTATAATGAATAAGGGGGAAATGATGACCTCATGATTAAGAAAGAACAAAGTAATTTGCCAGAAGTAACATCTGATTTTTACTTTCCAAAGAGCAGGAGCAGGAGAAGACTTGAGGTTTCAATTGTTTATAGAAAGAACAGTGTGGTGTTTTAAAACATTTGAAAATACAGTTTATTTCCAATTCCAACTAGCCCATTATCATGTCCTGTGGAGCCACATAACTCTAGCTGCTACAGATTTTCACATTCAGATGGGAACTCCACAGGTGTCAGTAGACAATGGGAAAAAAACCCTAGAAACTGTCCCATAGATTTTATCCAAAGTTATTTACAGAGGTCATTAAGAAGGCAAGAGTATAAGATACATTTTTAAATCTTAAGTGCTGAATTCACTGCTAATGTTTACTTTCATAAGCATGAAAAAGAAGGTGAAATGTTTTACAAAATTATATAAACATTAGGCTAAAAGCTTTGATATCTACAGAATTACAAGTTAATACTATGCACATGACAAAAATATCAGATATTTATTAAACCTATAGAAAAAATGTTATCAATATCTTTAATCTTAAAAATAGAAGGTAAAACTCTACTGCAATCTTGACATTCAATACAATTCTAGAATAACATATTAGCGCATATTGTCATAAACGTTAGGGTCCATTTTCTCTGTTTCATCATCTATTGTTTCCTAGCTACCATTTGTCACTACCTGATGGAATTTTTCTACTCCATCTTAAATATTCTGGGAAGATTTTTTGGTTCTATGGCTAGCTAGGCCTTTCTGAACTATGGTTTCAGTACTAAGACTCTCCCAACCAGTGGGGTCCTTGGGCTTCCAGGACACTGAGGACATAGGAATCTGTCCTCTGTCTGTTCACTCTCTGAGACTGAGTTGGTGGTCAGTTTTCTGGCAAGAATCAAGTCTCATCTTTTCCCTCGTGACACCCCTGCTCTTACTCAACCCCAAGCAGAACCTAAGAATGTTCACCCCACTCCCCTGTTAAATAGCAGGGGCAGAGAAACACAAGGGCCAATTAAGGGGACAGGCATCTGTGTTACTGTGAGGTTTTAATGTGTTTACATACCTGGCCATTGCAAGCCACTTTGTGAGAAAAAGGAGCAAAGCTTAAAAAGCATTTTTACTTCTTCTCCATACTGTCACAATTCCACTGCAAATATCAGTGAATTGAGCCTCTTTGATTTCATCTTTAATTAAGGAGACAAGCTATAAATAAATAAATAAAAGTCTAATGCACTATATTTAAATGCATCATAGATTGGAATTGAAGGTTATTGACAAAGCCTATTAAACTACATTTATAATTATAATTTCCCTTAGCATAACTACCGTATCTAAAAATAAATATTGCATGTTTCTTACTTGATGATTTCCACAGCCTATATTTTTCCCTAATGGCAGAGGCTTGATTTGTATTCTTCACTAGGCTGGTAGTAATATGTACTCAAGAAATATTTGTTGAATGAATTAAAGAAGAGAAGTATAAGAGTGATTTAGAATGGCAAAAGAAGATGTTATAATAAAGGCAATACTCAAGGATGAAAGGAGAGAATGGTTTGCTTTAGTTGAAGGGATGTTTGAAGAGTAAAGGTGAGAAGGCAGTAATGCTCATGGTGTGTTCAGACAACCATGAGAAGATCAGCCTGACTGGAGCAGAGGACTTCAGTAGGGAGCATAAGGAGAGAGAGTTGAATAATTAATGTGAAGCTAGATTACTAAGGACTTTGAAAGTCAATTTAAATAACTCTGATTATCTTAATCTGTAGAAAAAAAGTGTAGAAATAACATAAGGGCCAACAGAAACACATCTCCCAGTTTTAGTAAAATGATTACCACATATATCATACTGCTCATTAAGCAGAAGAAGAAAATGACATTTGTATACAATCTTCACCTTATATTAAATCCTCTAGCTAAATTTGGAACCCAAAACCCAGATTCATAAAAGGTCCAAATGCTCATACAGATTTCCAGTATCCTGAAGCAGCAAATACAGAATTCCTGGGGGAAAAAAGATAAAGAAAGAAATGCCTTGTTATATTGATATTTTCATATCCTATTCCATAGTTCATAATATACTTATGGAAACAAAATCCATCTCTGGGTGGAGTTCAGAAACCCGCACACGCACTTCCACTTCCACTTCTACTCTTCTTCCAAAAGTGGATTATGGAAGCTGGTGGAGACCACTCTAGGAATGGTTGTGACCTGGAAACAAGACACTCAGGGAGAGTCTCAGCAGCATGTGGCAAAGAACAGACTCGAACATTGATGAGAGTGTGCTAAGTGCAAAGTTCTGGGCTTCAGATACACAACCTCACAGGAACTATGGTGCATGGAAATTAGACACTTCTACAAAGTTAATAATCAAGACTCAAATGCCCAAAATAGGTCAAACATATGGTGTGAGAGATGACCACAATATGACATTCAATAGAAAATGAGCAGGTGCCATCTGCCTCTTATTTTCCTGAACACATACTGTTGCCTTTCATTGATTTTAAAAAAATAATAATGCACGTTTCCCCCGCATTGTAGTATCTGCATCTGAGCTGACTCTTAAAATAAATATTTTAGTTACTTTCAGCCACACACAGTTGTGATACATTTGTCAATTTTACATGAGTGATCTTGTTGGTTATTCCTTTGAGTTTGACTAGACAATTTAAATTACTTAAATTTGTTAAAGTTGTATAAAGGTCATTTCATAAGAAATTTGAAGAAAGCATGTTAGTCATAGTTATAATTTGAAAATCTTCTGTTGACAATATTCTGATAAAATAATTGTACTTGATTTTTAGCACCCAAACTGAAAAAGTAAAAATTTCAAAACACTGGCTAGAAAAATAAATACTTAGAGGTAACAGTTGAACACTCTTTTTAGTAATGTTTACACCACAATGCTGGTAGAAGAGAAGATGAAATTCTGAGTTACAAAGATGTTAAGAAAAGTCAATCTCAGAATGTGTAGAAGTTTTAGAAAATGACTTCATCAATTTGTTTTGCTTATATTCTCTTTTAATATTGATGACATCTCATGTTATGTGATAATATGTAAGTTTTAAAGAACTCTTGAAGCAAGTATAAAATAAAATGTCTAAGCAATTGGAAAGTACTTCGTTACAGTGTAACTGCCAACATTTCCCCTTCTTTCCACTATACATTAAATAATCACACTTCTTAAAATCAATGACATCTTAGAGTTGATGAAATATAGAATATTCCAGAAATTGTACTAAGAAATTGATAAATATTACTTCAATATATCCTCACATTTAATATATAATACATTATTAAGTCCATTTTTCGGATGTGTAAATTGAACCTCACATGTTCAGTCAATTGCCATTATCCTACATCTAGTAAGTAGGGTTGTATTAGAGCCCATATCTTCCTGATTCCAAGATTTTTGCTCGTAATTATCATGGCAGTGTGTTTCAAACATCAGTGTTCATAATTATGACCCAGTAAGCTTGGCAAATAGTTAGATTTCTGAACCATTGTACAAGGCATTCTGCTTTAATAAGTATAGTCTAGACTCCGGGATATATACTATAAACAAAAACTTCATAGTAGGAGGTCTGCAAACCTTACTATACTCTTCTACATTGGCTGATGGTGAAGGCATCATGATGGGCACACTATCAGCAGTAGAAAGCTGTGAGGCAAACTGGAATCCAGTTCTCCAAGTACCCTTGGCAATTATGCAAGATAAGCCCCAGTGTCTGTGGAAAAATAGTAAAGGTAGGGATAAAAATTGAAGAACACCAGCTGTGAAGGTTAGACAAATAACTATTCTGGTGGATGCGAGTAGAGAGTATCAAATATTTAACCAAGTCACCATGCATCTGACCCACAAAGACATTAAGAATTAATCTCAGAATGTTTAGAAATGTTAAAAATAACATTAATTTCAGGAGGAGAGGGTTAGGGAGATGTTGGCTAATTTGTTTTGCTTAATGTATGCAAATAACATATGATTACATGTGTGTCTATGTATGTATAGGTACATTTAAAATAACTCTTTACATAAGTATAAAATAAAATGTCTAAGTTAATAAAAGTGGAAATGATGACATCTAATTTCCTTCAAAAAACACTACCCTGTGTTAGTTTGATACCGTTAAATCTTCAGTTTGAAGAAAAACAGTGCTAAAAAAAAAAAAAAAAAAAAAAAGGAATAGTTTTAGGAAAGATGGAACCTGAGCTCACTTATCTAATTTTACTGCCCTTCCAAAAAACAAACAAAAAAAAAAAACTCATTAAAATTAGAAGTCTTAAAACTTCAATATAAATAAATATCCACAGAATAGAACATTGATAAATTTCTGCTAGAAATAACCACATCGGGGAAAAGAACTCTAATTTCCTCTCTAACAATGCAAAGGAACACACCACATGAAAGTAAGTGGGAGGACACCGGAAGAGCTTCACTTAGAAACTTTATCAGTTAATGAAAACTAGAATCAAGGACAGTTTGTGGGATATGTGCGGTATATACAATTCCCTCTAGCACCTTTGGTAAGCAGTCCTGACAAAGGCAGTCACACAACATTTGGCTTCTGTGGTAGCTTTGTACAAGTTTATATTTGGCATGAATGGAAAATGCCACAATGATATCTTGCTACCACACAAAATGCAAAATACAAAGCTATTTGACACAAAAGCCAAGCTAATATTGGCCTCCACTCTATTCCCAACAAGCCACTGTGTTTCTTAATTAGCAATGTAATAGTATGAGGAATCTAAATGTTTTCACTTTGTTTTGTTACGACCGAAGTATGTGAACATACTAAAACAAAAGTACAAGCAATCTGACAGAAATTATCTCAGTTTTCTACTGAAGGAGAAACTCCTTAAAAATGATCATTTAAAAAGTCTCACTAAACATATGAAAACATACCCTAATTAAAAATAAATGGACTTTATTTTAAACTCTAAAATTATCTTCTTATAAAATGTAATAAAATGGACAAAAGGCATTTTAAAATATTTGTTATTCTCAATGATATTTAAGAAGAAATTGCATCTGTATGATGTGATAAAAAGTCCGGGTTAGAGACCATTTAAAATAAGGAAAAACTAAGTGGTATTTAACAGAGAAGTTTAAAAAGGGATCAGAGAATAACAGCTTTGAGAAAAAAAAATATGAAAGATTCTGTTAAATAGCAGTAAATCTTCACCTTTTTTTATAATGAAAAGGGAAAATACAAAATAAAAAAAATATTTAGGAAGCTCTTCTCTTTCCATTAATATAAGTATGGCTACTCATACAGAGATAAAAATTTTTATCAAATTATTAAAGAAATAATAGATATTGAGAGTTTGTTTGGTTAAAGTTGGAGCCTAGAGAACTATGGAGGAAAATGAATCCAATTTTTTCCTGATGGCATTTACCAAATCTGATAAACTGGATCTCAGACATTTTTTCATCTGTAAGGAAAAAGAGGCACTGAAAACCCACCTTGGCTTATCTAAATACAGAATCCATATTAGACTTATTCACTCATAAATCCAGAAGGCCAAATAACTGCATATTTCATCTAAGAGTATTGCTCTGGAAGAGGACAAGTCATTCCAGATGTAAGGGTAGAGATACAGGGATTGGAAAATGCTTTATATTCTAGGCATGATGAGATAAGTCGTATGCAATAATCCTGCATTGAGAGAACTAGAACAGCTAAAAAAAGTTTAAAACCATCTCATTGAAGCCATCTGAGAGTTACCTGGGCAATAAGATTATTTTGAGCCAATATCTACAAGAAATTTGAAGTAAAAGAAAGAAACATGACATTGAATGTTGCTTTTCTACCAATGTTATTTGGTAATTTAAAAGTTGTTAGTGAGAGGTTGAAAATCTGAGTGGAAATCTTTGTAGGCTCATGGGGTTGGAGATCAGGATTTAAAAAATGGAAATCATACCTGCCAGTAAGAGTTCTGATAGATAACTGAGGCTTGGCAACCCAAAAGGCTATGATATATCATTAAAGTTGAACCGAAAATAAACCAGTGAGCAAAGGCCAGCTGTAATAATTTCAAATGCTGATTGTATTAATTAGGTTTGTCATCTGCCTGCCAGATGAAAAAGTAATTCCTCTCTGGAGACAGTTAACACTATTCAGAAGCTCAAATTATGCCTAAAAATTTCATATGCAGTGTTTAACTTACAAAGAAAAATCAGCAGGCATATAACAAAACAAAATTCTAATGAAAACAACAACAGAATAGAAAATAAAGGAAGAACCATAGGAGAAGCATAATACGGATATATACAAAGCACAAAACTATGATTAGTTATTATAGTATTAAAATATATGAAGCAATCTCACTGAAGGACTAGGGGAAAAAATGCCAACCTAGGTAACTTTGGAAATGAATGGAGTCTGTAAGACTAAAGGCCAATAAATTTTTCATAAGCACTGTACTGTACACTTTAGTTGTCTGCTGCACTCTTATACTGTACTACTCTGTAGTATACACTACTCTGATAGATTTGTTGCCCGGGGGTAGAGGTTAAGTCTAAAACCACTACATAGTTATACTGGAGTTAAACAATTAAATAAATGGATGGTGATAGTGAGAACCAGGTTTCTCAGTGCTGAAGGAAGCAGTTTCATATAAGCAAAGAAATGTTCCTTGTTGTCATGGGTAGAGATACAAATATCAGTATGAACTCATGGTTTAGCTTCATATAGATGCAGATGGTGTGGTGGTGAATACTGAGTGTCAACTTGATTGGATTGAAGGATGTAAAGTATTGATCCTGGGTATATCTATGTGGGTGTTGCCAAAGGAGATTAACATATGAGTCAGTGGACTGGGAAGGCAGACCCACCCTTAATCTGGTGGGCACAATCTAATCAGCTGCCAGCAAATATAAAGCAGGCAGAAAAGTGTAAAAAGGCGAGACTGGCCTAGCCTCCCAGCCTACATCTTTCTCCCGTGCTGGATGCTTCCTGCCCTCAAACATCGGACTCCAAGTTCTTCAGTTTTGAGACTCGGACTGGGTCTCCTTGCTCCTCAAGCTTGCAGACAGACTATTGTGGGAGCTTGTGATTATGTAAGTTAATACTTAATAAACTCCTCTTTATATAGATCTCCTATTAGTTCTGTCCCTCTAGGGAACCCTGACTAATACAGATGGTTACATACAGTAATATTTATAAGTATGTGCACATGGGTTAGCTTCCATGTATGTATTTTCTTGTTTTGTCAGATGAGTGAGCCTAGAATCAATGAGTACATCTACTGCCCAGATCTTGATTTCTAATGCCATTCTCCAATAAAAAGAACCAGTATTTCTTGGATAAATGGCTGATGCTAGGACTGAGGCAGAAAATATGCAAGTTGAGCCTGGACCATCTTACAGTGCCAGAAAGTACAGATATGCCTTTCCTCCCCACACAAATAGCACTCACACAACGATGGAGATATGTCAAGGGGGTACAGGAACTAAGTGAAAGATCTATAATACCCGAAGCTGGAACAATCCAAGCAATGAAATAAATCAAGAAGAGACGGATTACAGCCCTAGTATGGAATAAATATCTGTGTCCTTCCTGATATAAATAAATGATTGCATTACTAAATAAATGGAGGAGAACAGAAAAAATTCACATGCAGACCTCTAAATAATATATATCAATAGTCTGCCCTGAAGGAGGTAGAAGGCCACACCCCACTCATTATGGGTAGGCTATGCATATGACTCCTGTCCAAAGAGTACAGTATGAAAAAGTGAGGAGGGAAGTAACTTTACAATGAAGAAAACTGACAAAAACTACCTTAACCTCAAGATCAACATCGACAATGAAAAGCCAGGTTGATAGTATGTATCCTTCATATAATGGAATGAGAATAGCTCTTTTCCTCTCTGGTCGTTCTTCGCAAAAGGCATAACCTCCATCTTCTCATATGAAAAGTATCAGAGAAATCCAACTCAAGGGACATTCTACAAAATACCTGACCAGTGCTCCTCCAAATGTAAAAGTCATCAAAAAACAAGGAAAACCTGATGAACTGTTCAGAGCTGAGAGGAATCTAAGAGACATGATGACTGTAACATGATATTTGGCAACAGAAAATATAGGTAAAAGGTAAGAAATATGGAATTTAGTACAGATTTAATAACAATGTATCATTATTGTTTCATCAATTGTAACATTATTACATTAGCATTATGATTACATTATCAGTTCCTACATACTCCATGTATCCAGTGTTTTCCATTATAATGATGGAGGACTTTGGATACATCTTCACAATCTTTCTGTAAATCTAAAAGTATTTCAGAATTTTTAAAAAGCTTACTTAAAAAAGAAGAATGAGCACAATACCCTTACATTAGCTCCCCAAAATAATGAAATACTTAGATGTAAATCTAACAAAATATTTTCAAGATTTAAATTAGGAAACCTATAAAACATTGATGAAAGAAATCAAAGAATGTAATTTATGTTAACAGAATAAATGAAAAAATAATGTGATCATATATAAATGCAAAAGACTTCTACTTAAGATTAAAAATTACCCATTCAACTGGAATTAAGTGGCAATCCCTTAATTGATTAAAGATTATATACCAAAACATTTTATAAAGTCAGCACAAACATCTAACAGAGTTAGATGTTGAAAGCCTTCATCTCAAGATTGAGAATGAGACAGCTGTATCCACTTTCATGTATCCAGATTCAACTTTGCATTGGTGGTTATGAAAAATAAAACAAGACAAAAAAGTTTTGAAGATTGTTCATGATGATATTATAGTGTAGATAGATGCCTAAAGAAAATGTTAAGTTAGCGGGAATGTTAGTGACTTCATTTATTTTGAGACCAGAACCAGACACAGTGAATCCATTTTGTTTGTTTGCTTGCATTTTCTTTAGTCTTGGAGAGAAAGTTCTTTTGCTTGTTTGCTTGTTTCTCTTTTGACTTTAATCATAAACTCACTTCTGGAAGTATCAGTTTTGATTTAATAAGAGAAAGGTATTTGTACAACAAAATATAAGTAATTTCTGCAAATAAATTTGAAAAAAACCCATAGAAAACGTGGGCCAAAAAAAAAAAAAAAAAGAAATCCTCAGAAAAGAAAATCCAAATCCAATTAATTTAAAATGAAAACTATAATGAGACAGTCTTTACATTAAGATTGAAAAAAAATAAGAAATACCAAATCTGGTGACAATGTAAAAATAAGGTCTCTAATATCCTGCTTGTAGAGAGAAATTTGATTATGTCTACAAAGATGAAATTATGTAATAATTACTCACAAATTCCTTTTCTAGATATATACTCTACCAAAAATTCTCACTGTTGTATGAAGAGACATCTATGAGTATTTATAGAACCACTGTTTACAGTGAAAAATAAAACTCTTAAACTAAATTTTATCAATATGATAATGAATATAAGGTATATTCACAAAATAGTTATTAAATGATTGAAATATTGGAAGTCTCTCTATACATATACCATTACAGATAAATTACAAAACATTGGATTTAAAAAGTAATGGTTGGATACACAAACTATAATACCACTCATAAAAATTAATATATACAAAAATATGTAGTTTGTAGGAATATATTATGCTGGTACACATAAGTATGTCCACAAGTTCTCAGACAATCTTCTTTTCAAAAGGTGGAGCCTAATCTCACTCCTATTGAATATAGGAAGATTTAGTAATTTGTTTCCCATATATCAACTGTAGCAGAGTTGACTGTATGATTTCCAGGACTAGATTTACAGGGCATTATGGTTTCTGCCTTGCTCTCATGGCTCCCTGGATCTCAGAAAAGCTGGATGCCATGTCATGAGGACATTCAAGCTGCCTTCTAGAGAGGCTAACATGGAAAGGATCTGCAATTTTCTGAAAGCTCTGACCAACTACCAGTATCCACTGGCCAGTCAACTGAATGAGTCAAATAAAAAAATTAGGAAAAAATGGAAACAATGTAATCAAGTACATTACTTTATATAATTAAAAATTAATAAGCTAAAATTAAAAGGCAAACTTATTAGCTAAGATAAAAATATTGGTATGCAGAATTCAAAGTTGCAATTATTTTCAAAACAATAATCATCTACAGTGAAAGTGTAAGAAATTGATTTCCCATATTCAGATATATAATTAAACAAGCAACTAAACTAAATAAAAATTGATGTACATAATTTTTCAACCTATGTGTCATTTTTGTCACAGAAAATGTGAAGGTAAAATGTGTAGAAAAAGTGCAGTGCACACACACACATAAGCACACATAGAAATCATTTTAGAACTACCATAACAAAAAAAAATGGTCATGTCCTAGTGAAAAAGAAAAACTATAAAGCTTTCCTGAAAGTCATAAAAGAGGACCTCGATGAACTGAAAGAGAACATATTCCTGTAAGAGAGAATTCACTATTGTAAAAACGTCATTTCTCCTTCAATTCCTCTATAAATCCCTACAGGACTTTTGTGAAATTTATCAGTCTTAAAATGTATCTGGAAGAGAAAATGTGCAATAATAGCTTAGTACATTTTGGAGAGGAGAACAGTGAGCAGAGACTCTTCTGACACACACCAAAGCATATGATTTATAGCATTTAACACTGGGTGATATTATCAAAGGTATATGTGAGCCTCATCTTCCTGCACCCTGTGTATGAATAATGTTTTAAAACATTAGTTTACACACTTATCCCTTAAGGACTTTCAGCTGCCTTACCAACAAATTTAAATACAGTTATGTCCCGCATAATGATGTTTCAGTTAACTACGGACTGCATACATGATGGTGGTCTCATTAGAGTATAATGGAGCTGAAAAAGTCCTGTCACCTAGGGATGTTGTAGCTGTTGTAACGTTGTAGGGCAAACGCATCATCTTTTCTATAATTTAGATATGTTTAGGTACACAAATATTTACCATTGTGCTACCACTGCATACAGTATTCAGAACAGCAGCATGTTATACAGGTTTGTAGCATAGGCTATACCTTGTAGCCCAGGCAAGTACTTGGCTATACCATCTAGGTTTGTGTAAGTACACTCTATGATGTTCGCACAATGATAAAATCACCTAACAATGGGTGTGTATCCTCGTCATTAAGTGAAGCGTGATTGCAGATACTTTGATCAGATTCAAATTTTAAATGCTCCTGACTATTATCATCCGAAATATAAGTATTTTTTTTTTTTTACTATTTATCTGCCCTGCTTCCTTGTTCATTAGTTCCTTGCTGTCCCAGAGCTCTTTGTTAGGAACCTATTGTCTTCATTTTGTGAAGCTCTTTTCTAGTTGCCTGTTAGAATCCTAAGAGAGCTTCTTCACCTGAGAGATGCAGGAGTGTAACAGTACAATAGAATCCTAACAGAAGTAAGCTTGTTAAAGCTCAACTCTTCTAAACTTCAAGTACTTTTGCATACTTACTGAAATTCTGCTAGTGCTAACTAGCAACGCCCTCACTTTAAACAAAATGCTTTTAGAAATGCAGTTCTCCAGTTTAGAATATCTTAATTTTATAAAAAGTTTCTGTGAAAATTATAATTCAATGATGAATATTACTACATAAGATTTAAAGATTCTGTATAACCAAAGACACCATAAATAAAGGTCATAAATGACATAGCTAGAGCAAATGTTTACAATACTTAATGGAGTATCGACATCCTTAACATGTAAGAAATTCCCATAAAGTAATCCATAAAAAAAGTTACCAATTAAAAAATGTTTCATATATGAAGAAACAACATACAGAAGAAATGTAAATTGCACACATAAAAAAATCCTAAAATCTACCCTTAATATTATAAGTAACCTAAATAATACAAATTAAAAAATAAGATGTAACTTGTAACTGATATTAAATAGAAATGTAAATGATTAGGAATTTGCTGATAAAGGTGGGAAATTTGGTATTTTCATACACTATTATAAGAGTACAACTTGATGTATACATTTGAAAGGTCAATAGGTCAATTTGGCATAATCTATAAAAATGCCGTATACTTATAACTTCTAAATTAGCACTTTGCAAGATTCCAGGCAAAAATGTGTATGCAGTGATGTTCATTGCTGCCTGATTTGTAATAGCAAAACTCGTAAACCATCAGAAGTGCATTAATGAAGTAATTACTAAATAAATCATGGCACTTCAGTACATTTGATTACTGTAAGGTAATAAAAACATTACATTGATTTATATATACAAAATATGGACACATCACAAAGTTATATAATAAGTCCACTGGAAGAAAGCAAAGTACATGCATAGGCTCTTTATAAAAGGAGCACATTATAGTGGTTAAGCCCACTGGCTCTGGAGGCAGATTGTCTAGGTTTGTATCCTACCTTTGCTACTTAGCTTTAGATATGGTCTTCGATGAATCACTCGCTAACTTTCGGTGCGTGTAGTTTTAATCTGTAGACTATGAGGATAAATATTTAGCGCCAAATGCTGGGGTTTTATTTATGGCTCATTTAAAATGTAAACAGAGTACTAAGGAACTTTTGTTTTGAGCTGTGTATATTGGACAAAATTCTTGGACCAAAAGAAAAGTTCTATGGGGTGGGGTGGAGGTGGTGGGGAGAGAAAGATAGTCTTGAAACATTACAAAAGGTTGTAATGGTTATCCCTTGAGAGAAGCATCAGATTAGAATATAGCATTAAGAATACCTTGTTAAAAAAGTACTGCATATATACTAAAACATTATGTAATTTAGACAGATGTTTTTAAACAAAGAAAAAAAAAACAAATAAGAAAGTAAAGCAAACCAAAGATGGAGTTTCCATCTGGTTTTTGTTTTGTTTTGCTTTCATAATACCATTGTTGTTGTTTCTTCCCATAATCTGTGGATTGGTTGTTAAGGAGTGACGTTTATAACGCACACACCATAAAGGCTCCTGTCTGAATTCAGATTTTTTAATTTTTTTTTATTTTTTGAGACGGAGTCTTTCCCTGTCGCCCAGGCTGGAATGCAGTGGCGCAATCTCGGCTCACTGCAACCTCTGCCTCCCAGGTTCAGCGATTCTCCTGCCTCAGCCTCCTGAGTAGCTGGGATTACAAGCGTGCGCCACCATACCCTGATAATTTTTTGTATCTTTAGTACAGACAGGGTTTCACCATGTTGGCCAGGCTGGTCTCGAAATCCTGACCTCACGATCCACCCTCCTTGCCCTCCAAAAGTGCTGGGATTACAGGCGTGAGCCACTGCGCACAGCCACATTAAGATTCTTAATGCATTTTGTTGCAAAATGATTTTATAAGAGGCACTTCGATGGCTATTTCCATTTCAAGCTCATCTAACCCACTAAATAAATGCTGATTTATTTATCATGTCTTTAATCTGCAAAAATAACATTCAGAGTTAAATGTATTTTTTTTTTCCTAGAGAATGAAACCTGATAATTTTGCATATGTTGGGAAAGTCAGATTTTAAACATTGCACGCTAGTTGTTTCATTCTTCTTCTTCTTTTTTTTTTTTTTTTTTGCAGTGGGGTCTCACTCTGTCACCAGGCTGGAGTGCAATGGTGCAGTCTTGGCTCACTGCACCCTCGCCCTCTTGGGTTCAAACAATCCTCTCATCTCAGCCTCCTGAGTACCTAGGACTACAGGCTTGTGCCACCAGGCCTGGCTAAATTTTACGTTTCTGGTGGAGATGAGATTTCGCCATGTTGGTCAGGCTGGTCTCAAACTTCCAAGCTCAAGCGGTCTACCCACCTTGGCCTCCCAAAGTGCTGGGATTAGAGGAGTGAGCCACCATCATACCTGGCCTGGTTGTTTCTTTTATTTATAAATGATCAAATGATAAAAACTGAAGATTTTCAAAAGAAACTCTAATGGATTAATAACTAAACTTTATTGTCGTTCATTTTAAAACACTGATTTGCAAACATAGAGAGTTTTATATTTTAAACACTAAAATCCCTGATAATTGAAGACCAAAGCATGAATTATCCAATTGCACTAAATGGATATGTATGTATGTGTCAACTAAAATAAAATAAAACTTTAAAAAGATAAAAATTCAGCTAATATGAGCATTCTCTTTTCAGTTAAATTAAGTGAATAAGAATTATGTAAGAAAAATGCTAAAAATTACTTGCTTTTTATTTTAAGCCAATGTATTAAATATTGTTATTTATATAGTCTGTCTTTCTGCAACATAATGTATATTAAAAATTTTATTAGTTTTTTAGTTCTTTCTATTATTTTGATTTCATTAATCTATGACATTCATGAAAGCAGAAGTCTTCTCTCTTTTGTTCAAATTATCTCAATGTCTGTCATTGCTAAGATGTATGATTTATTCAGCATGTATTAATTGCATGAATAAATCATTTGTCTTACTTTTGTTCCTTATTATGTATTTTATCCCTATGCACATATTCCATTTGTTTTCCTCATCTCTGTAATATTCAAATTTCTTGATATGTGTTCTTACCATAATGTAACATCAACCCTAGTCATTTTATTATGTATTTATTTTTTGATGCCTATGTCTATTATTGACATAGTTGAATTTTTTAAAACATTCTCCAATAAGCCAAATCTCTAGACTGACTAACAGGCTTCATTCCCTCCATGAAACTTATGGACTCATATGCATGACCAGTACACCAGAACAGTTCTGCTCCCACCAACATTTCTCAGAAGACAGTTGTATTTGTTCTCAAACAAGATTACATCATATTTTCTTACTGTAATTCTGTAACGGTATATTATATTAACAGAGAATGTAAAACAAGGAGCTTTCCTAATTAAATCCATGCTCTGATTGCTATGAAAACCTCAATAAAATAATTGCTAAAAATAATTGTTGAGCTATGGTTGAGAGCAGTAAAATACAAAATATTAAAGTCTAGAAAGATTCTGCATACAGTTTGCATCATGTAAGCCTTAATTTTTATCTCCTATTTAAAAGTAAAACAAAATTGAGAATCACAGATAATGTATTATAGATGTTGTTTATGAAAGCAAAACAATGAAAAATTCCAATCAAGTTACCCATAATCAAAGAAAATAGCTTGTCTATCCATTAAACAATTATGAATGCATATATTTAAATATTTTTAGAAAAAGATGAAATTACTTAAACTAATGCATATTTAATATTTCCAACTTTATTAAATGTTTTAAAATTATTAATTACCCCGAAACCCTGTCTCTACTAAAATACAAAACATTAGCCAGGTGTGGTGGCGGGCTCCTATAGTCCCAGCTACTCAGGAAGCTGAGGTAGGTGAATCACTTGAACCCAGGAGGCGGAGATTGTGGTGAGCCGAGATGGCGTCACTGCACCATAGTCTGGCAACAGAGTGAGACTCTGTCTCAAAAAAAAAAAAAAAATTAATTACACATGTACTACTGTGTCCCAAGTGCATTGGTAATGAGCCTTTTTACTAGACAGAAAATACATTCTTCATCGTTTACACAAAATGAGCATTTCCTCAGCATCTAATCATACCCACAGCTACGATTTATCACCACAAAGGGATAAACAGCAAACTCAGCAAAGAGAAAAGGCACATGGAGAACCCAGAGGAAACCACGGGAAAGATTTCAAGAGTCCTGTCCTACTGGAGCTACAGTGCCCTGCTTAATTTCCCCAGCAAAAAGTTGTAACAACTTGTGGGAAATGTTATCTAACAGACTGGAAGCTCATAAGTAAGGGACAAAGTGCACAAGGGTTTTATTGGGTTCTGGTCACATAGGCACCCTCTGATAAGTATGTATCAAACTTCCAGACTCTTACAAAGAAAGCAAGTGTTCACTTTGTTTGTACAGTTTAGGTACAGTGAGCCATTCTTCTCTTTAGGGTAGCAGAGCACTCCCTAAAACCAAGTTTCCAGACACTAGCCAACCTTACAAGTAGGCCTGAATGGATAACAGTCTCAGGCGTGCTATGTTAACTCTTTCCTGTAGAGTTCCAAAAAGCATAACTTTAGGATGAACAATTCTAATTCTAAGAATTTATTCTGTGGGGATAATCACAAAAAATAACACATATACAATGCCATTCTTCACAATAGTAAAAATAAAACATGTCTGTCTCCAAACTCTGGGGAATGCGTGCCAGTTTCTTAGGCAGGCTCTCACCACTAGTGAGCTTGCAAATTTCTACACTTCAGTAAGCCTCTATCCAAGGAAGCAGATTTTACTGTACCTTCCTTTAAGGCTTGGCCAATTTGGATAAGAGATTCTCTCAGCATTGCCACCTAATCCTTGCCTACCCCAACATACATATATTTGACTTTCAAGACAAAGAAGAACAATAAATAAAATACATTTTTAACATACATTTCACAGATGTTCAAAACTCCACAGCTCAATCCAATTTAATGCTTTTCAATGAAGTCTGTATTTGTTGAGATTTTACTTAATGGTGGCCACTGTGATGAGTCAAAATGAGAAAGATTTATTTTCTCCCTCAAGGAATTCACAGTTCAATAAATATCATCAGAGTAAGCCTGGCTTCTCCTAGAAATTTTCTGGGTAAAACAACTGTTTGTATGCCAAGAAGCAAATGTTTATGATAAAATGCTACATTTTTCTTTCAAGCAAGATAAGGCAGTGGCTTTCTTTATTCTATCTTACTCATCATTTTGAATGCCATTATGTTTCCCCACTCATCTGTGGAAATTTGGGGGTCTTCGTTTCTTCTTGCATAACATTACAGAGATTATTAACTACATAAAGTCTTTTCTGTCATAAAAAATCAATAATTTTGTAATTCTTGTAATTACAAATTACATATTTGCATAATGTATGTAATGCATAGCTTTACATAGATTAACTATATAATCGTAGTCTTTTCTATCATAAAACATCAACAATTTTGTAATTCGTGTAATTACAAATTACATATTTGCATAATGTATGTAATCCATAACATTACATAGATTACATAATCTTAAAATCTCTTCTATTATAAAAAATCAATAGTTTTACAATTCTTCAGTTCATAACAACCACATATTTTCAAATAAAACTTATTTATGAATAATTGAAAAATAATTCATATGAATCAATAGGAATCGTCTTATTGATAAAACTATCTTGCTGTTTGTCCTAGAATATAATAATACTTTGCTTTATTAAGTGTCTACCAAGTCAATGTTGTGACTTAGGCTTATCTAAGCTAAAATACAGGCCAAGCAGGCTAGGGTTTGAATTCAATTCTACTTCATGGTGCCTCAGTTTCTCATCCTCAAAATATGGATAATATGTTATTCCTCTCTCAAAATCTTAATGAAAATATATAGCTATAGATACATATATATACATATATACCCACACATATAGATACAGAAACATATATATTTACATATAGGTATACATACAGATATAGATACATGTGTACACATGCACATGTATATATGTATCTACATGTGTGCATATGTATATACATATTTTTATGCATACTTTTAAAAGTGAGCTAGTACATGATGTGAGTTTAATACATAAAGCTTTTCTTTCCTGTATAAAATACACTTAAATACTTGTGAAATTTTAGTTAAAATAGTCTGACATCAAACCTCATGCTTCTCACAACTCTTTGCTAGAAGAAATAAGACTCCTCACAATGACTTATATTCATTTGATGAGAAAATAGTTAAATATTTAGATCCTTAAGTTCTTGAAAATTCTGTTATGATTAAGATGTAAAAGAACACAAAATACCTTTATTCATGTAATTAGATCAGGAAATAACTGAATCAAATACAAATCATGTCTATGAGACTATCAAAGAGCGATTGACACAAGAAAGCCTAGATAAGTTAATTTACAAAGAGAAGAGCATTTCATAGTTGAACAGCCATCCAACATAACTCTCTGGGGATTTGGGACAAACATCATGTTGGAGTTTGGGCCAGTGAAAGAGCTAGTTTTCCACAAACCTTGCCAGATCAAGGAAGGGCCTGCAGAGCTACTGGCGCTGCTGGGAGTGAGCAGCCTGGATTATGGTAAGAATGACTATCAAACATAGCAACAATTTGCTTATCATCAGAATCCATCCATACACTCAAAATTGTCCTGAAGAAAAAAATGATAATTTGAGTAGAGTTGTGCATTCTCATGATATTTGGAACTAAAAAATCTGCTAGCAATGAAATCAAAGGCAAAACGATAGCCCAAGATCTGTTAGCTCAAGCATAGAGATCAAAGAGGAGGCAGCTGCCACTGTGCAGAACACTGCTGATGAAGTTAGAAAGTAAGCTCATCATTTCTAAAACACAGGCCAGATCCACAGCAACTTGACTCCTGATGAAATCTGAATGATCATCTTCTTGTCTTAGCTGCCAGAAAGAGTTATTGTTCTCTGGGAAAACCAAACAAACAAGAGTATACTTGAAACTCCTCTGTTTTTCTATATATGAAATTTAATGTAAAATTAAGTATTTTGAAGTTTGAGAAAAAGAAATATAGGACCTATGATCTAGAAAACAAATCAACAGAGTATACCTATAAATAACCTAAATATTAGAACTAACGAAGATTGAAAAATAACCTATTATATATAAGTTCAAGAATTTACAGAAAAAATTGAAATAATAGATTTATAAAATGTGGTTTCCATCGGAAGAGATGTAGTAGTCAACAGTTTTCCTTATTCCTTATTCCTTCTTCTAAATGCTGAACACTATATAAGAGAAATATAAGAAGGCCTGAAAATATAGATTAGAGTAAAACATCAGGACCCAAGGAACAACATGGTGGCACATTCTCTAGGTTTTGTTTTTGCCTTATATGTGCCATGTTTGAAACTGAAGAAGATAATTTAGAAACACTAATGGGTACAGAATAGGTACCGACAAGCAAATCCACCCCCGACCCGCAAAAAAAAAAAAAAAAAAAAGTCTGCCTTCTATCAAAAGGACCAGAAAATATATAGCTTAGAAAGAAACAGTAGTTTTAGATAATAATTGGTCTACTGCAGCCAAACACGTGAGAAAAAACTGTGGCCCCACCTCCCACTACTCAAGCAAATGCCAAGTGGAGGTCCTAGACTTCCACACTGGTCAAGCTATTATGAGGTGCCGCAATCCCCAGGAGAGTGTTAGAGACAGCCAAGTAAGAAGCCAGGACTCTCCTCTCTGTTGGGCCAGAATAAGACACTCATCCAGTGTCATGGGAGAGAATGTTGGGAGCCTAAACTCCATCCTCATGCAGCAGTAAACACACACATTTCTACCTCTCTTCTGCTGTGGGATAAGAGGAAGCCTAGAAAAATGTCAGGACTTTCACCACCGACTAGCATAAGGAGGTCCTCCTCTACCCCATGTGGAGTGAGTGGAGTTGACATTGAGAGCAATGACAAGACACTTTAACCTCTCCTAGCCAGGAAGGTGTCAGTGGAGGTTTAGTGAGAAGCTGGAATTTCTATGGCTACCCCTAGTAAACAGGAGTCCCTCTCTCTTGGTTACCAGTGGAAGCCAAGGGGAGAACATGGACTTCCACCACTATATGGCTGCCATAAAGTGGCACCCTATCTCCTTCTCCTGCTAGAGCACTGCCAGAAGAAGAAGCTAAAACAGAAGATTTCAAATGTAAAATCCCAGACTATAAAAACCATGAAAAATAACCTAGGCAATACCACTGAGGACATAGGCATAGGCAAAGATCTCATGATGAAGACACCAAAAGCAATTGCAACAAAAGCAAAAATTGATAAATAGGATCTAGTTAAACTAAAGAGCTTCTGCACAGCAAAACAAACTATCAACAGGGTAAACAGGTCAACTACACAATGGGAGAAAATTTTAGCAAACTATGCATCTGACAAAGGTCTAATATCCAGCATCTATAAGGAACTTAAACAAATTTACAAGAAAAAAAACACGGTAAACAAGAGGGCAAAGGACATGAACAGACACTTTTCAAAAAGAAGACATATATGCAGATAACAATCATATAAAAAAAGGCTCAACACCGCTGATTACTAGAGAAATGCAAATAGAAAAGCACAATGAGATACCATCTCACACCAGTCAAAATGGGTTTTATTAAAAAGTAAAAAAATAACAGATGCTAGCGAGGTTGTGGAGAAAAAGGATGCTTATACATTGCTGTTGGGAGTGTATATTAGTTCAACCATTGTGGAAAAATGTGGCGATTCCTCAAAGACATAAAGATAGAAATACCATTCAACTCAGCAACCCAATTACTGGGTAGGTACCCCAAAGAATATAAACCATACTATTATAAAGACACATGCACACATATGTTCATTGCGACACTTTTCACAATAGCAAAGGCATGGAAATGTTCATCAGTGATAGGCTGGATAAAGAAAATGTGATACATATATACCATGGAATACTATGCAACCATAAAAAAGAATGAGATCATGTCCTTTGTAGGGACATGGATGAAGCTGGAGGCCATTATCCTCAGCAAAGTAACGCAGGAACAGAAAACCAAATACTGCATATTCTCCCTTATAAGTGGTAGCTAAATTATGGGAACCCATGGACACATAGAAGGAAACAACACACAATGGGGCCTGTTGGAGGGTGGAAGATGGGAGAGGGAGAGAATTCGGAAAAATAATGGGTACTAGGCTTAGTAATGTCTGGGTTATGAAACAATCTGTACAACAAACCCCCATGACATGTTTACTTATGTAACAAACCTTCACATGTACCCCTGAACTTAAAAGTTAAAAAATAAATAAATAAACAAACAGAAGACTTGAACAAGATTCATAGATTCATGTAATAATACTCACAATGCCCAGGTTCCAATGGGAAAAAAAAAGTTACTCAACATTCAAGAACCAGAAAGATCTTAAATTGGATAAAAAGAAGTAAATCAATAGATGCCATCGCCAACATGATAAAGATGTTAGGATCACCTGAAAAGATTTTAAAACAGCTATCATAAAAATGCTTCAACAATAATTCAGAACACACTTGAAACAAATGGAAAAATAGAATAGCTTAGTGAGAATATATGATATAAAAAATGGAATTTTAGAATTTAAAACTGTAATAACTAAAATAAAACCCCAGTGGATGGGTCAAACAGAATGGAGGGATAGAGAATCAATAAATTCAAAAACAGAACAATTGAAATTACCCAATCTGAAAAAACAGAGAGAAAATTGATTGGAAAAAAAATGAACAGAGGACTTCCAGTTTGAGCTCTGACTTACAAAGAACTTGGAAATCATCAATCCTAAACTTGTAAGAAAAAATCTGAACAAATTTGAAATCAACCAAACTTTCTTGAATCTATCACAGAACTGAGGTTATGGGAAAAACCACCATTCAGAATCCTCAGTGTCAAATGAGACCTGCTTATCTAGAAAAGAAGCTACTAAAGCTATAAACTGCCACTTGACTGGTAATTCTGATGAATTGCTTGGAGTTGTGGGTGGATAATTATGAGAGTGAAAAATTATGGGTACTATCTAGGGGTACCCCCACTCTTTCATGGGTTTTACTTCTAAAACCCTACCAGCTTCTCATGGCGAAGATCTTAGAAGGATGTCCTGACTCTGGTAGGGGGAAAAGAGTAAACATTCTGAAATAAACTCACAGTATTCTACACAACACAAACTTATTCTCCAGGAGAAAACCATTACCAGAGCTTTATTTCAGTTGGAGGAAAAGCATTCTTCCAACCTTAGATCTCTGTAGCCTTCTGGTTTCACCTTAGGTATGTGGATTGAAAGTGAAGGTTACCATACCACTAGAGAATAATTGTCAAGTTCAAAGACCAAAGACAGGGGCTCACCAAAAGACTGAGGTTGGATCCTAAGTGTATAGACAATGCTTCCTTCCCCTCACACCTTACAATATCACTAGCAGGATCCCAGTATAATAACAATGGATTACAGCTTAAAGAGATAAAAGACACAGACTCTGAGGAGTGCTTAAGAAAGCCAAGGTCAAGAAAGAAGAACAAAACAAACAAACAAACAAAAAACACTAGAACAATTTAAAGCCTCTAGCATCTACAGCTACGACAAACTGAAAACAAACCAACACCTAGTCAGATTTAACAAAAATTTCATACTAAAAGCCTCTGTTCCTCAGTTCTTATTAACAATACAACATTTCCAGCTTCCAACAAAAAATAACAAGTCATGCCAAAAAGCAAGAAAGAAGAATCTAAAGAGACAAAACAAGTATCAGAACCAGACTTAGATATGACACAGAAGTGAGAACTAACAAAGAATTTAAATAACTATGATTCCTACGTTAGGGGATCCAATAGAAAAACCGGACAACATGAAAGAACATATGGTTAATGTAAGCAGAGAAATGGACACTCTGAAAAATTATCAAAAGAAAATGCTAGAAATTTAAAACCCTGTAAAAGAAAGAAAGAATGTCTTTGATGGGCTAATTGTTAGAATGGACATGTCGGAGAAAATAATTTGTGAACTGGAAGATGTATCAATAGAAACTTCCCAACCTTAAATGCCAAGAGAAAATAATATTTTTAAGGAGATGGGGTAGAATATTTTAGAATTTTTGGTCAATTTCAGAAGGGGTAACATAGACATACCAGAAAAGGAAAGAGAGAACAGAGCAGAAAAAATATTTAAAGTAATGGTACCAAATAATTTTTCCAAGAATCACAGCAGACACCAAACAACGGATCTGTGAAATTAAGAGAACACCTGAAGGATAAATAACAACTACAGAAATGTGCATGTAAACATATCGTATTCAGACTGCAGAAAATTAAAGACAAAGAGAAAACATTGAAACACATCCGCCCCACCCCACAACTGCCAAATCCTTATCTATAGAGGAACAAAGATAAAAATTACAGAGACATTACAATCAGAATCTATGTAAACAAGAAGAGAGTGGAATAAAATATATAAAACACAGAAAGCAGAAAACCAACCTTCAATTCTATATTCACTGAAATATATCAAAAGAGAGGAAAAAAAAGCTTTCTCAAATGAACAAAAACTAAGGGAACTTATCATAAGCAGTCCTGCTCTGCAAGAATTCCTTTTTTAATTTATCAGAGTGAAGAAAAATATGTTAGAAATTCAGAGCTACATAAAGGAAAGAAGATCATCAGAGAAGGAATAAAGGTAAAATATAATATTTTATAGTCTATTTACATAGCTAATGCAACATCTTGCAGAAAGCATGTCGCATACATCCATAGCTTCCAAAATGTGCTTGTCATAGGCAATCATAGACAGAACTGTTAAAAAGCTTCTCATATATAAAAACTCTTTTACCAATAATATCATCAGTGGGTCTGCCAAAAAGTCCAGCACTAGTGTGTTTACAAGGAGATTTGAGCTGATCATCTTTCTACATTTTTTTCCAGCAAAGAATATTTTACATGGAGACCTACTGTCAAATAGCTCCTCCCCAAGAGTCAATAGCGAAACTAATATATTAAAAATTAAAAAATATTTGAAAATTAGGCAACATATTTATAAATATTACATAGATCATGGAAGAATGTTAAAGGGAAATTAGAAAATATTCAGAAATGATAGGTAATGAAAACATGACATATCAAATTTTGTAGAGTACAGATAAAAATATTAGAAGGAAAATTCATAGTTTAAAATTCCTATATCAGAAATAAAGAAAGGTTTAAAATCAATATGGCAAGATTATACTTTTTAAGAATGTAGGAATAAGAGCAAAATAAACATAAAGCTGAAGGAACAAAACAATAAATATCAAAGAAAGGAACAAAACAATAAATATCAAAGAAATATCAAATTCATGAAATATAAAATAGACAATAGTAAGAAAAAAACACAACACTAAGATTTAAAAAATGTTACAAAATTGATAACTCCAAGCAAAACTGATCAAGGAAAAAAAGTAATACAATATCACAGTAGAATCTACAGATATAGAGTAAATAAAAATACAATCACGTTTATGCCAACAAATTCAACAACATAAAGGAAACAGACAAATTTGTTGAAAGGCATAACTTATAAAATTGACACAAAACAAGAAAGTTAATGGAGTAGTTTAACACCTATTTACAAAATAAATTTATAATATCAAAACTTTCCACAAATAAGACATTATGGTTACATAGATTTCCTTGTAAATTCTATCAAAACCTCAAGGAATAATGATACCAATCTTACACAAAATATTTTTGGAAATAAAAGAGGATTGCACACATTCCAACTTATTTTATGAGAATAAATTAACCTAACATAAACATCTGGCAAGGGCATTACAAAAAAGAGAAAAACTGGTGAGTATCTCTTATAAATACAGGCATTAAAAACGCCTTGACAAAATATTAGCAAATCTGACTCAGCAAAATGTTAAAAGGAAACTGTATCATGAACAAGTGGGGTTTGCCCTAGGAATGCACACTGGTTTAAATTTTAAAACTTTTGGCCGGGCACAGTGGCTTACACTTGCAATCCCAGCACTTTGAGAGGCAAAGGTGGGAGGATCACGAGGTCAGGAGTTCGAGACAAGCCTGGCCAACATGGTGAAACCTCGTCTCTACTAAAAATACAAAAATTAGCCGGGCATTGTGGTGCACACCTGTAGTCCCAGCTACTTGGGAGGCTGAGGCAGGAGAATTGCTTGAACCTAGGAGGCAGAGATTGCAGTGAGCTGAGATTGTGTCACTGCACTCCAGCCTGGGTGAGAGAGCGAGAGTTGTTTTCAAAAAAAAAAAAAAATTAAACTTTTGGTATAATTAATCTTACAAACAAAGGATTAAAACATTGAGATGGATATAATTATTCATTAGTTTATATAGATAGATGCATAGAAACACAAAAGCATTTAGTAAATATTGACAGATATTAATAATAAAAACTCTCAGAAAATAAGAAAAGATAATTATTAACATAAATAAGGACATTTTTAGAAAGCTACAGGTAACATCTTATTTATTAGAGAAACATTCATTAGTCCCTTTCCCCTTATATCAGGAAAAATTAAGGATGTTTGCTTTTACCATGTTTACTCAATGTTGTACTAGAGGTTCAAGACAGTTTGGTTAAGCAAGAGAAATAAATAAAAGGCATATTGTTTGGGAAAAAAGAAGATAGTTTTTATTTATAGATATCATAATTAAATGTAGACAATCCAAAAAAGTTTAAAATAATCAAATTTAGCAATACTCAAGAATACAATGTTAGAAAATAAAATTGCATGTCTATACGTTAGCAAGAAAAAATTTGGAAGTGAAATTTAAAATACAGCATTATTTTCAATGTCTCAAATTTGAAAACTACAAACTACTTCTGAGAAAATGTTTAAAGACCTCAATAAATATATAGATATATAACTGCATAAATACATAACATGCAATATTGTAAATATTTTACCCAATTTGATTTGTACTTTCAATGAAAACTCAGTCAAAATGGCAGATGTTTATTGTACTTTTCAAACTGATATTAAAATTTATTTAGAAATAAAAGGGCCCAAAATAAACAAAACCATTTCTAATGTTGAATAAAGTTAAATAACTTATAGGATGGTACTTATACATAATTCTAAATCTACAGGTAAGACTGTTTTGGGTCTGGCATAAGAATAGACACATAGATTAGTGGAATAGAATAGACGTTACCAAAATAAAGACACATGTCTGAAATAAACACACATGTCTGCAGTTAATTGCTTTTTTTTTTTTTTTGAAGAAAGAAATGTCACCAGTGTAGCAATATAGACTTTAATGAGATACTTTTCAACAAATGGTCAGGAACCACAAGATATGGGAAAAATTAAATTTGACTCCTATTTATATTATTCACAAACGTAAACTTAATATGATATATTTGTAACCTAGGGAAAGGCAAAACTTAACACAAAATACAGAAGGCACTAACCATAAAATAAAATATTGATAGAGTGGACTACACAAAAATATCAATGAAAATATATCATTAAGAACATGAAAATGCAAGCCATAAACAGGGGAAAATATTCACAATGCATATATGCATGACAAGGGATTAATATCCAGAATAAATATTTTTTAAAACTCCTCTGAACCTATGACACAAAGCACATTAAATTCAGCTTAAAACTGAGCAAATGTCTTGGATGACACTTAATGGATTTTGAAATATATATGAAGAAATTTATATTTGAAGAAATATAAATGGCCTATAAATACATGGGAAAAAATGTTCAATAGCTATCAGGGAGATACAAATTAAAACCAAAGTGAAATACCATTTTCTACCCACTAGAATGGCTAAATTTACTAATGTTACCATACTCAATGTAGGAGTGAATTTTGATCAATTGGAATTCTCATATATTGCTGTACAAATAGTTTGGGAAATTACTTAATAGTTCCTTAAGAAGTTAAATGTGTATCTATGCAATGATTTTTAAATTCTGCTTTAATTAATTAATTCATTTGTTTTTATTGTTTTGTATTTTTTTTTTTTGAGACAGTCTCACTCTGTTGCCCAGGCAGGAGTGCAGTGGTGCGGTCTCAGCTCACTGCAACTTCTGCCTCTCAGGTTCAAGCGATTCTGCTGCCTTAGCCTCCCAGGTAGCTGGGATTGCAGGCGCCGGCCACCAGGCCTGGCTAACTTTTGTATTTTTAGTAGGGATGGGGTTTCACCATGTTGGCCAGGCTGGTCTTGAAATCCTGACCTCAGGTGATCCGCCCGCCTCGGCGTCCCAAAGTGCTAGGATTACCAGCATGAGCCACCGCACCCAGCCCTTTAATATATTTAACCAAAGTAAAATAAAATATATGTCAGACTAAAGACCTTCTACAAAAGTGACTTTTGAAGCCTTATTTGGAATAGCAAAATATTGGCAACAACTCATTTTGTCAATGGAAGAATGAAGAGACAAATTTTGATAATTTCACATGATGATGTGGCACTTAACAATAAAAAGGAATGAACTATGTATGTTCTATGGAAGAATTTCAAAACCTTTGTAGTGAGCAAACAAAGCCAAACACGAGAGAGTACATATCGTAAGATTCTGTTATTACGAATTTCATAAACAGGCAAAACAGAACTCCAAATAGGATTTGCCTTTAGGAAGAAAGGTTATTATGTAGAATGAGACTTGAGTGAATTTCTGGGGTGATGGACATGTTTTATATTTAAATTGGTGTTTTGATTACACAATTATATGTACATTTCCATGTAAATTGCCTATTTCAGTTCGAATTGCTCATTTTGCGATATATAACTATATACCAGTATGAAAGAGAAAAAGAGAGAGACATAAAAATGTTTATAATTACCACACTAGCATAAATTTTCTACTGGTTAGGCATTAGTTTTAGATGTCTTATTATCTTAATTTTTGTAAGAAACCAATATGGTGTAAAGCATTATTAACCCCATTTTATAGATGAGGAAAGTAAGAGACAGGAGAGTTAACTAATAGTTAAGAGTCACACAAAGCTGAGATTCAAATCCTAGGAATTTGTTTTGGAATTCCAAGTTTATGCACACATATCATCATCATCGTCATCATCATCACCATCATCATTATCAACTTTTATGAGAACCTTGACTACCACTAGTGTTGTGAATATCGCTGACTTTAAATGTGTGCAGAAGCTTTATAAAACAATATCATGATCTGAACCCATAATCTCTTCCTAGGTATTTCCATCTTCACTCAAGACCTAAGTATCATTTGTTCACAATTCAAGTGATATTTCTTACCCACATCCAAGTAATTGTCCTGTTTCATTTTTGTCCCAATAGTATCTCATTTGCAATGTACTATGTTCCCCTCCCAACTCCTCACTGCAAACCTGGGCCTCTTCTAGTATTTTCTATTTTTGTGAAACTTCATATATGCATCCTATTATGTAAGCCAGGAAGAGAAGACTCCATTTAGCATATGATAAATATTGTTGAGCTCATACTTAATATTACATACTTTTCTTTTCCCTGATAAAAACAACAACAACAACAACAACAAAACAGTAAACAAGATAGGCAAGACCTCCATTTGAACAGAGCTTATGTGAGTGGAGATAATAGACAATAAGCACGCAAAGAAAACAAAACAAAACATAAATAATATGTATGTTTTATACACACACACACACACACATCGCTACTCTCTCTCTCTATATATATATATATTATATTAGTGATAGGGACTCTGCAGAAAATTACAGCTAGTTAATACAAAAGAAAAATTCAGAATGGGGCAGGGAGTCAAAGAATGTCTCTATGAATGACAAGAGTGAGCAAACATGAATATCCACATAAAAATTTTGTGAAGGATAGAACATTTGTGCAAAATTTCTGAGGTGAGATCAAGCTTGGCATCTTTGAGAAATGGAGAGAGGAGCAGTGCTGCTAGGGCAGGTCGGAGAAATAGAGTGGATGGTGCCAGGGAGGCAGGCAAAGCCTGTTGGAATACAGGACTTCATGAGTCAGGGAGAGGAGTCTGGTTTTTACTCTAGGAAAAATGGAAAACCACTGGAAATCGATGGCTCACCACTGTTCTTAGGAGAAAGGCAACATTTGTTAAACAGGGCTGATATTTTACACCTGTTAAGATGCGTTGTGTTGTTGGATCCTCTAGCTTTGTTTTGCATCATAGTCTCGCTTGACGTGCTCTGGTGCAGCTGACTACATTTTAGTTCCTAGAATCACTATGATTCCTCAAGCCACAATGCATTGAGCCATGCTGCTTCTTTTACCTAGGATAACAGAATTTTCAAACAAATGAATGGGTCAGATTTGGATATTGTAAAATAGCGACTCGCACTGATTTCTGAAATAACAAAAGAGTTGGGGAACAAAAAAGAAAAAGAAGCCTTCCTCCCAACCTCACTTCCACATCGAAGACTTAGATCCTGTGCCATCAAAGATTCTAGGTCAGTCTTCCTCCTGAAGGAAGCCTCTGTGTATTGCTGGAGAACTGCTTCCTCCTCTCAGCGTCACTACTTATTATATACCAGATCAGACAATTCTATAAGGCCACACAGTCTGAGACAGAAGGGGATCTGTCATGGTGCCTTTTATTCTGAGTTAAGTCATCTAAAGTAAAATAAAGGAAAAACGAAATGAGCACAGACAGCTGTATGCTCTAGAAAGAATAGTGTTTGCATGCAAAGAAACAAAACAAAACAAAACCTACAGATTGCTTCAAATTAAGACCAGAAAAAGGCTATGAAAAAATGTAAAATCCTCATGTCAGGGCAGCAGAACTACATGATATAAGTGCTTAATACAAAGTGGGGAAAGTAAGCCCTAAGCAAAACTTATCTAAATAATATAACTTAAGATCTCAGAAATAAACATCTGTGGAAATAAATAAAGCATAGAGGGACAATCAGCAACCTCTTAATCAAAGTAGATCTCTACTGCTTTAGAATTGTATACATTGGAGGGTGGGGAAAATGAAAAATAAAAATATAGAGGCTTAAAAAATATATATAGACAGAGAGGCTTGTAAGATATTCTGTAACATGAGCATGGAACTGTTTCCCTAAAATAAGCAGAAGGAAAGTAGAACTATAAAAACTATTTACTACAGGATACATCAGTATAGGTAAGACTATATTCAGTTTGAGTTTTCAGAAATATTAACAAATAATAGTCTGCCTAAAATAAGGTATTAAAGATTAAATAAAATGAGAACTGGTTTATATATACAACAAATGCTAAGAAACTAAAGACGTAAGCAGAAAACATATTTGCATAAGAGTTAAGAAAGAACAGATTCTGTCATACGCAAAGTCAAATCCACAATTTGGAAAATAGACTAAAAATATCCTTAAACACAATACCTGTGAAAAACATGATGAATATCAAAAGCAGAGAATATAGAGAGAGTGTAGTTCTAAATCACGGATGAACTACATTTTAAGACATAAACTGGCATAAAGAAAACAGAAACATGTTGTGATATTCAAAAATATTTCCATGATGTTTTACTTTTTTTATTTTTTCATTTTTTATTTTTGTATTTTATTGTTTACGAAGAATGTCCATGCCCATTTTTTTGCAAATTCTTTTTTTTTATTTTTATTATACTTCAAGTTCCAGGGTACATGTGCACAACGTGCAGGTTTGATACATATGTATACATGTGCCACGTTGGTGTGCTGCACCCATTAACTCGCCATTTAACATTAGGTATATCTCCTAATGCTGTCCCTCCCCCTTCCCCCACCCCACAACAGGCCCCGGTGTGTGATGTTCCCCTTCCTGTGTCCAAGTGTTTTCATTGTTCAATTCCCACCTATGAGTGAGAACATGTGGTGTTTGGTTTTTTCCCTTGCGATAGTTTGCTGAGAATGATGGTTTCCAGCTTCATCCATGTCCCTACAAAGGACATGCAGCCAACAGACACATGAAAAAATGCTCATCATCACTGGCCATCAGAGAAATGCAAATCAAAACCGCAATGAGAAACCATTTCACACCAGTTAGAATGGCGATCATTAAAAAGTCAAGAAACAACAGATGCTGGACAGGATGTGGAGAAATAGGAACACTTTTACACTGTTGGTGGGACTGTAAACTAGTTCAACCATTGTGGAAGTCAGTGTGGCAATTCCTCAAGGATCTAGAACTAGAAATACTATTTGACCCAGCCATCCTATTACTGGGTATATACGCAAAGGATTATAAATCATGCTGTTATAAAGACACATGCACATGTATTTTTATTGTGGCACTATTCACAATAGCAAGACTTGGAACCAACCCAAATGTCTATCAATGATAGACTGGATTAAGAAAATGTGGCACATATACACCATGGAATACTATGCAGCCATAAAAAAGGATGTTTTACTTTTTTTAAAGTAAACTGCTGACTGCAAGAATTCACTGTACTCCAGGTTCAAATAATACTAAAAGAACACTCATTTGACATATTTTGAAGAAGGCTTGAATTTTGATTATAAAGAAAATAAAATAATAAACACACATATATAAATAATGAGACCACTTTTAGGGAAAATTCATGTAACCCTGGTTTATTTTAAACTCATTCAATCCTGGTTTATTTTTACCTTGTCATTAATGTAGAAGGGCAATGTGAAAAGATTTTTGGACATACAAAATTAGAACACAGAATAAAAAATGATCTATGTAACCTGCCCCGAAAATGCACTAATTGAAAATATAAACTCCGAAATAGAGAAGAATGGATTTATAGAATGGCATAAGCCCTGATTGTATCTCTCATCTTTGTGATGGCTATTTTATATTAAGTTTAGATTGCTTATTAATTCAACAAATACTTTTGCACACCAGTGTGCCAGGGGATATACTAGCGTATCATAATGCTAGTATGAGGGACAAAAATATTTGACAATATGGGAATGAAATCACAAAAAGAAAACATCATTAATGATTCTTAAACGTTGATGCCCCCCCAAATTAATAATAATGACTTGAGTGTATATACTGAGTTCATATTTCTTTGAGAGAAATTGGAGAGCAAGAGAATATTATACTAGATTCTTCATTTTACATTGAGGGAGTTGTAAGTAATGATATTCATCCTGAACATGACAACTTTGAAAATAAATTTAATCACATGTAATATTTTAAACTCTACTATATAAACACTAAATCATTTTAAAAATGTGACCAATATATACCTATATAATTAATATGACAATTAATGAAAATAATTTTAAATAGTATAAATACTAATACATAAAAATAACATACCAAATATCAGCACATGGAAAATAATTAAACTTCCCATTAAGAAAGAACATCTATCTGATTTGGATAAAAGCAATATATGTTTTAAGAATATACTGCTTATATGAGAAACATCTGAAGCTGAAAAGTCAAAAATAAAAATAAAGTGACATATAAATGCAGTTTTGAATGTAGAGTATTTAATTGTTTTTTTCTGTGATGTGTACAAGAACAGATATAAGTAAATAATATGCCAAAATATCTGTACCAGTTTGCAGTGCAGCTGATTTTTATTTTATGATTTTTAATTTTCTATATTTTTACTTTTTCCATAAAGGTATATATTCTAAGATTAGAAAAAGAGAGGTGAAGATTTTATTTTAAAAACAAAGATCTCCAGATCATTTACTATTTTGTTTTTGTAAAATATTTCTCTTCTTGCTTATCTAATTAACTAGTCAGGTCAGCACTTTGTTATTTTAGCAAAGATGAATAAGTCTGGGAATTAATGACTATGAACAAGGGAATATTCTTAGATATTATGACCTTGACTTTAATTTGTCTCTAGAAACATGGGATATTAAATGAGTTGGAACTTGTTTATTTTTCATCATTTGAAGGAATATTCCTTCTTACCTGATCTACTTGTCCCACAAGCTCTTGAGATTTATAATTCTAATTTCTTATCAGTTGACAGCTTTGAAATGTTTATTTCATTTGAAAAGGGTGCATACATAGCAAATGTTAAAATATGACAGAGAAAATATCATCATAATTGCAGCTTTAATTTAAATAGTAAAATTGTTATTTTAATCCTATTTTATAAGACTATTTTAACCAGTTATCGGCTTCCCCCTCATCCTCTGATTCCTGTGTCCACACAGCACTATGCTTCAACTGGGGCAAAGGATTCTTTTGCTTCAAAGCATTTTTGATCATTTATAATCTCACTTACCCAGAGCTAATTGCTTAAAAATCCCTTACACATTTTCCTTTTGCTAAGTTCCACTTGGGGCTTACGATTGCTTAGAGACTTATTTTTGCTTCTCTTCTCCTCTCTGCATGAATTCTTGCTGGCCCCTCTCCACTCTATTTCTGATATATTTTAATTCCTTGTCTCTTTTTAATGTTGAGAGATTAAATTCAGCCTTAGCTTTGCTCCACAGACATGCATATCCCAATTCATGCCAAAGCTCAGAAAAGCAAAGAGGCTTCTAATGAACAGTAGTATCTGAATGAGAAGCCACCCTGTTAAGCATACATTTTGGAGTCTCATTCCCCTCTCCAAACACTAATATTTCTTCCTAATATGCAGTACGCCCTCCCCAAAGGGAGTTCAGATGAATTAGGATTTTTCTATATCTTTACAACACTTAAATATATCCCAGTCGTGCTAAAAATGTGGTCTCCAGATAGCATCAGCATCACCTGTAACCTCATTAGAAATGCAGGTTCTTGGGCCCTAATCCACACCCACTGAATCAGAAATTCTAGGAGTTTCTCTGGTGATTCTAATTGCATGTAAAAATTAAGAACTACTGAACATAGTCTGCAGCAACATAGAAAAAAGTAATATGCATAATCTCAAAATGAATTTCTATGTAATTAGATCATATTTAGAATGGCAGAATAAGGATGGGAAGGGGGATGAGGCAGTAGGGCATACCTGCGTGTTCAGAATCCAGCTCTGGTCATACTCCTGAACTTGCTTCATCCCTAGTTTTCATATTCAACAGCTCCTTGAGCCAGTTTGTACTACCCCCACCTTATTCTGCCAATCACATAATTTACCTTAATTCATTGCTGGATGTCTGCACACCTGGCCTGAATTTAAATCTGCAGCATCCAAACTTTCCCTGTGCTTTCCATGCACAGAGTTCAGCCTATGCCAATGTGAGACTCACCTCAAGGTGACTGCTCAAGGTCTCCTTTCATCCTGTCCCTGATTTCCTGTTTCTAGAGCCCCACACCACCTGATATGCTGCTCATTTCAATGTTCTAGTATAATTTTCCTAATCCTAATAAAGAATTTCATCCTTGTAATAATGTAGTGCATGTTCACCACAAACACAAAATGGCCTCCTTTTGCCAGTTCAGTAACAGAGAATTGGTCTAAATTTTAAATATAATTTGATTTAATGAATGTACTTTTTTCCCCTTCCTAGTTAATTACCACAACCAATGATAGATTTGGGCCAGATTGCAAAGAATATTGAAGGAATTATATTTTGTCCTATATGCAATGGTAATAGTTGAAAAGTTTGATAAGAGAATAGAAGCTGTCAATGGAGATGACAGGGTAAGAATTACCTATGGTAGACAATGAAGAGGACTTTGAATTAAGCTAAGTAAGAGATTACAATAATGGTTAATAGTTTGGTCTAGAGTTGGGGTGGTAAAGATTCAGGTAAGTGGATACATTTGAAATTTATTAAGGAGAAAAAGACATAGGACTCTGATTTAGATAGAATAAGGGGCAGATGAGGAATGAGGTAGAAGTGCCGAAGATAGTTCTCAGATGTCTGCCTCGTATTAGTGGATGATGATGGAACCATTCAATGAAACAAGAAACCCTGGAAAAGAACCAAATTTTAGGGGTTGGGTAGGGAATATTGCTATCACTTCTTCTTTCTTCTGCAACAACCACCTAACAGATCTTTTTGCATACTTTTATTAGGGAGAGATACAGTCATACTATTTTTACTGATTATTTACTAGATATAAAGTTTTGATAAATTACATAGTAAGCATATAGTCTCTCTTGTCATCCTCAAGAGAAGTTTCTAAAGTAGTTGTTTCTAAGCCAAGGCTCACAGAAAGAAAACTGAAACACAGATTTAAATTGTTCAAAATCACATAGCAAGTGGTACAATTCAAACTTTAGAGTTCATGCTCTAAATTTTTGTACATCTGCCTCCTTAAAATACACCCCCATTCCAAAAAAACTGAGAATCAATGTCCATTCATTGTTGCTCAAACTAAATCTGTTATTGGACTAACTCACTCTACCTCTAATATTGGAGTACTTTCCTGTAGCATATATCTTTTCTGAGTATTGCTTCTTGTTACCAGTATCACAAAACAGGTATTAATATCTTTTTCTACAATGCTTATTCTATTAGATCCTCTCATACTGTACTTCATCAATCAAAAACATGCCTTTTTGCCCCACATTTTAATACCTGTAAGTCAATATTGCTTAAAATTCATTGCATAAAAAAGTATCGTGTCACAATTTAATTGGCAGCTATTTTTTCTTAGCAGTACATACAATTGATACATCTTACAACTAATGCCATCTTAGATTCTCTGAAATATATTTTTTTAAATTTCCTGACTTTACATCTTTAGAGATACTCATATATTGGTATTAAATAAATTGATATGTGATTGGACACGATAAACACGTGAGACACTATAAACCCTAATGCTACCTGGCAAAGGATCATGTTTCCCTAATTCAACCATTCCTTCACTTTCTAGACTTATTCATAACTTTCCTCTCTCCTCAAACTTCTATTTATGTGTGTCCTATGTGCATTTTTAGTAAGAAAATTGAGTAATGAATATTCTGAAATTGTTAGATAAAGTACTCTCTGCTTGCAAATTGTGTATTTTATTAGTTGTGGTCCAATATACACTCATTAATACTTTTGTCTTGTTTGTTTGTTCTATCACTTATTGAGGAAAATAAGCTAAAATCTCCATTGACAGTTACAAATGCTTCTATTCCTTGTTTTTATTTTTTACTTTGCGTAAAGTTATGATTTTAATTTAATTTTTACTAGTTATATTTAAGGCTATGATTTACTTGTATATGCTGTTATTTTATATTCCTGTGAATTGAAATGCTTCTTACATTCTTTTATTTTTAGTATTAATTTATATATGTATATATATATATTTCATGCAAGTATTGACATGATTATGTTTTAATCTACCATTCACTATTTTCCATTTGTCCCATCTGTTTCTTGCTCATTGCTTTTTGCTTTGTTGTTGCTTTTTGAATATTTTTTATTATATTTTCACTATTGGATTTTTATAATGGCAGACCTAGTAATTACTTATCATAATTTAATTCTCACATATTATTCCATGTAAGATATAAAAACCTTAAACTATTATCTCCATTAAGTTCCCATATTTTTTGATATTACTATCACACAATTTACCCATACATATGTCATAAATCATGTAGTATAATACAGGTTGAGCAACCCCAATCTGAAAATCTGCAATTCAAAATGCTTCAAAAGCTAAAACTTTTTGAGAGCTGACATAACATCATAAATGGAAAATTCCACACATCAGTACTTTAACACAAACTTTATTTCATGAAAAAAATCATTCAAAATATTACATAAAATTGCCTGTAGGCTAGGTGTGTAAGGTATATATGAAACCCAGATGAATTTTGTGCTTAGATTTTGGCCCTGTTTTCAAGACCTTATTATGTATTTGCAAATGTTCTAAAATCTGACAGAATCAGAAATTTGAAGCATTTTGGATAAGGGATACTCAACCTGTATATACAACTGTACTAATCTGCTCAGGCTACAATAACAAAATAGCATAGACTTGGTTGCTTAAACAACAGAAATCTATTCTCAAAGTCCTGAAGTCCGGGAAGTTCAAGATCATAGTTCCATCATGTCTAGGTTCTGTTAAGGGCTCTTTCTGGCTTGTAGATGGCTGTCTTCTCACTGTCTCCTCACATAATGGAGAGAGAGGGAACAAGCTATTTGATGTCTCTTTCTCTTGTTATAAGGCCTCCGATTCTACCTTACCTAATCCTAATTACCTCTCCATCTATAAACACCATCACTTTGGGGGGTAGAGCTTCAACATATGAAGCAAGACATGATGGGAAGTGAACATTTCACTCTATAGAAACAATATGGTATAATACAGCTCTTTTTTACTTCATTCAGTCAATTACTACTTGCATAATTTAAGAACAGGGATAAAAGTTTTGTTAGTTTGCTAACGTATTTATAACCTCTGCTATTTATTTTACCAGTAGATCTGAATTTCTACCAAGTATTATTTCTCTACAACTTAACTTCATTTAGCATATCATGTTGTATAGTTGTTCTCCCAACAAACTCTCTTTTCAACTTAGCTGAAAATTTCAAGCATTTTCCTTAAGGTAATTTTTACTGGATATAGAATTTTGGACTAAGCCTTTTTTTTCACTTTTAGTACTTTAAATATAGCATCCATTTTTTCTTTCTGATGAGAAATCAGCCATCATTTGTTTTTATAATACTACTATATATAATTTGTCTTATTTTCCTCCTATGGCTGCTCTTAAACTTGTCTTCTTATATTTGGTTTTCAGTGCGTTTGTTTTTACCTGGCATGTATTTTTTCTAAATCTCTTAATTCTGAAGGTTAATGTTTTTAATCAAATGTGGAAAATTTTCACCATTATTTTTCAATTTTTTCTGACTTATTCTATCTTTTCTTTATTTCTGGATTTAGATTGCTTGGTATAGTCTCACAGGAAACCAAACAACAGTCCATTTTTCTTTCAGTCTTCTCTTTGTTCTTCAGCTTGGGTAATTTCTATTAATCTATCTTCAAGTTCACTGACCTTTACTTCTGGCATGTCCAATTTACTATTTATATAATGTAGTCATTTTTCTAAATTATGATAAGGTAGTTTTCAGTTCTATAATTTCCATGTGGTATCTTGTTTTTTCTATTTCTCTGCTAAGAATCCTCAGCTTTTCGCACATTATGTCTATATTTTCCACCATATCTCTTACATGTTTGTAATGGCTGTTTTAAAGTCCTTGTGCTAATTTTATCATCTGAATAATTTTGTTGTTGGTTTTTACTGACTGTTCTTTCTATAGATTACTTGTCACATTCTTTTTTCATGTCTAATACTTTTTACTTGTATGCTGGAAATTGTACATTTTATAGAGGCTTGGTTATGTTGTCTTCCTTTAAAGGTTATTTTGTTTAGTTATGGCAGGCAGCTTAATTATTTGGGGATTCTCTTGATTTTGTCAAAGACTTGGCTATATGCTTTGTTAGGAGGAGTGTATTTTGGTTCATCCTTAGCCCTAGATCATGACCCTAATTCTGGTGCATAGTCATTACTCTTAAGGTGTAATTTGTATGGTTTCTCAGCTGGATGCCTGAGATACTCAGCAATTCTCTCCACATCTTTTAACCTTAAACAAACCTCTTGTATATCTGAGCTACTTGCAGCTTGTTAGAGCTTGCTGAGGTTTGTTCTCTGAGTGTACAGGCCAGCCCTGGACCAAACACCTGAGAGACTCCTCACAGGTCTCAAATGCCTTCTTTCGCTCAGCAGCCCTTCCTCATGTACCCCACTCTGCAGTCACCTCAGATGCTTCAGACTTTTGGGCACTACCTCCGTGCTATACTGTCAGAGTTCCCCAGGGAGAAAGCCAATAGGAACACAAGGCATAATTCGTGTTTTACTCTGGAGAATCACCGATCTCTCTTGTCTATTGTCAAATGCCTGGAGTATGAAGATAAGTTTGATACCAGTTAATCTATCAAGGCTGAAAGACAAGTCCTGAGTCTTCTCTCGAATTGTATTTTTTCAAACTGTCATCTTCCATGCCTTTGTTTTAAATTTTGACTATATTTAGCATTCCATAATCTTCCAATTTTCTGATTCTAAACTTTTGGGACTTTTTCATAGGCCTGATTCTCTAGAAGGAGAGGCTGAGTTGAGGATTCTGTTAAAGTGATATATCAAGGGAGGACTCTCAGGAGAAGACATGGGCATAGCAGGCTAGAAAAGGGAAAAAGCCAAGCAAGAATGCAGTTTTGCTGAAAACTAACTTCAGCCTGGTCCTATGAGAAGTACTAGAACATGGACTAAACCATAGAGTTGTTCTGCACCTTGAAGCAAATGCTCTAGGCTTATGTGCCCTCATGTCATTCTGGAATGACTGTTCTGTGCAGTAGAGGTGGGAATGTTGGAATAGAGCAGACAAGTTTGCTCCTATTTAGCTGAGGTAAATTTCTTCAGTCAAAGAGGAGCCTCTAAGTCTTTAGCATTGAACATTCTCCTTGCTGGTGAAGGGAACCTGAGGAGAAAACAAGAGGTTACAGTCAACTATCATCTTGGACATAAAATAAATAATTTTTAATGTAGTAGGTATAAATAGATTTTAAATAAAGGCAACACTAGGATTTAGTTTTACATACTTTTATATAAGAAGTAGCCTTTACAGTTCTAAACTTATAGGGTTGAGTTTGTTGAAAAAGTAGAGTGTTACCATATATATCTTGCAAAATATATTTTTACAGGACTCCCTATAAACCACATCTCTAGTTAACCTGAGAACTAAATTATTCTAGTCAAAACTGCTTATTTTATGTAAAAATACCTAAACTATCTAATATTAAATATTAGTCACTTTACAAAAAAACAAACACCGCATGCTCTCACTCATAGGTGGGAATTGAACAATGTGAACACTTGGACACAGGAAGGGGAACATCTCACACCATGGCCTGTTTTGGGGTGGGGGGAGGAGGGAGGGATAGCGTTAGGAGATATACCTAATGTAAACGACGAGTTAATGGGTGCAGCACACCAACATGGTGCCTGTATACGTATGTAACAAACCTGCACATTGTGCACATGTACCCTAGAACTTAAAGTATAATAAAAAAAATTAGTCACTTTAGTTAAATATCAGGGAAAGTTTTACATTTCTTTTTAAATTGAATTAAGTTTTGAATTTTGATAATTTCCAATTCTGAGGTAAAAAATCTTAGAAAAGTGGTAACTTTAATAATTTAAAATTACTAATTCATATTTTTACAAGGATAGTAGAATCATGAATTTTCTTTGTCTATAAACATGTATTGCTTCTGTGAAGAAAGAAATGATCTCTAGAGAAACTTTAGTCATCATCATCCAAGTGGTATATAACTTTATTTCTATTAGGTTTGTCATTGTGATTATCATCATGGTTGGTAATATTTGGAATCATCTACTTACCATTTTCTCATGTATTTTTAGTAGTTGTGAGTGGAAATTTTCTTTCTAAATACAATTTGATATTGAATATTTTGAAAAATCTCAGCTAATTTTTTTACCATTAACATTGTAAAATTGAAAGTATTTGTTCAAAATAAATGATTATTGTTGATGTTTATTATTTACTAAGCATTCACTATGTTGCATGCAATGCTTTTTCTGTTTTATTTTTTCCTATAGAAATGGAAATCATTCTCTTCAACTTTAGCCAGCAAGAGAGAATTCTTACCAAGGATGTATGAATTTATGCATACTTACAATCTTCTGAGGAAGATCTACAATGCCAGTTTTCAATTAAAGTACAGGAAATGCCCTGTGTAACCCATGTTCTGTCAGAAAAGTGACATGGGAAATGAATATCAACATTTTATGAGGCTGCTACATCACCTCATATTGAAAAGGTAGGTCAATCAATCAGTCTTTGAAAAAAAAATGCTGTGACTCGTTTTATGTAAAACACTGCACTACATGTTTAAAAGGAAACAAAATAGGGAAACTTACTCCTTATAGCTTTTGCATTGCAGTTGGTGGCATCCTGGCATGGTGGGAGCCAGAAAAAAAAGAGGAAAAAAAGTACCTCTTTCAAATACCTTAGTCAGAAGAAATAGCCCTGATAGAAAGAGAAACTAATGAGACGTTGAATAAAAGAAAGAAAACCTAAAAACAAAAAGCGAGGAGGGGAAGTGACTTTCCTTATTATCTACTTAAGATACAAGTAGAGGGATTCTTCAGAGTAAAAAAGTCATCAACCTATCAGATGAGAGAAAAGAAGTGAGTAAAGTAAGTTTCACAAAATCGGCAAATCATCACACACGCTCAGGCTTGAGAATATAACTCTAGGAATTTTCAGATTTTAAATCTGAAAATAAAGACTGTATAGGGCAGAACGTTACATAGCTGTTAAAGGGATTCATAAGATGGGCACTCAAGTTTAGCCCTATAGCCTCTGAGATTTATATTGAGAGCCTTCTGCAAACATTAACCCACTTCCCACTGAGGAGTCTTGACAGATTCAAGAATAAAAATCAAGGATTGGTCAATTGTCATTCTCACTCCTTCTGTGGTAATTCGCTTGGCATTGTGCAGAACCATACGTAGAGCTTAGCATGAAAGATGCTGTGAAGAGCACTCGAAATTGAAATGTTTGAAATTTCAAAGTAGTTAAATGAAGATGAGTTAGCCTGGCCTCATTTTCCTGGTCAGTAAAGGCTTTTCAGAGAGTGAAAGCGTGTGTTTCAGCAGTGTATTCTATGTAAATAAAAGAATCTTCACATAAGACATCTGTTTTAATTAAAGTTGAACAACGAAATGCTTCATTGAAAAAACAAAGCTATCTCTTTTCTCAGCTTTCTAGTCTGTAGGTACTTCCCAGAATTTAAAATCAGAAATGTTTAAGTGGGAACAGCAATCCATTGGCAGATTTCTCCAGACATTTGAAATATCGAGGGTCATTTATATTTGACTATGTTCACATGGCAAGTGCTCAGTCAACTCTTTAAGGAGCAAAAGTGTCTTCTAAGGACTCTGCCAGAAATAAAAATAAGTCACGATTTGTTAGCTGTATTATGTTTTAGGCAGCTAAGAATTGAAGACTTTGTTCTTATAAGATGTGGAATAGACTCTGCCAGGGGGTCAGTGACAGGTCAAGAGAATGTGGGAGCTGGATATCCCACCTGAGGAGCTAAGAGAGAAAATAGGGTTGTGCCCAGCCTGCATCCTTAGAGAATGCAACGATCAAGCCTAGAAAAAGCAAAATTAATGTAGAAATGTAAAGAGAGGGTCAGAAGAATGCAGATAACGTGTATGCCAGGATCTCAAAAATAGTAGGAGAAGGGTGTAGAGAGGATATGAAGCTACTGCAGGTGTGGCTGGAGTGTCTTGGCTGCTGGGACATGCATCAAATTCCAAAGGGCCAGGGTAGATCAGAAGTAGGAACTCCATACGCAGAGGTAACAAGCTAGATTGAAATCTGTGAAATTAGATGACCTGGAAAGTCTTCAACTATGACACATTATATATCCTAGTGACAAATATTGAAAATGTTTGTGGGGCCTGGTATAGAAATAGATTTCAGAGTATTTTGTTATTGTTAAAATTATGCTTGCCAAATTATCTTCAGTACATGTCAGCCTCCTTTTCCCAATTGAGTTACATAGTGTATTTAAAAATAAACAGTATTCTTTAATATGCTCTAAAAATGCCACTGCTTATGATCTCCTATGGTATCCATTATCATAGGAGTTATGTCTGCTATGATAGAACTGTATACTTGGATACGATACCTATTTTGCCATCTACTGGAAATGACTTCAAATTACAGACATATACACCAGAGGAGAGGATATGGCTAAAATAATTCAGCTCTCTATACAGTAGCATAATGGTGAAATTTGAGGTGAACAAAAGTGGTAAAAAATAAGCAGTGTGATAACTGCCTTCATTCCTAACTGATCACAGCCTGTGTGAATTTCTTCATCCAACGTGTCTGATGTGATTTTTGTTGGTGCAATAAACACCTCATCATCCGATTGCCCTAAATGATCTATTTTTGACACAAAGGGATACTCCAAACTTTTATTACTAAAGACAAAGACAAGTTTGAATTTATTCTATAAAGAAAATTACCAGTACTTCTTAAATTGATGTTTTATTCTAAACATTGATATTCTGATGTTGTGTATTCTCATCATTCTTTTTATGATGTTTACTCAAAGGAAATAAAAAGGAAATGCCATGTATCATAAAAAGGATAATTTAAGGCAAATACACAGATATGTGAAAACTATAGAAAATGTAATATAATGCATCAAAATGTAGATTTTAAAATTCCTTTCTTTTTGCTGCTAATAAATTGGGCACAGAAAGATATGGTGATAAAACCACAATTGTGTGGTGATAACATTTAGTATACAAACATCAAGCTTTGGAAAGAGTATGATATAATTTAATCTCAACCACACAAAGCCTTTTTAGAGGGTTTGATTTTCATTAATTTTTCTTCTGATAAGATCTGGAGTAACTGAAAACAGTTTAAAAAAATCAAATTAACAGTATTTTGGTACCAACAATATATGGTATACATTTGTCTACAAAAGAAATGGGATTTCATGTTATTACAAAAATGTGCTGGTTCCAAATAAAACTCATCAAAAATGCTTTCCTCATTATATTAAACTTGGTTTCACATAATAAAATACAACCATCAGAAAGCTTACTATATTGGGAATTTTATAGTTTTCTCATGAAAAATTGACAAATGATAAGATAGCAAAAAGCTCAATATCCACCATCTATCCACATCTGTAAATATTACAGAAGTGATTTGTATTCACAACAATACTATGTATGTCCCTGCCTTCTGATCTTTGAATTACGCTTCTTAAAATATATTGAATCAATCTTGAAGAATTATATGATAGCAAAGATCCTTGAAAGTGTATCTGATTCATTCTTTTGGCTTCAGCTGAAAATGCATAAAAGTCATGCTAGACAGGTGAGTCTTATTATTCAATAACTACACAGTAGCAGAATCCAAATTCTACTCCAAATAAGTCCATTCTTGAATCCAGTGACCTTTGCTATTAAGGTAGTCCTCAATATATGTGACTGGGTTTCTGCTACTATAGCTTAAGTTTATTTTCCCAGTGGAAATAAAGAGCAATATGATGATGCTGTATATTTAGGATTTTATCTGTGAGTTCTGTGGAATGACATCTAGTCACAAGATATTTAGTCTCACTAAAAATACCTTTCATGTTAAAATTAATGTTCAAATATTAGATTTACATCATAGGCTAGTCTCAGTTTTCCCTTTTAAGAAATACATATGTTCACTTATCCACATGGATCCTATTCTGTATTACAGAATTATTGTTTTTAAGTTTAAGCAGAGAGGTTCAGTGTCTTGTTCCAGTTTTGACATTCTAAGAAACACATTATGAGTTACTTACTCGGATTTCAGTATATTGATTTTCTTTAGCATTTTGGTTTCAATCTTCTCTGTAGCAAGAGGAAATAGACTCATTACCTCAGGAGATTTACACTTGGCCATATGTTAGTTAGTATTACAGAAATACGCTAGAGTAATATTCAGCTAAAAAGTTTGACTTGGAGAGAAAAAAGTTGGAATGTCTTTCTAAAGGTTCTACTCGACTTCTCAAAATCAGGAAGAAAGGAAGTAGCAGTGTCTCTTAAATATTCCCCACTGCCACAGAACACTGATACTGAATAGGGGTCTGATTTACACCTGTAATTGCTGTATTTTATGAGGGAGAATTAAGCTTAATGTTATAGTTCAGTGGAACTAAATTATCAGAGCCTGGAAACACAGCTTCTAGGTACGTCCCATCAAACCTGTCACTGGTACTTGTGTCCACATCACGTTTTGTAGTCTCCTTTTCTGACAAGTGATTTCAGTTCTAAGAAAAACAGTTTACCTTCCCTAACCAAATGAAAATTTTGAGCTGGCCTGGTAGGTAGAAACTCATTCCAAGTGATTATTATAAGAGATCAATAATGTCATACAGTTTGTAACATGATCTTTTCTGTTTTGTTCTGTACCCTTTCTATTCCCCTTGGTTTAACCATATGTAACCTAAATGCAAAACTGCTTAGGAGGGATGATTTTGAGTTACATAACAGATCCTATCCAATTGGAATAATAGAAATCACTCACTAAAACATTTATCCAACGAATGGATTTATCCAATAGCAAGACTTTCTTTAGCATGTTATATGCAGTGCATTTTGCTTAGTGTTACAAATTCTAGTAAAAGAATGCATATGTTGGAAAACAGTTTTACCCTAAACATATTGAACAACATGGCTTTCAACTGCACTTGTCCCTTTATACATGGATTTTTTTTTCGATATATATGTCGGAACACTTTTGTTTGAAATTTGTGACAATTCGAAAAAACTTGCAGACAAACTGTGTAGTCTAGAAATATCAAAAATTAAGAAAAATGTATGTATGCCATAAATACATAAAATATACAGAGACACTAGTCTGTTTTAGCATTTACTACCATAAAATATACACAAATCTATTATAAAAAGTTAAAGTTCTTCAAAACTTACCCACACAAACACAGACTGTACATGGCACCAATTGCAGTTGAGAGAAATGTAAACAAATGTAAAGACGCAGTATTAAATCATAACTGGCATAAAATTAAGTGTAGTACACACTCAACTACTGTAATAATTTTGTAGTCCCCTCTTGTAGCTATTGTGGTGGAGTCAAGTGTTGAGAGTGTCTACTTAAAACACTTTTGTGATGTTAATTATCTCTGCATAAGTGGCTCATCTCTCCAGGAAATTGCGTATCTCAGTAAAACATCTCTTGTGCTTCTCGTGTATTTTTTCATCATGTTTAGTGCAATACCATAAACCTTGAATAACACCATGGAAACCACAGGAGGTGCCACTAGTGATGCTGGAAGTGCCCCCAAGGAGCAGAGAAAAGTCATGACATTACAAGAAAAGGCTTGATTACTTGATATGTACCATAGAATGAGGTCTGCAGCTGCCATTTCTCACCACTTCAGACTATTCATCTTGAAAACAGATAGCACAAAATTATGGTATCATTAAATGAAGTACAGTAGTTACAGTAGATGTATTTTCCCTTCCTTATAATTGTCTTAATAACATTTTATTTTGCCTGGCTCAATGCATTGCAAAAATACAGTATGTAATACATTTAACATACAAATTATGTGTTAATCAACTGTTTATGTTATTGGTAAGACCTCTAGTCAAAAGTAGGCTACTAGTAGTTAAGTTTTTGGGAAGTCAACAGTTATACATGTATTTTTGACTACATAGGGGTAGACACCTCTAACCCTCTTGCTGTTCAAGGGTCAGTTGTATGTATGTTTGGTCCTCTGAATTAATGCCTTTGTAACATACAAAATGTTTTTATTTTGTGTCTGGCATCTTTTAATCAGTATCATGTTTATGTTGTATATGTAGCTGAAGTTTGATTATTTTCATTGTCATATATGGTTTCATTGAACAATTATATCACAGCCATTTATTCCATTCTTGATGGCCATTTGTGTTATTTCCAGTTCATAGCAATTAAAAATAAGGCTGCTGTGAACATTTTCAACATGTCTTTCTGCACCGGTGCACCTGTATATGCTAGACAGGTATGGAATTTCAAACTCATATAAACTATCTACTTTCAAATTCAGTAAATAGTACAAAATGGTTTTCCAAAGTGCATACTAAATTTTAGTTCTAAGAGCAGTGAACAAGAAATCCTGTTGCTTCAGATTCTTGTAAAAACTTGGTATTATCAATCTGTATAGCCATTCTGTAGGGTGTGTCATGATATACTGTAGTGGTTTTTGTTTGAATTCCCAAATGACTAGTGAAGTTGTACACATTTTCTTTTCTATTCTTTCCATTTTTAGCCATTTTGAGATTCTGTTGTGTAAAGTGCCTAAGTCTCTTGCCTCTTTTCTTTCGGATTCTGTCTTACTCTTGTTGGTTTGTAGTTTTTTTCATACTCTAGATATAAGCCTTTTCTAGATCATAAGGATCACAAAATTTTCCCTCATTCTGTCTTTTGTCTTAACACTATGTTTTGATACATAATTATAATGTAGTATGATTCATCAATTTTTTAATGTTAATACTTTTGGGAGTCCTGTTCAAAATATTTCTCTACTCAATGTCATAGAGATGTTCTTCAATGTTTTCTAAAATTTTTCATGTTTTGCCTTCCATATTTAGAGCTACAATGCACCAGCCATTGTTACTTTATATATGATATGAGTAAAAGTTAAGGTCTTTTTTTGCATACAAATAATTACCCAATTAGCACTGTCCCATTTTGAAATAACAATCTTCCCTTACTATAGTGTCATTCTTGTCACATATAAAATTATAGATATTCATGAGGCTGATCTGATATATCTGGTCTGTTGTATTGATGTATTTATTCATCCTAGTCAATACCTACTCTCAATTTATTGTTGCTTTATATTAAGTCCGTATCTCTGATAGGACAAGTCCTATCATCTTATTCCACTTTTTCAAGGGTGTCTTGGTTGAACATGTCCCTGGCATTTCCAAATCCACAGCAGTTTACCAATGTTGAAATAAAAATCTGCTAGTATTTTTGCTGAGATTCATACTTCTTTATATTTAATTTTATATTGAGTATACCAATATATTTGGGGAGAAATAACATCTTCTACAAACCACCATGACACAAGTTTACCTATGTAACAAACCTACACATGTACTGCTGAACTTAAAATAAAAGTTAAAAAATAATAAAACATTAAAAAAAAGCTTTAAACTAAAAGTAAATAAACAAATAAGTAAATTAATCTCTCCATTCTTGGACCAGGTGTATACTTTCATTTATTTAGATCTTAAGTCTGCCTTAACGTTTTCTAATGCTCTGTGTGGCATTCTTTCACTGAATTTATTCTAAAGTATTTGAAATATTTTGATGGTATTGCATAGCCCATATATACACACATATACTTTTCTTTCAACCTTTTTACATTGTATCCAACAACTTTGCAAAATTTGCATATTAATTCTAAAACAGTTATTTGCACATTCTTTTTTCTTTTCCACTCTTTTACATGTATTTATTTATTTATCTAATTTTAAAGACAGGGTCTTGCTCTGTCAAGCAAGCTAGAGTGCAATGGCATGATCATAGCTCACTGTACCCTCCCACTCCTGGCTTCTGTGCCCAAGCAATCCTCCTGCCTCAACCTGCAGAATAGCTGAAACTATGGGCACACGCCACCATACCACGCTAATTTTACGTTTTTGTGGTTGTTGTTGCCTTATTGCATTTGCTATGATTTCAGGCATGATGCTTAATAGATATGTTGATGGGGGACACCTTTCTTTTGGTTTTAATCTCTGAGAGAAAGTATTCAATAGTTCACTTCTACATGCAGTATGTTTCTTCTACGGTTTCTGTGCCTACCCATTATCAAATTAATGAAGTTTCATCTATTCATAATTTGTTAGAAGTTTAATTTTTTAAATCATGAATATGTTTAATGTTATAAAATATATTTTCTCTTTCAATTTAGTAGATTAAATTGGTGACATTTGTTCTTTATTTTGTTAAAATGAATGATTTAATTGGTTGATTATCAAAGGTTAAAAAAACCTTGCATATCCGTAAATGAACCAAATTTGATCATGATATATCATAATTTTTATCTATTACTAAATCTGGCATGGCTTTAATTTGCTGATATTTTAAAAATCTATGCCTAATGTGAAATTTTTCTGCAGCACCTTGCTTTTAATGTCATTTTGGGTTTAGGTTCAGATTATCTTTTTCTCATAAAATATGAAAAGATCTCTCTGTCGTATCATGGGAGTGTTATTTTTTGTCTTAACCATTTGGTGGAAACTGATGAAAACAACTAGAAAATGTAATTTTATTTGTTGAAAAAATTTAAAACATATATTTAATAATTTAAAAATAAGATTAGATAGATTTATTATTTTTTCTTATTTTGCTGTGTCAGGTTTATAAGCAGTTTTATTGGCTAACCTCTCCCTTCTACTTTTGTGTTTCTATTTGCATATACCTTAGCTCACAACTATGGCTCCTATGTTTCTCACTTTTTCTTCTGTGAAGTCCATCATTTTGTGTCTCTGGGCTTTCTTCTGGATATATTCTTCTGATTCTCCTCCCAATTTACTACACTTTCTTCAATTGTATCTAATATAGAGTTATATTGCTCTATTTCGCTATTAATTTTAGTTGTTTTATTTTTTAGTTCTACAGTTTCCATTTAAATTTTAATATCTTTTATTAATACAGACATATGTTAATATGTAATTCTTATATATTCTCTTTTAAGGTTCTAATTTCATGCTTTATATCCTTGACTATATGAAGAAACGTGGTTGTATAATTTGTGTCTGATAACTCCATTAAATGGATTCCATGTGGATCCCTTTTTTATAGTCTTTCTTCCCTCTTTGTTCTTCTCCTTCTTCCTCTTCCTCCTCTTCCTCTTATTCTTGTCTTCTGCTTCTAACTTTGTTTTTACTTTTTAAATTTTGCTACCTCATATGACTAGTTCTTTTGGACTTCATGAAATAAATTGAAGTCTAAGATGATATTATAGTCCCACAAAGAATATTTATACTTTCTAGTAGCAAATGGTCAGGGCCACATGCAATTCATAGCACCTTGATCTAATTTTGTTATTGAGGAGATCCACAACTAAAATATTTTGAAATGTCAGTCTCTTCAAAATTTCCTTTTATCCAGAGACAGGGGTATGCACCAGTCTCCTCTCTCTTTAATGCTCCCTGAACACCAACTTTTTTTCCCAAGTCTTGTGAGGTTGTCTAAACTCTGCTCATATTCTCAGTCTTTTTGAGATTTACCTACAGAAATCAGCAACCCCAAGTATGAGGCTCACCTCCCTGGATTTTATTCATTTCCCAGGTCTTTACCCCATGATTCTTCACTGCTTTGGTAGCTCTGTGCTGACTTCAAGCTGAGTTTTAACGAATTTTTATTTCAGTCTCAAGGTTGGTCTAATTTCCTAGATTGCCATTGCCCTAAGGTTGAATAATTTTTTTCAAGTAGGTAAAATTAAGAGATAAAGTAAAACAACAACAAAAACAACAAAACAAAAACAAAAGCAAGTTAACAACAAAAATCATCCATAAAATCATACCTTTAAAAGATAGAGTATAATTTTTTGTATATTTTCTACATATTTTATTATTCTTCATAGAGCCACATGATCCTTAAATAATGTTTTAAAACAACTAACGTATGCAGCATTTATAGAGACAATTTGAGTAATATTATATGTAAATATATTAACCCCTAACAGTTCTATAAAATCTGTTTTTCCAAATTTTTCTTCAGATTAAATGCTAAAATAATGTTTAAAATATACTTGACTTGAATAGTTGACTAAATTTTTCTAAAAATTCGAAGCTTACATGTAGTTATAAAGCTTTCTACCTTATCTGTTTGATCATTTCAGTTCTACTCTTGAGAAGTTCACTGAGAGATTTTATGTAGTATAATGTTAACATTTATGGTAAGATTCGATGAAGCTATATTAAAGGTAAGCCAACCTTCAGAATTAGAGGTACCTTATTTCCACCAGGTATAATGTGGATGACAGTCTTCATTTTTCCTATAAAATGTGTGCTATATGTTCATTAACCATAAAAATACATTAAAAACTCATCATTATGGCAGTAATGACACCTTTTAAACAGTGCTAAAAAGTTTGAAAGTATAAAATATCTCAAAAGACTTATATAATATGCAAAATGAGTTATTATGCCACTTCATTTAGTGAATATTAAGTAAGCTTCTTTAGCTGCTTGTACCATCAGTTTATTTCACTCAACTGAATAGTCTAATAATATTCCCATTAAATATTTATATGAACAATCAAACACCACAAATGAAGACCATATCCCTTGACATTCAAGATGGTTTCCAGGCTGATATCAGCACTTTGTTATGTTGGTAGGGCTCATTTGCTATGGCTTAGAATGATATTTTCTATTAGCTTTGAGTATATGATATCTGACCTTAGAATAAAGGCTATTCATCATGTCTTCTAATTTCTCAATTTTATTTCTTCACTGAAGGAGTATTAATAATAAAAAATTAAGTGCATTTAAAAGTTGGGGTCTTGTTATGCTAATTCAGCCAAGGAAATTGATTAACAGCTCAGTTTTTAACACAATAGAAAATATACTCTTTCGTTTTGTATGTTTAATATCATCCTGTTCATATGACTTAATTTATATCTCCATTAAATAAAGGTGAATCTAATATTTTACTTCAGCCCTATATGTAATTTTTTTGATCTATGAATGCATGATAGCATGGTGATTGTAATTTAATTGTTAATACTCAATTTGAAATCCTACAAATCTAATCACATTCTGTCTATGCATTTATGCTCCTGAAATATTTGGCTCACTTTCATGGATATTATTTTGAGATCACTGGAAGTTAACATCAAAATGATCCTGAATATTATTCACATTTTAAGACTAGAAATTAGATTCATTTCACAAGCTTCAAATAAATACAAAAATTATTTGGTGGTCATTCTGGGTTCTTAAGAAGTTATAACTAAAACTTAAAGAGAAATTTAATAATTATTAGCTTTATTATACAATTCTGTAAAATGTGATGTTATAAATCTGTAGCCACAAGCTTGGATATTCAGAAAAAGCTCATGTTACTTTATGTTATTTAAATTTAATTAAATGTGACTTATTTCCATCCATTGGTGTTAATGGAAAATTTAATGTTGATCATTATTAGGGCTGAGACATACACAGCTCGGGGCCATATGAAGCCCAGTCTCCAATAGCTTCATGCTTTAGTACTGGCTGTTTGCTGATAGGAACGTTGTCCAAACTGGCATAGCCTATACAGTCAGGTTGGTCTCTGCTGTTTCCGTGAATAGAAGATTTTTATAAGAACAGAAACCCTGACAGCTAGCATCAAGCCTTTAGTCACAGTAAATAACCAATGTCCTCCATCCCCTCCAGGGTATTGCAAGGACCCTGCACATTATCGTACTTGTCTTGGAAACCACAGACCTTAGATCAGGCCCACTGGTTGGAAAATCTCTTGTCCATCATCATGTTAGGTTTCCCACACCATACCCACTTGTTTATCATTTTCCATATCTTTTTTGGGAACATAGAATAATGTCCTCAAAAAGTTATCTTTTTGTAGTAGCTTGAATGCCTGAATAAATAGCTTTTTAAATCAGGGCCTTTTCGGGGAGGAGCTATTAGCAATCCTGAGAATGCAACACATATAGCTGTCTGTCTTAGATTAGGCTCCTCAGAAAGAGACCCTGATTTGTATTAAAGCATTTTCTTAGGATATGTTCCCAGGAAAACCTGGTAGGGGAGTGGGGAGGTAAAACTGTCATCAACAGCACTGTTGTAATGTCCCGGGAAAAGTGAGATGTGTGGTTGTCCTAACAATAGCTAGTAGTACATGCTTTGGGCTTGAAAGAGCTCCTGAAACAAAGAGGAGGAAAACCTTTCTGGGGATTGGAGATTAATGGGGGGGTTCCCAAACACTGAAATAACATAGTATACCCTCCCACACACTCACAATTTTACATCTCAATAAGTTTCTTCGCCACAAAAATTAACTGGTACGTGTACTCAGCATTTTCCAGATGTGGAAATGAATTAATTCCCTGTAGGATATTTTAGCTTGACAGAAATTAAAAGGTCATGAAATGAAGCTGCTTGCCTTATTTCTAGACAATTTTAGCTGTTTATGATATATTATCATCCCATAAGTGGAACTAACATGCACATTACTTACACACTACCAGAAGATTAATTGGAATGCCATGTGGTACAGAAGGCAATGGCTTCCCCAATTAAGAGTAAAATAACTCAGAATATAAGACATAACTTGGAATGAACTTCCATTTCCTTTTAATTTATTCTGCTAATCTCAGATCCTGACTTAATGTATAGATATCTTAGGTAATTATGATGCCAATTACTATTGGAATTTTCCTCTTACCCTAAGGATTTTTACAGTTAAGTTATTCTAAAAGTTAACTACAGTTTTCTGTTTCCTTGGGAGTGAGTGAGGAAGTAGCCTAATGAAAATGTGCTTCCAGGTGCTGAAAAAGGCCACCTTCTGTAATATATAATGCCTAATTCTTCAGGATAGAAATTCATTGTTTTACCTAGTATAATTTACAGTCTCAATTCTACCACTGAAGTTGGCCATCAGTTAGTTTGAAGAATCTGTTAGTGCAGGTTAAGTATGCATGTTTGTATCTATTATGTACTGGCACCTGATGTAGTTAAATGGTAAGGTCATTAGGTTGACATCTTAGAGACATTGCTTAAGGGCACTACATAGCCCCTTATGATGGTCATCGCTCTTAGTAAATGTGAAAAGTAACTTCATGTCTAGATCCCTTTATGTACACTTTCTGGTGAGCCACAGTCTATTAATTATAGCCATGGAAACAAATGTATGTCAATGATTGCAGGGAATTGAATGCTCTTGTACAGAGAAAATATGGGACAAGTTGTCATTTAAGCAGAAAAAAACTGTGGCCCCTCCTGACTTATTTTATTATAGCCACATTCCTTAGCTTAGCCTGCCAGGTCCATCATGACATGATCCCTGCCTCTCTCCTAAACTCATCACCTAGTAGTACCTTTTCCAAAACACACCACAATAGCATATTCAAAGTTAATGCTCTGTCTTCCCTTCATCTTTCATAAAACTGCTCCATCTCACTGGCATATAACCACTACATACTTTCCTCACTTCCCTTGGCTAAGAGCTACTTATCTTTTAATACTTTATTCAGGAAACACACTCTAGAGAGCCTTCTGTATTCTTTCCCAGACTTGGCTGGAATATTTCATCAATTCTCCCATAAAATCCAGTGCATGTACTATTTTCACAATTTAATGTATTGGTTTACTTAATCTATTTATGGATCCTATTCCCTGGAGAGCAAATTGTTTTGGGTGGAAGATGACATATAAATTTCTTTGCATTCTCTAAATTTAGCAGAGTATCCAGGACACATAAAAAGGTTTCAATGATAATTTGTTGAGTGAGGGAATGGATGGATGGAAAGATGGATAGATGGGTGGGTGGCAAAGACTCTGATTTACCACTGAAGTTGTGAATCAATCATAATGAGCTAAGGATTAAAAAACTCAATGATTCAGTTTAGATACAGGTCTATTTCCTTCTAAGTGGATCCTTTTTTTAATTTTATTTTTAAGAGACAAAGTCTTGCTCTGTCACCGAAGCTGGAGTGCAGTGGTGCAATCTCAGCTCACTGTAGCCTTAACCTCCCAGGCTCAAGCGATCTTTCTACCTCAATCTCCTGAGTAGCTGGGACTACAGCCACTTGCTACCACACCTGGCTTATTTATTTATTTATTTATTTATTTATTTATTTATTTATTTAGTAGAGACGAGGTTTCACCATGTTGCCCAGACTGGTCTTGAACTTCTGAGCTCAAGCAATCTGCCCCACTCAGCCTCCCAAAGTGCTGGGATTACAGGCATGAGACACTGCACTCAGCCAAGTGCATTGTTAAGTAAGGCTGGGATGTAGATAATTATTGCTTTGCGGATTTATGATATAATGCATTAATGCTATAGTTAAGTATCTACATGAAATTCATTGAAGAGTCTTTTGATAAATCTACCACTAATAAACACAATATCATAGCTTACACAACTTTTTACATTTTGTTTTAAATCATTGTTTTGCATATTCATATATATGTGTACGTATGTATGTATATAGATGTATACATATGTATATAAAGGCACATAAATGACTATAGTAATTTTACTCTGATGATAAAATAGAACTTATCCATGCATATATGTATACATTATCTCATGCCTTAACGGTTAAGACAATGATTAACTTCTTTAACTTAACAATCAAAAAAGATAGTTGATTAGCTCTTGTGAAATCAATTAACACAGATTTTTAGAATGCCAGACCAAATTTAAACACTCTAATCATATTTTTTTAATTCCCATGAAAACAAAATTTTATTCAATATGATCAGGAAAATACAAGAGGTTGCCCATGACCAGCCAACTTAGAACCTGATTCCAGTTACTATCAGTGACTGTGTCTGTCATCAAAACATTAGACCATTACCCCCTGTTACTATTTAATTGAAATATCGTAATTGTCACTTTGCACATAAATTAAATTATTTGAGGCACATTAGAGGATACTCTAGCATTTAAATGGTGCTTTTCATCTTCAACATATTTTATAAACATGAATTAAGTAAGCTACTAAAGTGGCTATTTGAAAATTTTATCTCCCTTGAAAGTGATTATGCCTAAAATTTCTACTTAGTGGCATTGTACTTAATTTTGCAACCATTACACTTCAAAACTAAACTGTTCATCAATTTCTCCCCAATTAACCATTTACTATGCTACTCAACAGGATAAGCATTAGATACTTAAATAGCAATTTTATCGGGAAGTTGGTCCAGTGGACAGTTTTATCCTTCATATTCCTAGTTCTTGTGCTTCTGGGGGAATTCTCAATAGTGCTGTTCTATTTCTTGGGAATAAAGTGGATGATGATAACTTATACATGATTCTTTACAGGAGAAATGTTCCCTGTGAACAATATCACTTAGATACAAAGTGGAAAGCTGTGTTATATATTATCTTTCTGGTTGTACTGAACAGAGACATACTCAGGCAATGCAATGCATGGGGACTTATTGTGAGGATATAATGGGAAATAGGATGAAAAAGAAACGTGGCTATGGGTATTATATTCAAAATTACTCAAAAAAGGAATATAAATGCCTCTTTTGTGCTCCTGTTATATCCCTACACTGAGCCATAGACTATTAACTCTTTCCACAGTCAAAAGGTTATAGACCAATCAAATGCTAGCCAGAGTGGCACAGTCACAAGGCACAAGGTATGATAATCTCTGTATAAAGGGATGTTCTTCAGCTTCTTGTCTCAGTCGTGGAATGAATAACCACCAAGCTCTTCGCAAATTTCCAATGGGGATGAAATAAATAGCAGGTAACTGAGGTTTTTTTTTTTGAAAGAAGACCATGCAACTATCAGTTACTGTGAGGCTTCAGAGGTTTTTTTAGTACAAAAATAATGATTTTTGGAACACTTACTATGAGTGAGGCATATTGCATAAATCATTTATTTTATTTAATCATTATATCAACACAGAAGGTAGATACTGCTAAGTCTGTGTCACCAGTTGAGGCCCAGAAATTTGAGGAATCTGTCAAAGCTCACACCCAAAAAGTGTGAAAACTAGAATCAACCTAGGTTTGGTTGTTATCAAATCTAGTTCTATTTCCAACGATACCAGATTGCCTTTCACAGTAATTATTATAGAACTAATTAATACTTATGGATTGAGTCTCATGCTTATTGGTCATATGCATACACAACCATCTCTCATTCTTGCTAACTTGGAGTTTATTAAAGCTGAATATACTTCTGTTTTACTTGGTAGGGGGTATACAAAAATTATACTGTTTCTGGGTATGAAAGAAATACTTTTTTAATATAGCTCAGAACTAATGTGAGGCAAAATGTAGGTGCACTCAACAAAGACAACACTATTAGGAATAGAGTCAAGGAGTCCCTTGTCCCTCATTTCCTGTCTTGCAGACTAGTGCTTCTTGAATGGCATCATACTGCCCCTTTGCCTGTTAGCCTTCCTGATGGACAGCCAGTGTTTTCTACATAGCAAGAAGAACAAAGATTCATAGTTCAAGTCATGGCTAAATTCAAATACGCTTTGGTCTGATGTGCATAGCATTTTGTTATTTTTGGAAAAATATATAAATAGATATCTCTTAGAAGATGATATATAGCATCCATATATAAACTCCGAGAAGAATTTAGACTTTTGATTCCGGGTCAGAACACGTTCAATATTAAAATGGCCTTTTCACTAGTTTTCACCAAGTAGTTTAAACATAGTAATAAAAAAAGGCCCATGGCTATGCTTATTGAAGGACAATCTATGAAGTTTCCCTATTGCAATCAAATTTTTTATTCCATAGTAACCAGTGGAGTTGTCAGTGATAAAGTAAAAAAACAAGTAACAAGATAAATTTTATTTCTGCAGCATATCATGTTCTTCTTTTAGTGACACAGATTTTGAAAAGTGTCTTTGAACAGGTAAATTAAGCTATTGTGACAAAAAAATAATGACTATCATGTGTATTTATGAGCATTAATGCTTTCAAACCAACCCCCTAGCCCCCCAAAGATGCTTGCTTGGCATATTTATTCTATTTCAGGAAAGAAAAGCTCTTCTAAATAAGTTATTTTTAAACTTCTATTGTTCAAAATACATGTATATTTACTTTCTCTGAAACCTGAGAGAATAGCTGTAAAATCATAAGACTGCAGGAAATGCTTGTTTTTACATAGTCAATAGGATTTCTGTTTTTCCCAGAGGCAGTAACAAATCTAGTTCCTTTTAAGCAACCTTGCCTTCTTGGCCTATGGACTTCTGTTCAAAATATGTTTTGCCTTATGAGTAATGTAGTTGCATCCACTACTTATCCTTATACCCGACACTTTGCTTGTAGGATGCTGAAGAGCATTAGTCTGTCTACATTTTCAAGCTCTCATTTCTCTGTAGGAGCCCTCTGGCTAATACCATTTTTTAACATATTCCATTCTCTCTACCCTCCCCTCTTCTCCCTTCTCCTTTATTTTCCTCTCCTGTCTTCTCACACTCTCTTCATGTTACTCTTATAAAGTGAATTTTGTTAGTGACTCATTTAATGCCATAGTTTGCAAAATTCTTTTAATATCAGCTTAATATGCTAAAAATTAAAGGTATAGAAAGTACAGTAGGAATGGCTGAGGAAATGCATGGATAATTCTTGTTAGGTCTATGTGATTTATCTTACAGCAACAGCAAAACTAGAAATAAAACGGACTCACAGATTAGATTTATAATATATTTCTGCTCCATTCCTGTTTGCATACTGAAATAATATACAGCATGGAATTGTATAGACAAATAGATAGAGAGGCAAATAATTTGGAAGCATAAGACACATTTTTAGTAGTAGTCATATTGAGGAATTGGTTTGTGGGTGATTTTTTAAACAAGAGAGGGATGTAGGCAGTGCCTTTGCATTCATGGTTTATTGTACTACTCTGATGAAAAGATGACGACGGTTTTTAATATAATTATTCCTCTGTTTGAAAAAGTGCAAAGCTTTGCTGACTGCGGTGGCTCATGCCTGTAATCCTAGCACTTCGGGAGGCCAAAGTGAGTAGATCAGTTGAGGTCAGGAGTTTGAGACCAGCCTGACCAACAAGGTAGAAACCCCGCTTCTACTAAAAATACAAAAATCAGCTGAGTGTGGTGGCAGGCGCCTGTAATCCCAGCTACTTGGGAGGCTGAGGCAGGAGAATCGCTTGAACCCGAGAAGCAGAGGTTGCAGTGAGCCAAGATCACGCTACTGCACTCCAGCCTGGGAGACAGAGCGAGGCCCTGTCTCCAAAAAAAAGAAAAAGAAAAAGAAGTGCAAAGCTTATTTGACTTCATTTCCTCTCCAGAACCCATATAATTATTTTATTATAGAAACATAGTTCAATCCATTTATCAGAATCATACAATGATAGCAACTTAAAGGATATTAGAAAACTTCTCTTGTTACATTTTGAAAGAGGAATACATTGAAATAATTCTACAGATATTAGTGAATCCTTAATACATGCCAGATATATTTTCTTTGACTAACATCAAATGTAACATCATATGTAGATATAGATATAGATATGGATATAGATATAGATAGACATATGATCCCTGGTGCTTCTTACAAAGACAGGAATATACTGGAATGGCAGTGGAAGAAATTCACCATTTATTTCTGAAAAACAAATGCTTGTAGAATAATAAACCTGTGTTCATCCATAAGGCTCTGACAGTATGTTTATGGACTCAATTTCTATTAGTATTTTATTCTAACTCAACTTTACACTCTGTTAAGGATTACATATAATTTTAAGTCATTGGTAACATTCGATGTCTTAGCATAACTGCATAAAGCTTGACTGTGGCCTCAGGATTACTTATAATTTTAAGTCATTGATTACATTCAATGTCGTAGCATACCCTGTGTAAAGCTTGATTGTGGCCTCACACCCAATATCATAATCACATACAGATATATGTAACATATTTCAAAATAACAAAAATTCCTTTTATCAGGGAATAGCGAGCATAAATGTTTCCTTATAAAATATATTAACAATTAAATAATGAATAATTTTGTTTTGAAGATTAATGCATACAAATTCCAAACATATTCCTGACTTTGCAATAGTCTAATCCAAGTTAAACTTCATCTCCAAGTTTCAGCAAACATATGTCCTTGCTTTATGAGCATATAGAAGACAGCTAAATTATGTGTTTATCATTTTCACTGAGGATATTTGACATTTATAGGTTGTGGTGAAAACAAATTGGGTAATTTTGCTGCCTTAAAAAAGAGAAACCCACTACAAAACCGGATGCTGTCTACTTTCAAAGGAGGACAGTTTCTGCCTTCAAATATGAGGAGTTCTTACGTCTTTTCTTTTATGTACAGAAAATAAAAGGAATCACAGCCATTGACAAGTTTTGTCAATCAAATCAAATCAAAAAGGACAGCTTGACTTTCAGATCTCTACCTTCTCTTTAAGAAAAGGAAGTATGAATTAGATCTCACAGAAAATTTGTCACAGCAATTAAGCTACAGAAATGCAGAATGCTTGTGAGACAGTCAGGTTCTGAATTGTAAGAAAAGTATCATGGTAGAATATCTATAAATTCTGTACCTTCCAGTAAGTAACCAGAGCCTAAAAGGTGGAAAAAGGCAAAATGGACTGGTTGCTGGGGCTTGAGGTGGGAAAAACGGGGAGTTACTCTTAAGTGGTTATAGAGTTTCGGTTTTACAACATGAAGAGTTACAAAGATGGATGATGGTAATGATTGCACAACGCTATGCATGTATTTAATACCATGAAACTCTACATTTTAAAAAGGTTAAGATGCTAAATCTTTCAATATGTTGATTTTACCTAAATTTTTAAAAATGGGAAAAAAGAAAGCACTTGTCAGGTACAAATGAAATTATGTTTATAACTTCAGATTGTTAAATACTCATCCTGTAAATTAGATAAGCCCTGAATGACACCCTCACCTTAATAGATTACTAGGACAATATATTGAAACAGCACTATTTAGTATCCAGATTTCAGATTCCATTCCATCATGGTATAAAGACCTTTAATAGGGAATATAAACAAAACGCTAATTATGGTTTTATGATAAGATGGAATTGTTTGTAAAATTTATTTTTATTTCAATAGGTTTTGGGGGAACAGGTGCTGTTTGGTTACATGAATAAGTTATTTAGTGGTGATTTCTGAGATTTTGGTGAACCCGTCACCCAAGCAGTGTACAATGTACCCAATGTGTATTCTTTTTTCCCTCACCTGACTCCCACCTTTTCCTCTAAGTCCACAAAGTCCATTGTATCATTCTTATACCTTTTCAACCTCATAGCTTAGGAGTGAAAGCATATGATATTTCGTTTTCCATTCCTGAGTTACTTCACTTAGAATAACGGTCTCCAATTCCATCCAGGTTTCTGCAGATGCCATTATTTCATTCCTTTTTATGGCTGAGTAGTATACCACAGTGATATATATATATACATATACAACATATACAGATATCACATTTCCTTTATCCACTCATTCATTAATGGGCATTTGGGCTGGCTCCGTATTTTTGCAATTGCAAATTATGCTGCTATAAGCATGTATGTGCAGGTATCTTTTACATATAATGACTTCTTTTCCTCTGGGTAGATACTCAGGAGTGGGACTGCTGGGTCCAATGGTAGGTCTACTTTTAGTTCTTTAAGGAATCTCCACACTCTTTTTCATAGTGGTTGTAAATTAGACAAATATTATTTGACATAAACTTAAAAGAACAAAATTACTGGACAATAATTCCATTATTGAGAAGGTGTGTTTTTATGTGATCCAAATTAAAGCATATTAAATTCACTCTAGAAATGGTACTGTTTAATATTCACAGGTGAATTTCAAGTATTACCAATTGAAAAATATAAATGGAATTTTAAAATTCAAATCTAATACAGGAAGAAAACTTAAATGGGAAAAATTTATTAATGACAAAGTAACAAAGGAACAGGATGGAAAAAGGAAGCTAAAGTATGAAATTATATATATTATATATAATTTAAAACATAAGATATATTTTTTTAATATATATATAATATATTTTTCTAATATATATAAAATACATAATTTTATACTTTTTCTTTTTCCATCCTGTTCCTTTCTTACTTTATTAGAAATAAAGTTCCTTATATTATTAGAAAAAATATACTATATATAAAATATATATTTTGTCTATATATATAAAATATATAAATTTACACATTATCTTCCTTTTTCAATTTGTTCCTTTCTTAGTTTGTCATTAATAATTTTTTCCCATTTAAGTTTTCTTCCTGTACTAGATTTGAATTTTAAAATTTCATTTATATTCTTCAACTGGTAATACTTGAAATTCACCTGTGAATTTTTAATACATATATATTTTAAATATATATATTTAAAAATATATATTCAAAGTTACCTTACATGCTAGTGAGATAAATAGGTTAAAAGGCAAATATTGTTAGCTCGACTTAAAGATTCAACCTAACTCTTTGCTCATTATAAAATATGTCTTCCAAATGCAAGAATACAGATAAAATGAAAGTAAACTCTTGGTAACATGCAGACAAAATGGCAATTATAAGAATGCTGATGTAGCGTTATCAATATAAAACAAAATAGATTTTAAAGCAAGAAGGATTATTAACAGATTTAAAATGGTGATGATATATTAGTTTCAATTGACTTGGAAGAAACTAAAATTCTAAATTTAAAATAATCTAAAAAATTTTACCAAATATAAAGAAACAGAAATTGATGAATCTGTGATCACAGTATTTCAATATACCACTTACAAATTGGTAACAATATAAATTATTTCAATGGTACAGTTAAGAAGCATAGTTTAATCAACATATACAGGATTGTACTAGTAACAAAGACTATTGCAAATGCACATACAATTATTAAAATTTCACAAAGTTTGAAAAATCAATATTTTATAGATTATATAACTCTGATGACAATGCAATTAACTTAGAAATCAATTACTGGAGGAGAACTGATCCCTATCAAAATAGTCAAAAGTCTATTCCAAATGTATTAAAGTTTTAGATGTGAAGAGTATGACTATAAATGGTTTACAAATAAATATCAGACATATTTATCTAGAAATAGATCAATATTTCTTTTAAAACAATAAAGAATAAGTAAATAATATAATAAAATGTTGACAAATTTGATTACATTAAAATAAAAAACTTCTACTTATCAAAACCACCATAAACTAAAAGCAAAAAGTCCAAATATATGAGAAAATATTTGCAACAAAAATTATTTTAAAAAGCTTGCATTCAAAACATATAATGAATTTTTTAAAAATTAGGAAAGATGTTGACAATAGAAAATAAAAGTATAAAATGTATGAAGAAATGTTTCCCAGAAGGGAAAACCTGATGGCAAATAAATAAGCAGGAAAAATTTTTCTAAGTCTAACAATACCTGTTTTGGTACGCATGTGGAGCAAGGACAATTCACATTTTTTGTTTACTCACATCACACATAGAATTGTCTACTTATAAAAATAATGGTAAATGCATCAAATTTGCCATGATTAAGTATTTTACTCTCATAACCATTATTGAGTTCTACAAGCTTGGAAGTATATTACATATAAACTAAGAGCAAAGGTCACTAATAAAAATGATATTCAAATAAACAAAATTGCATTCATGACTTGACTAAAAGATCAACTATTATCATTTGAGTTTTACCGTCCATAAGAAATGAACTATATTATCAACATTCTCATGTTTTGTCTAATTATTTATAGACTGGGTCTCGCTTATTCAAAGACTGAACTAGCATGCTAATAACTAAGTGTGAAATTAAATATTTGTATATATCCCTTCTAGAGTGAAAACAAAGTTTTCATTATACTTTAGCAATTAGTCATTATAACTCAAATCTCAAATAGAAAGTACTTTTTCATCAATAATTTAATTTTTAAAAAATATTTGCAAATTTATGCAAAGAGTTAAAATGTTCATTAACAAAAGTTTATCCAAGTTTTTAAGTTTAGGTCCAAACCTAAGTGACTTTTACATATATACATACATTTATATATGTATATTATATATACATATAATATACATAGATATATAAATGTACATATACATATATAAATGTATATTATATATACATATAAATGTATATGTATAATACACATTTTATATACACATATATAATACACATTTATATATACATATATAAATGTAGGTATACATACATACACATATAAAACACACACATATATGTGTAAAATGTATATGTAAAACTTATAACTTAATAAGAGGACCCATGTTTACACTTCTAAAATGTTGAGTCTTTAATTACTCTCAAATTATAGACAACCTGTCCAAATAAAAGTATTTTTGTACTTTTTTACCATCGCTTTTTCAATTCCTATTGCTCTCAGAAACATTCACATTCTGTCAACTCTCTAACACTTGAAAATCTTAATACTCAGACATAAAAATATGTCTATAAATATACAAACACACAGACCTAACTTCTCAAAGAGCTTACCATTTAATACATTTCAGAAATACTTAAAATGACTTTTTGCTTTTTCCCCTAAATTTGCCTTTGTCTGTAGAATTTTAAAAACATTTTTCAAATATGACATTTTCAACAGCAGTTGATTTTTCTAATTAGATAGTGCACAGGTACCAAACAGGTGTTCTTCTTCCTGACATTCATCCTACATGCGTTTGATGTATGTCTTTATTTGCAAATGGTCATGACCAGGTTTCTTCCTTTAGTGTTATATTTCACAGAAGAATAAATTCTCCCACTGCTCTGTAGTTACTGCTCTGAAATTTGATTAGTGAAGTTGTAGCTGAAGATTTTTCTGATAGCTTGTTTGTCTTATTATTCTACAGCAGTAATTTGAGGTCACATCAAGGTTAGAAAAATCTCCTCCAGGTATATAGACACACATTTAGAAGATTTATTGTCAACAGGGTTTTAGGATGTACAGCAGGCAAATAAAGCAATCACTACTGAGGAATCAAGTGCGCCTTAATAAGAAGTATTTGAGTCTTTTTTTTTTTTTTTTTTTTGAGACGGAGTCCCGCTCTTTAGCCCAGGCCGGATTGCAGTGGCACAATCTCGGCTCACTGCAAGCTCCGCCTCCCAGGTTCACGCCATTCTCCTGCCTCAGCCTCCCGAGTAGCTGGGACTACAGGCGCCCGCCACCGCGTCCGGCTAATGTTTTGTATTTTTAGTAGAGACAGGGTTTCACCGTGTTAGCCAAGATGGTCTCGATCTCCTGACCTTGTGATCCGCCCGCCTCGGCCTCCCAAAGTGCTGGGATTACAGGTGTGAGCCACCACGCCCAGCCGTATTTGAGTCTTTTTAAAAATTTAACATCTTAGAATTCTGTAATTCAGGATTCAATCCTTCTAGAAACACCTCTCCCTCTTCCCTTGCTTACATTCTCCCTTTTTCGTGGTTTTTCTCTTTACATGTCAACACTCATTCTTAATTTTCTGCACAGCCTTCTCCTTTTCCACCTGACTCCTAATATTGGACAGTTTCAGAGCTTAGTTGAAAGTCTTCTTCATTTTTCTTTTCCGAACACCCCACATATTACCAATTAATAAATCATTTAAAAATATTGATTAAGACCTTATATAAACTATACATTATTTCATTGAGTCCTGCTATTAATAGGCTAACGATACTTAACTTTATATTTTAATCCAGTTTTACTCTTGAATTCCATATTTATAGACCCTTTGCCTACATATTATCTACACTTTGATATCTGAGAGACATCTCATGCTTACAATATCAAGTTTACATGTTAAAATCAATTAGAACCAAACAAAACATAAAAACAAACAATTTTTTAAAAAATTGACAGGATAACCATTGCCTATTCACCATTTTAACTGAATTTTTTTATTTCTATGACATGTGGCTTATGCATTCATTTATCCATATAACCATTCATTCACTAATATTATCCAAATATTAATTGAAGTCTTATAATGAAAGAGTATATATCTACCATAAAAATACATGAAACGTGTAAAATATAATTATGTACTAAGATACAAATAAATTACCAAAATACCAAAGAACGGATAACTATGTAGCTCTTATTCTCTAACCAAAATTACTAAATCTAGATTTTCTAAACAAGGAATAAGAGAGAAATATGTTAGAGAAACTTTGAAATAATGTTTCAAATAATTATGGGTCCCAGTATAAATCATAAGAAGCCGGAATATATGCATTATACAACAATAATAAAATGATTGCATTAAAATATTTCTTACAGGAAATGAGCAGATTAAATAATTCTATTAGAAAACAAGAGAATGAAAATGTATTAGCTAAGTATCCAATTTATAAAGATAACATAATTAAAATAAGAGTAAATTCATAGGTAGTAGAAGGTAAGGCATGAAGAGGTAAAAGCAAAAAAATAATAATAATGTAATAAGGAGCCACAGCAATACAGTTGAATAGAAGGCTCTACCAATGGTCCTTCCTGCAGGAATACCACATTTGACAAAACAAGCATCTTCATGAGAATAAAAATCAGGTAAGCACTAACTAACAGTACCTGGTTTTATCTTCATATTGCTAAAACTGGCACTAAAGAGATCAGGAAAGACAGGCTTGAATTTCCAATGCCACCCCTCCCTCATTCCCCAACAGCAGCCATGTGGTGCACATAATCTGCATTTTGGGGGAAGAACAGCACAGTGATTATCGGACCCGATATTAACTCAGTGCTGCCCTCTCACAGCAGAAAGCCAGAATGGATTGAACTCAGCTGACACTTCCCCACAGCAGGAGCATTCTGACCAGCTCTAGTCAGAGGGAATCACCCATCCTAGTGGTCAAAAATTGAGTTCCTGCGACCCTGAGCACTGTGGGCTAAAGTGCTCTGGGGTTCTAAATGAACTTAAAAGGCAATCTAAGGCACAAAGACTGCAAATCATAGGCAAGCCCTAGTGCTGAACTTTGCTCACAGCCAGTGGACATGGGGGACATGTAACTTACTCAGACAACAGTCAGGGTGACTAAGGTAGTGCTTGTGCCCCCAGTTCTCCAACCCCAGGCAGCACAGGTTTCCGCTCCAAAAGAAACCTTCTCCTTCCACTTGAGGAAAGGAGAGGGAGTAGGAAAGATGACTTTGTCTTGCATCTGGGTTACCAGCTCAGCCACAGTAGAATAGGGCACTGGGCAGAGTCAAGAGGTCGAGGCCCTAGCTCCCAGATGACATTTCTAGAGACACCCTGGGTCAGAAGGGAATCCACTTCCTTGAAGGGAAGGACCCAGTCCTGACAGGTTCCATCACATGCTGATGGAAGAACCCTTGGGCCCTGAATAACCAGCAGCAATACCCAGGTAGTACATCATGGGCCTTGGGTGAGACTCTGAGACTTGCCAGCTTAAGGTGAGACCCAGCAAATTCCCAGCTGTAATGGCAATGGGGAAAGACTCCTTCTGCTTAAGAAAAGCAAAGGGAAAAAAACGGGGTTTTGTCTTGCACCATAGGTACCAGCTTGGTCACAGTGAGGTAGAGCACCAAGCAGGACCTTGGGGTCTCTGATTACTGGCCTCTGTTGTTGGACAGCATTTCTGGGCCTCCCCTGGGCCAGAGGAGATCCCACTGCCTGGAAGGGTGAGTCCCAGGCCTGTCAGCATTCACCAAATGCTGATTGAAGAGCCTTTCGGTCTTAAGTGAACATCACTGGTACCCTGGCAGTGCTCCCCATTGGCCTGTGGTGATGGTGGCCATGGGGTGAGGCTGTTCTGCTTGTGGAAATGGGAGGGAAGAGTGAAAAAGGCTGTGTCTCATGGTTTGAATGTCAGCTAAGCTGCAGTAGAATAGAACACCAGGTAGATATCTAAGTTTTTGCCTCCAGTCCTTGGCTCCTAGAAGGCATCTCTGGACTGACCTAAGGCCTGGAGGAACTCATCACCTTGAAGAGAAGGACACAAGCCTGGCTGGTTTAATCTCCTTCTTATTGTAGAGCCCTAGAGACTTGAATGAACATACACAGTGGCCAGGTCATGGTTATAGCAGCCTTGGGTGAGACCCGATGCTGTGCTGGCTTCAGGTCTGACCCAGAGCAGTCCCAGTGGTGGTGGACTCAGGGATACTTGTATCACTCCACCCCCAGCTCCAGGTGGCTCATCACAAAGAGAGAGACTCCATTTGTTTGGGAGAAAGTTAGGAAAGAGAACAAGAGTCAATGCCTGGTAATTTAAATAATTCTTCCACATCATATCTAAGACCATCAGGGTGGTACTTCTATGAGTCTATAAGAACTACAGTTTAACTGGGCTGGGATGCCCCCTAATGCAGATATGGCTTAGATCAAAACACTCCAGTCCTTTCGAATACTTGGAAAGCCTTCCCAAGGATTGCTATAAACAAGCCCAGACTGTGAAGACTATAGTAAATACCTCACTCTTTAATGCCCAGACACCAATGACACTCAACAAACATCAAGACCATTCAGAAAAATATGAGCTCACCAGATCAACTAAATAAGGCACCAGGGACCAATCTTAGAGAAATAGAGTTATGTGACATTTCAGATAGCGAATTCAAAATAGCTGTTTTGAGGAAACTCAAAGAAATTCAAAATAACATAGAGAAGGACCTCAGCATTCTACCAGATATATTTATCAAAGAGATTGAAATAATTAAAACAAATCAAACAGAAATTCTAGAGGTGAAAAATATAATTAACAAACTGATTATGCTATTATAATGTAGTCTTATAATTGCAGAATGGATCAAACAGAACTACTGAGCTCGAATATAGACTATTTCAAAATACACAGGCAGGGGAGACAAAGGAAAACAAGGAAGAAAAAGAATAAAGCACATTTACGATATTTAGAAAATAGCCTCAAAAGGTCAAATTTAAGAGTTACTAGCATTAAAGAGGAAGTTACTAGCATTAAAGAGACAGATATAGTGGTAGAAAGTTTATTCAAAGGAATAATAACAGAGAACTTCCTAAGCCTAAAAAAAGTATTAATATCCAAGTACAAGAAGATTATAGAACACCAAACAGATTTAACCCAAAGAAGACTACCTCAATGCATTAAATAATCAAACTCCCAAAGATTAAGAGTAAAGAAAGGACCTTAAAAACACCAAGAGAGAAGAAACACATTACATACAATGGAACTCCTTTATGTCTGGCAGCAGACTTTTCAGTGGAAACTCTACAGACCAGGACAGAGTGGCATGACATATTTAAAGTGCTGAAGAGAAAAACCTCTTACCCTAGAATAGTATATCCTGTGAAAATATACTTCAAACATGAAGAAGAAATAGTTCCCCAAATAAACAAAAAGTGAGGAATTTCATCAACACCAGACCTATCCTATAAAAAATGCTAATGTGAGTACTTCAATCAGAAAGAAAAGCATGTCAATAAATAATTAGAAATCATCTGAAGGTATAAAACTCACTGATAATTGTAAGTACACAGAAAAAGCAGAATATTATAACACTGTAACTTTGGTGGGTAAACTAGTTATAGGTTAAATAGAAAGACTCAAAGATGAACTAATCAAAAAGAATAACTACAACAACTTTCCAATCCATAGACAGTAAAATAAGATATAAATAGAAACAATGAAAAGTTAAAAAGCAGGGGGAGGATGTTAAATTACAGAGTTTGTATTCATTTTCTTTTTACTTGTTAGTTTGTGTGTTTCTTTACGTAAGCAGTTTTAAGTTGTTATCCACTTAAAATAATGGGTTATAAGATAGTATTTGTAAGCCTCATGGTAATATCAAATCAAAAATATACAATGGATGCACACAAAATAAAAAGCAAGAAATTAAATCCTACGACAAATGAAAAGTTACCTTCACTAAAAGGAAGACTGAAAGGGAGAAAAGAAGGAAGAGAAAACAACAAAACAAGCAGAAAATAAAAAGGCAGGAGTAAGTCTTTATTTATCAATAAAAATATTAAATGTAAATGGCTGTAAATAAATGTAAATGGACTAAACTCTCCAATCAAAAATCACAGAATGGGCCAGGTGCAGTGGCTCATGCCCATAATCCCAGCACTTTGGAATGGGCAGATCACCTGAGGTCAGGAGTTTCAGACCAGCCTGGCCAACATGGTGAAATCATGTATCTACTAAAAATACAAAAATTAGCTGTGTGTGATGGCAGGCACCTGTAATCCCAGATACTCAGGAGGGTGAGGCAAGAGAATCAATTTAACCCGAGAGGCACAGATTGCAGTGAGCCAAGATCATGCCATTGCACTCCAGCCTGGGTGACAAGAACAAAACTACGTCTCAAAACAAACAAACAAACAAACAGAATGGCTGAATGGATTAAAAAATACAAGACTAAGTGATTTCTGCCTACAAGAAACACACCTCACCAATAAAGACACACATAGACTGAAAATGAAGGGATGGGAAAAGATATTCCATGCAAATGGAAACCAAGAAAAAAGTAGGAATGGTTATGTTTATACCAGATAAAATAGACCTCAAGATTAAACTATTGTTAGGGGGCGGCCCTCGCTCCCAGAGCTCCCAAGATGGTGGCAGACCACTTCCAAGATGGCAGCAAGCCTCTTGTTCTCTGACCTGGGGTTCTTGGCCTCACAGATTCCAAGGAATGGAATCTTGGGCCATGCAGTGAGTGTTACAGCTCTATTAGAAGCCGTGGGTCATGGAAGAGAACCGTGGAACCCAGCAACTAGTGTTCAGCTCAATTAGGACGAACCCAGGCACTTAGCTGTACAGAAACAATGGCAATCCTTTAGCCTGATCCAGAGCGGCAATGGGCGCCTCGCTGGATCAGGAGCGCAGTGGACACCCTGCGGGATTCGGAGGGGTGGAAGTCAGAGGTGGGTCTGTGACGTCGGCAAACTGCAGTGGTGGACGGCAAGCAAAAGCTCAGCTCCAGCCATAACAAACACGGACCAGAAGAGTGTGCAGTTGCAAGATTTAACAGAGTGAAAACAGAGCTCCCATACAAAGGGAGGGGACCCAAACAGGGTAACCATTGCCAGCTCAAATGCCTGGGTTTATATCCCGATTGTTGTCCCTCCCCCTGTCCTCTCAGGTGATAGATGATTGGCTATTTCTTTACCTTCTGTTTTTGCCTAATTAGCATTTTAGTGAGCTCTCTTTACTACCTGACTGGTCGGGTGTGAGCTAAGTTGCAAGCCCCGTGTTTAAAGGTGGATGCGGTCACCTTCCCAGCTAGGCTTCCTAGGATTCTTAGTTGGCCTAGGAAATCCAGCTAGTCCTGTCTCTCACTATAAGAGATAAACTCATTATACAGTGACAAAGGAGTCAATTCAACAAGAAGATATAACAATACATATGTACCAACACTAGGGCACCCAGGTATATAAAGCAGTTATTAGAGCTAGAGAGAGAGAGAGCCCAATACAATAATAGCTGGTGACTTCGACACTACAATTTCAGTATTGGACAGATTTTCCAGAAAGAAAATCAACAAAGAAACATTGGATTTAACGTGTGGTGTAGACCAAGTAGACCTAAATAGGTATTTACAGAACGTTTCATTCAATTACTGCAAAACACAAATTTCTTTCCTGAGCATATGGAACATTCCCAAGTTAGATGATATGTTCAGTCACAAAACACATTTTTAAACTTTCAAAAAACTGAAATAATATCCAGTATCTTCTTTCATCACAATTGAATAAAAGTAGGAATCAACAGCAAGAGTTATTTGGGAAACTATACAAACACATGGGAATTAAATAATATGCTTCTGAATGACCAGTGGGTCAAAGAACAAATTAAGAAGGAAATTGAAAAATTTCTTGAAACAAATGATAATTAACACAACATACCAAAACCTATGAGCTACAGTGAAAGCGGCACTAAGTGGGAAGTTGACAGCTATAAACATGTACATCAAAACAAAACAAAAAAATCTTCAAATAAACAATCTAACAATGCATCTTAAAGAACTAAAACAAGACCAACCAAATCCAAAATTAGTAGGGGAAAAAAATAATAAAGATCAGAGCAGAAATAAACGAATTTGAAATGAAGAAAACATAAGATCAACATAACAAAAATCTGTTTTTTTTAAAAGATAAATCAAATTGACAAACCTTTAGACTCATTAAGAAAAAAAAAAAAGAAAAGACCCAAATAAAATATAAAATCAGAGATGAAAAGGAGATATTACAACCAATACTACAGAAAGTCTAAGGATTGTTAGTGGCTACCATGTGCAACCAAATGCCAATAAATTGAAAAATCTAGAAGAAACAGACAAATCCCTAAACAATTACAACCTCCCAAAATTGCACCATGAAGAAATCCAACACCTGAAAAGCCCAATAACCAGTAACAAGATTAAAGCCAAAATATAAAGTCTCATAGCAAGGAAATGCCTGGGATCTGATGACTTCACCACTGAATTCTACCAAACATTTAAAGAAAAACTAATAACAATCCTACTCAAACTGTTCTGTAAAATAGAGGAGGAGGGAATACTTCCAAACTCATCCTATAAGGTCAGAATTATCCTTATATCAAAACCAAACAGAGACACATCAAAAAAACAAAACTAAAGACCTATATCACCAATGAATATTGATTCAAAAATCCTCAACAAATTGCTAGATAAATGAATTCAATAACACAATAACAAAAGATCACTCATCATGACCAGGTGGGATTTATCCTAGGGATCCAAGGATGGTTCAACATATGCAAATCAATCAATGTAAAAGAGCAAATCAATAGGATGAAGAACAAAAATCATATGTTCATTTCAATTCCTGCTGAAAAAACATTTGTTAAAATTCAACATCCTTTCATAATAAAAACCCTCCAAACACTGAGTATGGAAGGAACATACTTCAACATAATTAAAGCTATATATGACAGACCCATAGCTCGTATTACTGAAGAGGGAAAACTTGAATGCTTTTCCTCTTACACCTGGAAAACAACAGGATGCCCATTTTCGCCACTGTTATTCAACATAGCTCTGGAAGTTCTAGCTATGAGGCAGGAGAATAGGATCTAGAGGCAGGGAACAGAAGGACAATTCATGCTGACTTTCTAGAACTAAATCAAATGTAAACACTTCAGCAATGACAGGAATGTGAATGGCTTTGTAACTTCACTTCATCCTCTCCATTCACATAAGCCACACTCACTGAGTAACATCTTCTCTACACTTTGTAACTTCACTTCATCCTCTCCATTCACATAGAGCTGATAAGGAGTAAATGACTTTGTAACTTGACTTTATCCACTTCATTTACATAGGGCATACACCAAGTAACTAATGGGAAACCTCTAGAGGGTATTGAAACCCCAGAAAATTTTGTAATCAGGTCCCTTGAGCAGCTTGCTCAGGGAGCAAAGTGTGCTTTATTTTCAATAAATCACTGTTTTGTTGCTTCATTCTTTCTTTATTTGTGCATTTTTTCCAATTCTTTGTTCAAAATGCCAAGAACCTGGACACCCTCATCCAATAACAGCTAGAGCAATCAGACAAGAGAAAGAAATAAGGGGTATCCAAATTGGAAAAAAATAATTCATTGTATTTCTGTTTGCAGATGATATGATCTTATATTTAGAAAAACCTAAAAACTCTACCAGAAAAGCATTAGAACAGATGAAGAAATTTAGTCAACTTATAAGATGCAAAATCAATGTACAAAAATCAGTAGCATTTCTATATGCCAGCAGTAAAAAATCTGAAAAGGAAATCAAGAAAGCATTACCTTTTACAACAGATACAGATAAAATAAAATTCTTAGGAGTAAATTAAATCAAAGAAAGATATCTGCAATGAAAACTATAAAACATTAATGCAAAGAATTGAAGAGGACACCAAAAAAAATTCATGTTCATGGATTCGAAGACTCAATATTGTTTAAATATCCGTACTACCTAAAGCAATCTACAGATTCAATGCAATCCCCATTAAAATACCAATGACATTCTTCACAGCAATAGAAAAACCATCTAAAATTTGTATAGAACCACAAAAGACCCAGAATAGACAAAGCTGTCCTAAGCAAAAATAACAAAACCGAAGAATCACATTACTTGACTTCAAATTATACTACAGAGCTGTAGAACCAAAATGGCATGGTACTGGCATAAAAAGAGGCACATAAAACAGTGGAACAGAATATAAAACCTAGAAATAAATCTGTAAATCTACAGTGAACTAATTTTTGATAAAGGTGCCAAAACCATACATTAGGGAAAGAACAGTTTCTTCACTAAATGATGCTGAGAAAACTGGATAGCCATAGGCAGAAGAATGAAACTAGACCCCATCTCTTACCATATATAAAACATCAAAGCAAAATGCATTAAAGACTTAAGTCTAAGACCTCAAACTATGAAACTACTTCAAGAAAACATTGGAGAAACTCTCTGCTACTTGGTCTGGGCAAAAATTTCTTGAGTAATATCCCACAAGCACAGAAAATCACAGCAAAAATGGGCAAATAGGATCACATCAAATTCAAATGCTTCTGCACAGCAAAGGATAAAATTAACAAAGCGAAGAGACAACCCTCAGAATGAGAGAAAATACTTCCAAACTGCTCATCTGATAAAGACTTAAACAGAATTTGTAAGAAGCTCAAGCAACTCTATATTAAAAAATCAATCTGTTTAAAATGGGCAAAAGTGGGATTGCTGGATCAAATTGTAGTTCTACTTTTTTAAATCCAGCAATCCCACTACTGGGTATGTACCCAGAGGAAAAGAAGTTATTATACAAAAAAGATACTTGCACACACGTTTAAAGCAGCACAAATCGCAATTGTAAAAATATGGAACCAGCCCAAACGCCCATCAATCAACCAGTGGATGAAGAAACTGCAATATATATATGTATATAATTATATATAAAATCATATACATATATAATTATATATAAAATTATATAAATACATGTAATTATATATAAAATTATATAAATCTATATAATTATATATGAAATTATATATGTATATAATTATATATAAAATTATATAAAATTATATATTTATATATAAAATTATATAGTTATATAGTTTTAAATTTATATATATTTTATATAAATATATAATATATAAATTTATACTATATATGTATATAAAATTATTTATATAATTTTAATTTTAGTATATAATTATATATAATTACATATATATAATTATATATAATTACATATATATTATGTATGTATACATATATATATGTAATTATATATGTATACATATATATATGTAAATACATATATATGTAATTATATATGTAATTACATATATATAATTATATATGTAATTATATATAATTATATACGTAATTATATATTTATATATAATTATATACGTATGTAATTATATACGTATATAATTATACGTATAATTAATTTATACGTATAATTATATATGTATATAATTACATACGTATATAATTATATACTTATATGTATAATTACGTATATATAATATGTATAATACGTATAATATGTATAAATACGTATATATAATAAATTATTAGGCTCTCATTCTCATCTGGGTAGATGAGAATATATATGATATATATTTGATATATATGATATATATTTATATAAATATATATTTATATAAAATTATTTATATAATTTTAATTTAATTTTAATATATAATTATGTATATTTATATATAATTATATATAAAATTATATATATAATCATATACATATATAATAAATTATTAGGCTCTCATTCTCATCTGGGTAGTTCCATAGGAAGGTGGAGAAACTAAAGAAGGACATTTTAGCAATAAAGAAGGATGGTAAAAGCAGCACAAGAAGAATTGAGAACTCAGACTTACAAATATTTGGAATAGCCCTCTTCCTCCCAAGAAACCCTGGAGATGTGGGGAAGGAAACTGAGCTTCCATGGTATATAAAAGTGAAATAAGTTTTAATTCAATAGTAATTGAATTTAAAGTTCATGGTAAAGTATCAACCTGGAGTCAAATGGGGGTTTTACAGTTGATAATTGGATTTTTAAAATGTCTTTTACTATCAACACCCTTTTAGAATAAGATTTTTTACCATGTTATTTTTAATTATTTTATGTTATTATTTTTTACTTGGTTTTCTCTTGTCTAAAAGGAGTCCTTGTGTCTGTTTGGTGACTTCAGTTAGCTCTGCTGCAATATGCTGATTTGATTATGTAGTTCTCAGAGTAAAATGATATCTAATTTGTCTAATTTCTAAATAATCAAGAGTGCTTTATCTTTTGGTCCATATACTAACATAGATGTACATGGCATTTTGTGGTTCATTACTATGTCTGAATACATACTTCATTTATTCCTTACAAAAATATGTGAGTTTTTAGTGAGGCTATTTTTTAATTCTTACAGATTAAAAAAAATAAATTCAAAGAATGATTTGCTGTTCCCACAATGCTGGAATGTGGCAGAATTAGAATTAAAAGTCATGGTTATTGGCTTCAATTTCTAATACTTTTCAATATATAATCTCTTTAAAAAATTTGCTCCTGATTTTCACATACAAGAATATAGTTAATATTATTAAACTGGCTATCCAATGATGGCTTTTTACCCTAAAATTCTTTTGCTTCCTGGATGAAAAGATGAAGAGAAAAATTATTATTATTATTATTATTAATTATTAATTATTATTATTGAGACGGAGTTTCACTCTTGTTGCCCAGGCTGGAGTGCAATGGCGCGATCTCGGCTCACTGCAACCTCTGCCTCCCGGGTTCAAGCGATTCTCCTACCTCAGCTGCCCAAGTAGCTAGGATTACAAGCACCTGCCACCATGCCCAGCTAATTTTTTGTATTTTTAGTAGAGACAGGGTTTCACCATTTTGGCCAGGCTGGTCTTGAATTCCTGACCTCAGGTGATCCGCCCGCTTCGACCTCCCAAACTGCTGGAATTTTTATGTTTGAAATAAAGCAACTACTAATCTTAAAATAAAGGTATTTAGGGGAATATAAGTGGTTACACTAATCAAAATGATCCCTCACAGACACCATATTAAATTTGCATTAAATGAAAGATAATAAAAACCTGAATCTCAAGTATAGATTATCCTTGAAATTACAATTGTTATACGTGTATGTTGTTATTCATTTTGACAGGCATTTACTAAATAATTAAAATATACATCAATTGTACAAATATAACATTAAAGTGTAAATACAAGGAGAAAATGTCTGCACTGGAAAGTTACCTTTGCTTGTAAGAAAACAAAGAGGTAGGGCCAGGCGCGGTGGCTCACGCCTGTAATCCCAGCACTTTGGGAGGCCGAGGCGGGCTGATCACAAGCTCAGAGATCGAGACCATCCTGGTGAAACCCCGTCTCTACTAAAAATACAAAAACTTAGCCGGGCGTGGTGGCGGGCGCCTATAGTCCCAGCTACTCAGGAGGCTGAGGCAGAAGAATGGCATGAACCTGGGAGGCGGAGCTTGCAGTGAGCCGAGATCACGCCACTGCACTCCAGCCTGGGCGACAGAGTCAGACTCCGTCTCAAAAAAAGAAAAAAGAAAAAGAAAAAAAAAAGAAAAGAAAAGAAAGCAAAGAGGTAAATGCAACCTCTTTTTAATCTTTGATTCATTTCTTACTAAAACGGTAGCTGTACATCTGAATGTCTGATTTTACAGACAGTACAATTATTTTGGATTATAAAAACCTACACAATGTCTTGATTAGATCAAGATGTTTTCCAGCACAGGACAACGTGCCATTGATTTTTGACCTTCAAATGTTCTAAACTGTCAGAAATTTTACAAATGACCTTTCATACTGTAATTCATTTGCCATTTTGTGGCTACTTCATATTATCTTAGCTAACCAAGGTCATATACCCAACATAAATTGCTGTGAGAATAAGTGATTAATTTAAAAAATCATAATATTCTCCAGGCTGAATGAAGACAGCTGTATAAACTTAACTTTATACTGAAAGTTATGTGAACCTTGTAAACTATTTTTGTTTTAAAATATTGGAGTTATATGAAATATGTGGAAAAAATAAAAATGATGAATATAAGAAGCATTTCAATTTTGTCTATCAAACATACAAATGAACATATAATACAAAATTATTTTTGCATAAGCAGAATAATATTTCCATTAGTTTGCACAATACTACTACACACAATTTATTCAGGGAAACCAGATGAAGTAGTAAAAGTGAAGCTGTCTTGTGGATATTTCATTTGTTCTGTGGTAAACAAAATTGTTTTGAGGAAACACCATATATATTAACTACCATCCTGTTTCATAAACAGTTCAAAGAAAGAACACATGGCTTAAAATTCAGGAAGGTATTTCATTTATTTGGCAACAAATCTAATTAAAAGGCAATAGTAATTATTTTCGATTGATAAAGTCATTTGGAAAATAATAATCAGCATCTGATTTAGAAATTCAGCTTTACCTTAACAGTGTAATAAATGTGATCAACATCAGCCCTCTGGACAATTATGATGTTAAACATCCTTGATTTATTCTTTCATAAAGGAACATAAGTACCCCTTAAAATCACTTAAAAGATGGTCTTATTTAGAAAATAATAAAAACAAGGGAGAATGAAGAGTCAGGTACGTAAACTTTCTGAAGCATTTTTCTTTTTTCAAATTGGGATTGTATTTAAAATTTAAAAGAAAGAATGAAAACCTCACAGACTCAACCATGTGTTCTGATGCCAGACATTACTTGTTCCATTTAAGTTCCTTATGCTATGTCCTTTCTGTACTTCATCTGTGCTCTAAATCTGTCTGATGAATAAAACAGGGAAAAAAGAAAGAAAAGGAAGAAAAAGAAAAATAAATTTCTACCATTTTTTTCCTGAAAAAGCAAATTTTACTACTGGTCAAACATCAAGGTCTATGCCATCTAGGACCCTTCATACATACTTAGGTAGCTAAGACAGGGATCTTATTAAAAAATTGAATATATTTTTATTTTATGTAAGCCTCACAAACCTTAGCATTAAAACAGAAGTTGTTCTCAACCAGAAGAGTATTAAAATGGCTTCCTTCTGCTCACTTTTTCTATCCTCTATGCATTTTTGTAAAGTATAATGTTTCAGTTACATATGGAGAATTTTGGACCACTTTGGCAGTGGTCATTGGGAGCTGGGTCTGCTGATGCCCTATACCTGCTTCTGGATGCAAAAGAAACCTGGCTTCCTTCTGCTCACTTTTTCTATCCTCTATGCATTTTTGTAAAGTATGATGTTTCAGCTACATATGGAGAAATTTGGACCATTTTGGCAGTGGTCATTGGGAGCTGGGTCTGCTGATGCCCTATACCTGCTTCTGGATGCAAAAGAAACCTTCAAAAATTTGCTCTGGAACAGATAACAGCAACTGCCATCCAATTGATGATCCTCTTGTTCCATTTTAACTGGAACTTAACTCCATTACCTTCTCTGTCACTTCATTCCGATGGGTCATTCCCACTAGTGTTGGATATAGAACTACACAGCACTTCTTGTCTTCTAATATTTTCCTCAATTAGAACTTAGTGTCTTTTGTTGCTATTTTTGAAGGTACCTCCCCTCTAGAAAACATTAAGAAAACCTTATTATCTCTTGACAAGTCTTTGCTATCTCACCTGCACTCTTCTAGTTTATGTGTTCTCTGGTTTTCATTACTTTCTTCAGGTGCAGTGTTGCCCAGCTTGACAAAGTTTTTGAGAACAAAACCCTCCATAATTTCACAGGATAAGTTCAAACAGCAGGAATGACATAGGCTAGATGAAAGTGTGCGTGTTCATTGTATGCCTGTGTCAAAACATCTCTTGTACCACATAAATGTATACACCTACAATGTACCCATAAAATTTTAAAAAAAGAAAGTGGAGGTCCTGATTCATCATTTATTTCTATTGGTCCTCTCTCTCCCCCATTTTATTTGTCACCTGGCTTCAAAGGGAATAATTTCTAGGCATTTTCCTAATCCGATTTCATTTTGAATTTTTTTCTCGGTTGGCAGGTTGTCACTTTGGAAGGTAACTGATAAATTACATAATCCTCTAAACATCTTACTTTACCTAATTAAAATACTCCCTACCCTACTGTCATCAATAATGCAAGAGTTAGAGTTAGCTGCATTATAGCAGTTGATAATTCTGTTACCTAAAGATTTAATTATCTAATGGTTATAATTTAGCCATCATTTCAGGATGGTGATTATTTAGAAGGCCAAGAACTTCTTAGAAGCACATGTATTATATGATAGTAACACCTCTTCTACTTACCCTGAGGGTCAGGCTTTCTAATTTTGCTTTAACAGATTTTTACCAACTTTCCAGACTTTCACCAATATGACATAAACATACAGATGTGCAGACCTTCCACGCTTTAAACACACATTGGTAATTGGCTGGAAATCAGTTACACTCAGATGCAAACTCTTTAGGATCAGTCTCAGTTTACATCTCTCAAAATCTGAGGGAAGATGGTTATATTTCTTCTTCAATTTTGAACTCTACATTTAAAAAATGTATATTGCTTGGTATCTTTGAGGATGGTAAAAGAAATCCAGAATAAGACTATAAGCTCTTCTAAGTTAGGAGCCATAACATCATGGTTCAGTGCTACAGCCCCAAATATAGCTCATGTCAACACGTATGATAGATGTCTAATAGGTATTTGTTGAATTAATTGTCAAACGTAATATTAAATGGCAAGGACAATGTGGTTGAAAAGTAGATCATTGACTTAGAATAAGTAATCAGCATCAGGCGTAAAGAAAGATTCCAGAATACATAGGACACTTTCTAAGAGGGAGCATAGATAGGGAGTTGGCAAGCATTTGCCTCATTAAACAATTACCATAACGGCTCTGATAATTTAGACAATATGGTACAGTGTAACACAAATCCAGATAAATTCAACAGTGAAACTGAATAGAAAGTGCAGCAACAATCCACACATTTAAAGAGTAGATAAATGGTAGAGGTGGCATTGCAGAATGACTTGGAAAGATTGGCCTCTTGAAAGAACCATGCAGGCAACTTCTAACTGGCATCCTGTTTCTTCTTTGCAGATATGTGTTTCTGTCTTTGCATGATAATCTATTAATACACTCAAAACAGTAGCAAGAATGATCTTTAAAATAAATAGTATTATGATTCTTGTCTTACTCAACATAAACCCAAAGACTTTGCAGTGGCCTACAAAGCCTACACACATTCTACCATTGCCCAGTCTTTTTTTATTTCATCCCGACTTGATTCCCTTTTACTTACTCTGCTTAAGTCACACCAGGACTTGACTATTATTGAAACATACAAGGGGACTCTCGCCTTAAGACACTTATACTTGTTCCCAAGGCCTGGAATGCTCTTCAAAGAGCCACACAGCTCACTCTCCCTTCCATCTCATCTCACCTCTAAAGTCACTTTCTTAGTGGGGACTTCCTGAGCCATGTTGTCTAATATTGCAGTTTGTACCATCCCAACCCACATTTGTTTCTTATTTTTCATCCCCACTGAATATTTCTCTCTAGCACTTTTTGCTGTCTTATTAGAAATTTTTCTTATTTATCTTTTTAATTGTATGTCCTTCCAATAGAATGTAAGCTCCATGAGAGTAAAGATTTTGCTTTGCTTTGTCTTGTTCACTGTGTTATCTTTATTGCCTAGAAACATGATGAGTGCAGTAAAAGTCTTGTTAAATAATGATAAATTTAAACTTGTTTTATTGTTATTTATTTCTAATCTAAATGTTTAGAAGGTTGAGAATAATTGGTATGATATCTATTCTTTGAAATTTGTTTAGATTTTATTATGTAAATAATTTGATGAACAATTTACATATCTTAGAGTAATCTTGGTGCAGTTTACAGTTTGTATGCTAATATTGCTCAAATCTTTTCATTTTCCTCCTCTTTTTTTTCTCTTATTCTATCAAACAAAAGTAAAAGGCATTTTGATATCTTTTAGTAGGTTGGAGATTTCTTAGTTATATGCTATGATTCATACAGTTTTTATACTAATATAACATATTTTGAGGCTAATTTATTATATACAAATTAGTCTCAAGTTGTTTTCTCTTTATGTTGAGATTCCCTTTGTTTTTAAAGACACTTTTTCACTTTAAAAACCATTTTGACTGATTTCTGCAATGACAATGAAATAATTTTAGTTCATAACTTTGTGATAACATTTTCTATTATTTTATTTCTCAGTGTCCTTACCTTGACTTGTAAATTTCCCTTACTTGAGGCTTGCTTTGGTGGTGGTTTATTTGTTATTAGTTTGTACTTATACTATCTGATAAGCTTCATATTTTAATTGACTTATTTAGTTCATTAACATTTTTTAGCCATTGGATGATTGAAATATTTGGACCTATTTTCACCATTCAATTTTTTTTCTATTTTCTCACTTTTTCTATGATTCCTTTTCCTCTTTCCTTGCAGCTACTTTTTAAAAGATGATTTAGTTTTTGTTTAGTTGTCATGTTTTTCCTAGTCCATTTTCCTCACTATTTGGATGTTATATATGCTAATTATATATTTTTTTCTGTTCTTTCTATCTTTATTTTTTTAAATAGGGTCTTGATTTGTCACCCAGGCTGGAGTGCAGGGGTCTGATCCTGACTCAGTGTAGTCTAACTTCTTGGGCTCAGTCAATCCTCCAAACTCAGCCTCAATGTGTAGCTGGGCCTACATGCAGGCAGCACCATGTTCAGCTATGTTTTGTATTTTTTGTAGAGTCAGGATTTTGCACATTGCCCAGGCTGGCCTCAGACTCCTGGTCTCAAGTAATCCTCCTGACTCAGCCTCTTGAAGTGTTGGGATTATAGGCATGAGCCATCACACTCAGCCAATATTTTCCTTTAATAGTTATCTTTAAACATGGGATCGAATTAATGAAATCTAGAAATAATCAATATCACAACTTTTTCCCAGAAAAATCAGGATTTTATGATATTTTACTTGAACCACAATAACTTCATTTGCATAGAATTGTTATCTAACTCCCTATTTCATTTAGTTATAGTCTACAATTTTGACATTATTATTTCATTAATATAACTATTAATTCATGCATGTGACACTTTTTTTATGTTTAGCAATATCTGATGTGACCATCCCTATTTGCATCTGAGTTTCTTTATACGGTCATTTTCCTTTCTATGAGATAATGAAGGTTCTTTGGTAAATTTACTGAGAGTTTATTTAACTGGTAAAGATTAATAAGCCCATCATATTTGAAAGATGATTTTCTGGTTAATACAAGTCTCATTTGACCGTTGTTTTCTTTCAGCATTGAAAATATTATTTCACTGTTTTGGCTTTCACAGTTGCTGGTATGAAAAATGCATTAGTATGATTTTCTTTATTTTTATGTTTTTTTTTCTGGTGGCTTAAGAGATCTCTTCTTTGTCTTGATATTCTGGAGTTTTACTAAAGTATCTAACTTTGTGTGGGGGGCGGTGGGGATGGTGTCTGTCCTAGTATACTTTGTACTTTCTTTTATCTGTAGACTCATGCATTTCATCAGTTTTGGACAATTTATAGAAATATCTCTTCATATATCTCATCTCATTTTTCCTTTAGTCCCAAATTCTGGAAGTCTTATTAGATACATGTTCAAGCTTCTCATTCTAAACTCTAAGTCAATTTCTTTCTTTGACTCTCTCTCTCGAAGTCTGAATCAGTCTCTCTCTCTCTGTCTCTCTTATTAGGATTTTCTGACCGCTGATTTATTCTTCATTTGTGTCTAGCCATTTGTTTAAATTATCTGCTAATTTTTAAATTCTCAATTATAGGTTTCATTTTAAATCTAATTATTGTTGGTAGATTACTTTTGTGATTTCATTTTTTATTTATTTACATGCTACACCTAGTTTTTATTTTAATTCTGTAAATGATTAATGCAATACCCAATGTTCTTTGTCTCTATGCTGATGCTCAGCCCTTTTGCCTTGTTATGTTTTGTGATCTCTGATTATGAGCATTTCTTTTCTTGATCTTCCTCTGTGGGAATCTAAGGGCCTAAATGTGAAAAGCTTTAAGCTACAGAGGATTTATGTTTGCTTCTGATATGACTCAAGAGATTCTGGTAGCTACTCAAAGGCCCTCATTTAAAGGGAAGCTTGCTTTGGCCTGCACACTGTGATACACTCTCATAATAGTCTTTGATCCAAGGATTGGTATGGGAATTTGTTTCTCAGACAAACAGCTTTCAGGTTAGCTGATTCTTCACTGCTTCCTGCTCAGATTTCAACTCACAGATTTACTGTTTGCTTGTTTAGGTCCTTGGAGATTTCCCTTATTTCTTGAGACTCACTAATGTATTTCTATCCAAGATCTGGTTGTTTTATAAAAGGAAGCCTCTTCTGAGGGTCTAATTCACCACTCTACTGAGTAGAAATGTTTCAAAAATGTTCACGTTATAAAATTTCAAATATTAGTTTCTTCAGTCAAAAAGATTATGTGCAACTTACTCAAAACTTATTTAGGCTTGGTATGAATATATTACTATCAGTATTTTAAATTTGCAGCTCTTAAATTAGTTCGAATCCCCATGACTAAAAATGTACTATATACAACATATCATACGACTGATTCAAGTCATTCTAACCACAAAATATAAGATTCAAAAAGAACAAAATAAGTACAAACTGCTTAATAGTGATTATCAACATGTAGCCAATCTACAAGAACAAAAAAGCCATTGTCTCAATCAAATATCCATGCCCCCAAAATGAGGCAACATTTCATTGATTCTTTGCATTCTCTAAATTGAGTGTATCGTGACACAAACATCCAAACTATTTTGCTATAATCATATTATCATCTTCGAAAACAAGATTCTTATAAAGTTACATGATTTAATATTTGCTTGGCTGTTTTTACTTCATTCTATTACATACATTCTGGACATTATCAGAATTTGCAGACACTGCAGTTGGTATCATTATCAATTTGCATTAACATAAAACTCTTTTTCAAGTTGTCTTAATTACATCATGCCTCATAAATCCAACTTGGTCTATGTGTATTAACTTATCCATAAGTCATTCAAGTCTTGTTGCCAAAATCTTGGCATAATATCTTTATAGCACATTTAGTTATTTAAATGGACCTATAATTTTTAAGAATGTTATCCCTCCCTTTTCTAAATTATTAAGAGTTACTTTGCTCATAGTTGGGGAAAAATTATGTTGTACTGTGTGCTCCACAAATACCATATAAGGTGATCAGTTTCATCCTAAAATTGTAAAATGACTCACTGGACACCTGCATTCACCAGTTCTTTGCCCTTCACAAGTTTTCAGAAGTCATTTAGAGAAAATTAATTTGTTTCCACAGGACGTTCTAATCAGTGACATTGGGGATATATTTTCAAGCATTTCTTAGCTTTCTAGTTAGCAAGAAATAAATCCACCAGCGTTATGACACTATTTTTTCCCTTTTATATAATACCAAATGAAATGAGAAAATATTCTTTGTCATCACAGCACTCTGAGCCTATTTTCCCTGGGGCAAAACATACTTAGATATAGGACAGACACTAGGGTGAAACACTATGTTTGAGTGCTAAGGAAATTGTTCCTTAGAGGCCTGAAAAGTTAATGTGTCTCTCATTATATCACTACCATGGAACAGTACCAGGCTGCATAGAAAGTCAGAACTAGAAGAGGCTGGAGAAATAATCTAACAACACTACAAAATTATTTTACAGGTAAGAAACTGAGTCCCTAAAAAGTTATGTAATTTGTTGAAAGTCACACAACTAATTGATAAGAGATTCAAGATGAGAATTTAGGTTTTTGATTCTTAGATGAAGGCGTTACTCTGTATAGTTCAGAAAATATAATTCTATATTACCTTGATTAAACTTTATAAGCTATCCTTCAATTTAAAAAGACTTACATAATTAATGTCTTCCCACCATTTCTTTTCTTCTTTTAAAAAAAAATTGCCTACATTTCTTGGTGATTAGATGAAAATATTTTGGATATGAAATACTTTTCTAGGAATTGGGGCTCAGGAGGTTTTTCATGGACTCCAAAGACTCATGCACCAGAGAGAGCTCTGTGGTGGGGTAGTCAGAAAAGATGGACAGGAGCAAATCTGAAAGGGTTTTTACCCCATGTTAAGTAATTCTGACTATAACTTAATAGCAAAGAGAAGACTTTGAAGGATTCCAATGGGACAAGCACTCGAATAAGTTTATTGCTTCATAAAGCTCAAGCTATGCCAATATTTTAAACAAAGCTTGGAGTGGAAAACAAGAGACCAGTCAGCAAGCTATTAGATTATTAATATATACCTACAAAAAATCACGGGGCTAGTCCCCCCCCAAGATATTATAATAGGTATAAAAATAGTTTGATAATTTTTCCATTTTTAATGAGGTATAATTGACAAACAAAAATTGTATACATTCAAGATATGCAATTTGATAATTTGACACATTTATGCATTGTGTAATAATTACAAAATTGAATTATCGCATCCATCAACACCCATAGACATGTGATGAGAGCAGATTTTAAATGTCTGCACCACACACACACAAAGAAAAAAAAATCTGAAAATTGGGGATAATTTAAAGACAACCAACTAAATAACTAGCGCAACATGCAAGGATAAAGAACACAGTGGGAGAAACACATTTGGAGAGTAGAGAACTAAAATGATTTTTTGTATTTGTTAAATTTTAGCATTCTGTTGGATATTCAGATAAATATTCTATATGTGGTAAAGCAGAACCTAAGAAAAATTTGATTTAGCGATAGAGATTTAGAAACATAAGGATAAGTGGTAATTGAATTTATAGATATTAACTTATTCATACATACACATAAAATTTTACAGGATTGAGTGAAGTAAGAGTTGAAGATGAAACTGGAGAATACCAGTACCAAAGAAAAGGGTAGAGAAAGAAAAAAGCTGGAGTACCTAAAGAAGTAGGAAAAAATAAAAAGAAGACGGTACTGTCCTGGAAGACTATGATAGAGAGAACATAATAAAAGAGAAAGTGTTCCACAAGGTCATGTCCTGCAATGGGTTTAAGTGAGATAAGAACTCATAAGTTTATCTTGGTTTAGTAATACAAAGGTCCTTGGTGAACGAAAAAGTAGTAATTTCAGCTAAGGAACAAGAGAAGAAGCCATATTAGAGAGTTGAGGTGTCAGTGAATAGGAGTTTTAGATGTAGAAAAACACATAAAATTTATTCTTTCAGAAGTTTCTCCATGAAGAAAAAGAAGGAGAAAATTAGAAAACTACATAGGGGAAATATTTAAGAGATGAAAATCATAAAAGGGAGAGAATATGGGAGGTTCTATTATTAAAATAAAATATTAACCAAATATTTGAATTAGAAGAAATGTTAAAGGCTCACTCCAACCTGTTCGCTCACATAATTAAAGTCTAAAGAGACAAATGTATTTAGATATATAATAACTGTCAATTACTGACCAATTCAGGACCAGAACAGATGTCCTCAAAACAAAACCTGCAACAATTAAAAATAAAAAATAACAAAAAAATACGCTTAGGATTGCCTTGGCTATTTGGGCTCCTTTATTTCAGTTCCATATGACTTTTAAGTTTTTTCTAATTGTTAGGAACTTCATTGCTATTTGGAAAGAAATAACGTTGAATCTATACATTGCTTTGGGTAGTAAGGTCATTTAATGGTATTGATTCTTCCTATCCATGAGCATGGACTGTTTTTTCATTTGTTTGTGTCATCTCTAATTTCTTTGAGCAGTGGTTTGTAGTTCTCCTTGTAGAGATCTTTCATCTCCCTGACTAGCTGTATTCCTAGGAATGTTATTCTTTTTGTGGCAATTGTGAATGGAATTGAGTTCCTGGTGTGGCTGTCTGTTTCACTGTCGTTAGTGTATAGGAATGCTAGTGATTTTTGTACATTGAGTTTATATTCTGAGACTTTGCTAAAGTTGGGTATCAGCTGAAAGAGCTCTCAGGCTGAGACTATGGGTTTTTCTAGATCATGTTGTCTTCAAATAGGGATAGTTTGAATTCCTCTTTTCCTATTTGGATACATTTCATTTCTTTTTCTTGCACAATTGCCCTGTCCAGGATTTCCAATAGTATGTTGAATAGGAGTGCTGAGAGAGGACAACCTTTTCATGTGTTAGTTTGCAAGGGGAATGCTTCCAGCTTTTGTCCATTGAGTATGATGCTGTCTATGGTTTTGTCACAGATGACTATCCTTATTTTGAGGTATGTTCCTTTAATACCTAATTTATTGAGAGTTGTTAATGTGAAGGGATGTTGAATTTTATTGAAACCCTTTTCTGCAAAGCTTAAGGCATCACACTACCAGACTTCAAGCTATACTGCAGGGCTGCAGTTACCAAAACAGCATGGTAGTGGTACAAAAACAGGCACCAGACAAATGGAACAGAATAGAGGGCCCAGAAATAAGGCCACACACCTAAACTATCCAATCTTTGACAAAGCTGACAAAAGCAAGCAATGGGGAAAGGACTCCTTAATCAATAAATGATGCTTTGATAACTAGCTAGCCATATGCAGAAGATTGAAACTGGACCCCTTACTTACAGCATATTAAAAATCAACTCAAGATGGATTAAAGACTTAAACATAAAACCCAAAACTATAAAAATCCCTGGAAGACAACCTAGGTAATACCACTCAGGACATAGGCACAGACAAAGATTTCACAATGAAGGCTCCAAAAGCAATTGCAACAGAAGCAAAAATTGACAAATGGGGTCTAATTAAACTAAATAGCTTATGCACAACAAAGGAAACTATAAACAGAGTAAACAGACAACTGACAGAATAGGAGAAAAATTTTGCAAACTATATATCTGACAAAGGTCTAATATCCAGTATCAATAAGAAACTTAAACAAATTTATAAGAAAAAAACAACCCCATTAAAAAGTGGGCAAAGGACAAAAATGGACACTTTTCAAAAGACATACATGCTGCCGACAAGCATGTGAAAAAAAGCTCAACATCACTGATCATTAGAGAAATGCAAATCAAACCAACAATGAAATACCATCTCATACCAGTCAGAATGAGTATTATTAAAAAGTCAAAAAATGACAGGTGTTGGCAAGATTGTGGAGAAAAATGAATCCTTATATACTGTTGATGGGAGTGTAAACTAGTTCATCCAATGCAGAAAGCAGTGTGGTAAATTCTCAAAGTGATAAAAGAAGAACTACTTGATGCAGCAATCCCATTACTGGGTATATACCAAAAGAATAGAAATAATTCTCTTACAAGGACATGTGCACATGTGTGTTCAATGCAGCACTATGCACAATAGCAAAGACATGGAATCAACCTAAATGCCCATCAATGCTAGGCTGGATAAAGAAAATGTGGTGCATATACCCATGGAATGCTACGCAGCCATCAAAAAGAATGAGATCATATTCTTTGCAGGAACATGGATGGAGCTAGAAGTCATTATCCTTCACAAACTAATGCAGGAACAGAAAACCAAATACCACATGTTCTCCTTATAAGTGGAAGATAAATGATTAGAACACATGGACACATACAGGAGAACAACAGACACTTGGGCCTACTTGAGGGAGAAGCTTGGGAGGAGGAAGAGGATCAGGAAAAATAACTCACATGTACTAGGCTTAATACCTGGGTGACAAAATAATCTGTACAACGAACCCCCATGACAGAAGTTTACCTATAGAATAAACCAGCACATGTACCCCTGAACATAAAATAAAAGTTTAAATAAATAAAAAGATAAAAAAAATTTTAAAAATGTTATTTCTTTTCTGCTTAGGTGCACACTTGGCAAAGTTTCTTTGCCAAGAAACTTCTATTATTGAAGAAAGTAGATATTTTGTTTTTTATTTTTTATCAATTTTGCCATTGTATATTTCTTAAGTGGAGCACTGAGACTATTTATATTCAATGTTAATACTGAGATGTGAGGTACTGTTTCTGTCATAGTGTTTATTGTTTCCTAGTGGTTTTGTTTCCTTCCTTATGTTATTGTTTCATAAGCCCAGTAAATTTTATGCTTTCAGGAGTTTCTATTCTGATATGTATAGATCTATTGTTTCAAGGTTTAGAATTCCTTTTAGCATGTCTTGTAGGGCTAGTCTAGTAGTGTCAAATTCCCCCATCATTTGCTTGTCTGAGAATGACTCTATGTCTCCTTCAAGCAATCTACTGATTTAATACAATTCCTATCAAAACACCAAGATCTTTCATAGAATTAGAAAAAAAATCCTAAAATTCATATGGAACCAAAAAAGAGCCCAAATAACCAAAACAATCCTAAACAAAAAGAAACAAATCTAGAGCATCACATTATCTAACTTCAAACTATACCACAAGGCTATAGTAAGCAAAACGACATGGTATTGGTATAAAGGTAGATACATAGGCCAGTGGAATAGAATACAGAACCAAGAAATAAAGCCAAATACTTAAAACCAACTGATCTTTGACAAAACATACAAAAACATAAATTGGAGAAAGGACACTTTATTCAATAAATGGTGCTGAGGAAATTGAATCGCCACATGTAGATGAATGAAACTAGATCCTTATCTCTCACAATATACAAAAATTAACTCAAGCTGAATTAAAGAATTTAAAATCTGAAACCATAAAAATTCTAGAAGAAAACTGAAGAAAAACTCTTCTGGACATTGGTCTAGGCAAACAATTTATGACCAAGGCCCTAAAACCAAATGGAACAAAAACAAAACTAAATAAATAGGACCTAATAAAACTAAAAAGTTTCTACACAGCAAAATAAATGATTATCAGAATAGACAACCTACAGAATGAGAGAAAATATTTGCAAATTATTCATGCAACAAAGGGCTAATATTCATAATCTACCAGGAACTCAAATTAGCAAGAAAATCATCAAATAATCCTATTAAAAAGTGGGCAAATGACATGAATAGACATCTCTCAAAAAAGATATACAAGTGGCCAAGAAACATTAGAAAAATGTTTAATATCACTAATTATCAGGGAAATGCAAATAAAACCACAATAAGATATCACCATAACACCTTACACCAGCCAGATGACCATTAAAAAAAAGAAAAAAAAAACATAGATGTTGGTGTGGATATGGAATGTTAGTACAACCTCTATGGGACACAGTATGGAGATTTCACAAACAACCTAAAGTAGATCTATCATTCAGTCCAGTAATCCTCCTACTGGGTATCTACCCTAAGAAAAAGAAGTCAATATATTAAAAAGACACTGGCACATGTATGTTTATTGTGGCATAATTTACAATAGCAAATATATGGAATCAACCTAAGTGCCCATCAACCCGTAAGTGGATAAAGAAAAATGTGGTATACACACACACACACACACACACACACACACACAGGAGTACTACTCAGCCATAAAAAATAACGAAATAATGTCTTGCCACAACTTGAATGGAACTGGAGGACATTATTCCTTTTTTGTTGTTGTTTTTTTGAGACGGAGTCTCACTCTGTTGCCCAGGCTGGAGTGCAGTGCTGCGATCTTGACTCACTGCAAGCTCGGCCTCCTGGGTTGACACCGTTCTCCTGCCTCAGCCTCCCAAGTAGCTGCGACTACAGGCGCCCGCCACCACACCCGGCTAATTTCTTGTATTTTTAGTAGAGATGGGTTTTCACCATGTTAGCCAGGATGGTCTCGATCTCCTGACCTCGTGAGCCACCCACCTTTGCCTCCCAAAGTGCTGGGATTACAGGCGTCAGCCACCACGCCTGGCCTGGAGGACATTATTCTAAGTGAAGTAACTCAGAAATGGAAAAGCAAATACTGTATGTTCTCACTTAAAGTGGGAACTAAACTATGACATGCAAAGGCATACACAGAGTAGAAATGAACATTGGAGACTCGGAAGTGAGGAAGGTGGGAGGAAGGTGAGGGATGAAAAACTACCTACGGGCACAATGTACGCTACTCAGGTGATGAGTGCACTAAAATCCCAGACTTCATCACTATACAATTCATCCATGTAAACAAATACCATTTGTACCCCTAAAGCTATTGAAATAAAAAAGAAATTTTAAACTTTTATTATTGAGGGGACACCAATATTTCCTATAAAATATGGAAGGACTATTTAAAATGATGTACTTATTACCACTGGTCAACATAAATCTGGAAAACTATTATTCCTGGTGACTTAGAATATCAGAAGCTATGTAGCGTATCATAAAAAGTTATTTTGGAGAGGAAAAGGAGGTAGTCTAAAAATCATTTAAAACTGACTTTGAGGAACCTTAAAATGTTATTGTTTTTGCTTTTTATTTTCTGTCCCTTAAGTTCCTATCACTATTTGGATATATTTTTTTCTTTACTCCAATTACTTGTTATGATAAATGATTTGCCTTTGAAAGATATTCCCACAGAGTGACAACTTTATTCATAGATAGATAGATAGACAGATAGATAGATAGATAGATAGATAGATAGATAGATAGATAGATATATGATGGATGGATAGAGATTTTCCTACACTTCACTACTTCTTCCCTGAAGATGATAGCTAAAAGGAATTAGTTTGGAAATCATCAGGAATTTGGGAGCATAGATTTTCCTTTAAATAATGTTCTTCTCTTACTGGTTTCACTTCACATTTCTACCTAAATAGGATGACTTAGTTATGGGTTATGCATGATTCATGGTAAATCATTTAAAATACTGAAAAGTGTTGACACCTTTATAAAATAGGAAAACTTGAGACTAGATATCCCAAGAATGAACATGTCATCTATTTCCTTTAGTGGTGCGTTAGAGCACCTAGATCCTGTCCTGACACTTAGTAGATGTAACAATGAAAGAATGGAAAAATGCTTTAAAGAAAAAGTAAAAATAAATACATTACAATGAGGGACATTTTAGCTAGTGTATGTTGCAATGCATTTACTGGATCTGTGTGTGGTTACAGTAATTATTTATCATTTGTATGAAACTTATCTCAGTTTTCCCAGGTTTTTACATCAGTTGTCCTTGTTCCTGGCCTGGTAAGCAGCACTCTTCATTTTCAAAAAATATATCTGCTTTGACAGTAATTTATATATTCAGTGTGTTTATAGCTATACTCTCCAGTTTACTCATTAATTTTTTTCTTTCTATACTTTCTTATATCTTTTATAATAATGTGAAAGTTGAAAATAACTAGGAAGGAGTAAAATTGGTCAAATTCAATCTAAAAGGTATATGGAAAAGTTTAAAATTCTCAAGATGAGTATACACATTTGGGAGGCTGAGGTGGGAAGATAGCTGAGTCAAGGAGTTTGAGACCAGCCTGAGAAACTTGGCAAGATTTTGTCTCTACAAAAAATCAAAAACAAACAAACAAAAACAAAAACAAAATTGACCAGGCTTGGTGATGCATGCCTGTGGTCTCAGCTTCTCAGGAGGCTGGGTGGGAGGATAACTTAAACCCAAGAGGTCAAAGCTGCAGTGAGCTGTGATTGCATCACTGCACTCTAGCCTGGATGAAAGAGTAAGAAACTGCCTCTAGAAATTTAAAAAAAGAAAAGATAAATATACACAAAATGAAGTGAAAATTGGAATATTTATTTGAATAGGTATGAAAATATATTCTCTTGTTCTAATAATCTGAAAATCTGAGGAAGATATTTTCATTGAGGTTTAAGTGTTGTAGAAATTGATTTTTATTTTTTCTGTATCTCCTAAATTATATATAGTCATTAGAAAACATATACACTAAAAAGATACAGGGAAGAGTAAATATTTTTTATAGAAGATAGATTACATACTCTAATATCTGGTAAGATGAGTAGCATGTTACAAAGAGTGCTGTTTGCATGAGAAGTGAGAATTACTCTATGTTAACATGTAAATAAAGGGTTGACATTTCAATCATTCTATTAACCTCTTCATGAGTCACATAATGACTTCGATCTAATTGTCAACCATGAGCTCTAGAGCACTAAGGTTATTTGAAATTTGAAGATTATATTGGTGAGTATAGACAAAATCTGATTTTTACACTCCAGATAAAATCAAACTGACAGAAAAGTAAATAACAATTACAGTATGTGAGAAAAATTATATGGCATATTACAGTGATCAATCTTCTCCCAGATGACAACATATAACAAGAAGAATTATATAGTAGTAATTCAAAATATAAGTTAGAAATAAATAAAATTCTGTCACTTTACACTTTTAAAATAACAATTAAATTGTAAAATGTTTAAATTCAGTTCAAAACAAGTACTGAGGTTCCATTAGCAAGCTAGTGGTGGGGATCAAAGCAGAGATGTTCCCTACTGACACCCACTATAAGGAAGCCATAGTTGGGAGAGGAAGAAAAAGGCCAGCTACTCTATGAAAGACACCAATAAACGTTTTAAGGGAGGTGACAAAAATAGTCCCATAAAGTCAAATGAGAAAATAAGAGTTATTCTCACTCTTGGTCATGTAAAATAATTCCTATTTTATCTGGCTTATAAAGATAAGTGTCAATGATTGTAATCAATAATCCTATATTATACCAGGTACTGATTAAATATTTTATTCCAGATAACACCATGAGATAGACAAAGTACAATTCTCTTATTACAGATAAGAAACTCACTCAATGCTAAGGTTACCAGAATCAGCCATATTTTTAATAGTGCCACATTTGATGCTTCTAATTTTTCCTGATACAGCTTCTATTTCTTTGTTATAAGTAATTCTTTGATGAATATTTTGTATACACATATCCTTTTATACAAGTGCAAAAATATATCTAGAATAAATACTTAGTAGAATTTCTGAGTAATTGGGTGTGCTTATTTTCTGCTTTACAGGACACTGATAGATATCTGCCCAAAAGGACTGTATCAATTTTGAAATGCTCCACTGTGTAAGCGTATTTTCCTCTAGTATCTTTTCCTCCAGATTCTAACATGTATGATTATACTTCTTTAATTTTTTGCCATTCTAGGAAAATAAGTCTATTATTTCTGTATTTTGTAATACTCAGAAATGAAGTTGAGCATATTTTCATTTCTTGGCCATTAAAGTTCTCATTTTTGTTAATTTTTTACTGACATTATTCACAAAATTTCTAACTGGATGGTTCTTTCCTGTTATTCTTATTGATTTGTAGTTATTTATATATTCTGAATACTATTATGTTACATGCTTTGCAAATACCACATCATTACTTACATATTAACTATATGAGGTCAAAGTGTTTTTTTTCCTTTTTCCTTTTTTTAGCACTTTTTTTAAAAGGTATAATTTAGAGACTCCAAAATTCACTCTTTTCAGTGTAAACAAATTCCATAATCAAAGTGTAGAGCAGTTCAATCATTTCCTCATGACCCTTTTAAATCAACCTCTTCCTCCAGCCCTAGCCTCTGGTAACCTCTGGCTGATTTGCATTCTATCTCCACACACAAATATGTATACACACACACACACACTCACACACACCCAAACATATATATATTTACAAAGGTAAATACATATATGCATGTTTACAAAGGTTATATATATATATATATATATATATGCACACATACACACACATATGTTTACTAAGATAAATATATATACATGTTTACAAAGCTAAATATATACATGTTTACAAAGGTAAATATATATATATTTACAAGTGTTAATATATATACATGTATTTGTAAGGGTAAATATACATACATGTATTTACAAACTATATGCATATAAATATATACCTTATATTTAATACCCGTTATATAAGATATGTGTATCTTATATACATGTAAGATATATATGGTAAAAAATGTATATAAGGTGTGTGCATATATATATATGGTGTAAATATACACACACCTTATATATTTATATACATATAAATATAAGATATATATGCTTATATATTTATATATCATATGAAGTACATAAATAGATGTATATAATTATATGTAAATATTTGCATATATAAGGTATATATGTGTTTATACCTATATAAAGTTATATAAGGTATATAAATATTTAAGGTATATAAGGTATAAATATATATATGTTTGTATGTTTGTATATATAAGCATATATATTTATATACCATATATTTTATATATACACCTTTGTATATATAAAATATATATTTATATACCATATAATTGTACATACCTATATAAATAGAAGATATATATATGTGTACACATATATAAAGGTACATAAAGTATATAAATATGTATACTTATATATTTATATACTACATATTTATATACCATATATTTTATATATACACCTTTGTGTATATATATTTATATATGTTTATATATTACATACATTATATATACCTTATATATAAATATAAGATATATTAAAATATATATGTGTATACATATAAAGGTCCATAAGGTATATAAATATATGTATTTATGTATATATATTTATATAACATATTTTTATATATACATCATATATTTATATATTTTATATAGCATATATTTTTATATATACATCTTTGTAAATATGTATCTCTACTTTTGTAAATACATGTGTATATTTACTCTTGTAAATACTTATGTATTTACAAAGATATGTGCATATATAAATGTATAGTACTAAGAGATAGCCAGCAAATCCACAGGATTCTGCAGCAACCTCAGTTCTTGCCTCCTCAGAAGAAAGAATTCAACCGAAGGTCATAAGGCAGAGATAAAGATCAAGGCAACTTTTAGAGCTGGAGTGAAAGTTTATTAAAACATTTTAGAGCAGGAATGAAAGAAAGTAAAGTACATTTTGAAGAGGAACAAGTGGGCAACTTGAGAAATTCATGCGCAAGGTTTGACTTTTCACTTGGGGTTTTATACATTGGCATGTTTCTGGGATGTTGTATCCTTTCTCCCCTAATTCTTCCCTTTGGGTGGGCTGTCTGCATGTGCAATGGGCTGCCAGCACTTGGTAGGGGCTACATGCTCAGTGTGTTTCCTAAATAGTACACATGCTTACTTGGGGCATTTTCCACTTACTGGTTGAATGTTCCTAGAGAAAGGTCATATACCAGTTAAACTCAGCAATTTTGCCTCTACTCGTGCATGCTTAAGACCACTTGCCCAGTTCCTGACATCTTATTAGGAAGCTGCTGATCATCAGTTTCAAGTGTTTTCTATCTATTGGGAGACTGTCTTTCCATGGTGCTGACTGCAATCGATTATTATTTTAGAGAGACAATCTAACAATCACCTGATCATCACCTGATGTTGCCTAATGTTCCTGGCTGATTGGGGGAAGCCTCTCCTGCCCTGCTCATGTCTGACTACCTACTGTAACAAGATCAGTGCCTGACACATAGTAAGAGTTATGTAAGTGCTACTTATTATTAGCATTTATTTCCTTGTGTAATATCGTCAGGTTCCAGCCAAGCTGGGGGTCCGAGGGGAGCTGGTGGATGGGTGGCAGGTAGCTGAAAGAACACTCCAGGGATTGTAGGCAGTTGAGACATGGCTTTACTCTCTCTCTCTCTCTCTCTCTCTCTCTCTCTCTCTGCTACAGAGTCAGAAAAGCAGTTCTTTTTCTCATAGACAACAGTGGCTCAAAGCCAGATATGAGCTTACACAAACAGGATACATTAAATTCCTAACCAGATTAACATAAATTCTCATACCAGAGACCTATTTACCTCTATTCCTGTTACCAAAAACAATATGTCCATCATTCAACAAAAAATTACAAGACCCACCAAAAAGCAATAAAAATGTGTAGGCTTTAGGAACAAATTGAGTATTGGAATGAGGATCAGACATAACGCAAATGTTGAAATTATCCTGCAGGGAATATAAAATAAAGGTAAAAGTATGTCATGGTTACTACTGGAAAAAAAAGAAAATAATATGCAAGAACAGATAAATAATATCAGCAGGGGTTTGGAAATGTGGAGTTAGAATCAAAAAGAAATACTGCACACAAAACAAAATCAAAACCCTGATACAGAAATAAAGGATGTCTTTGATGGGTTCAACAGTAGACTTGAAATGGCTGAGGAAAGAATCAGTGAGCTTGAAGATATAGCATTAGAAATTTCCAAAACTGAAACAGAAAAACAAAATGGAATAAAGAAAACGACACCTAAGAATTTTGGGTGAAATTTCAAAAGACGCAATATGTAAGTATTTGAAAAACCAGAAGGAAGAAAAAGAACAAGCAGAATTATATATATATATATATTTGAAATAACCACAAAATTAATGAACATCTCACCACAAATACAGGAAGCTCAGAGGAGACTAAGAAGGTAAATAATTAAAACTACATGTAGACATATTATATTCAAACGGCAGAACACCAAATACCAAGAAATCATCTTGGAAGAAGACAATGGGGATGTTGGGGAGCATTATCTATGGAGGAAAAAAGCTTAAAAAGTGTAAAAACTCCTCTGAAAACATACAAGGTTGAAGAGAGTGGAGTAATTTAAACTGTTAAAAGAAAAAAAAATCCTACAGTTCTACACCAACAAAGTTATCATAAAAAGATAAAGGAGAAATACTGTCTCCGAGAAACAAAAAAAAAAAGACAAATTATTACCAGCCAGACCTACCTTATATAAAACGTTCAAATAATTTTTTCAGGAATAAGGAAAGTATACGTTAGAAACTTGGCTCTAGATAAAGAAAGGAAGAACATTAAGGAAGGAATAAATGAAAGCAAAGGAAAATATTTTACTTTTCTTATTCTTAATTTATCCAAAAGTTAACTTTCTTTAGTGATAACAGTAACAAAGCATTGGGTAATGGTAGCATACAGATAGGCAAAGTGAGTGACAGCAATGTCATAGGATCAACAGCAAGGAATTAGGGAATTAAATACCGTTATTTGAAGGTAGACTTATTTTTCTAAAAAATGTATATTGTAAACTCTAGGGCAACAATAAAATATTTGTAAAAGATGTATATTTGGCATGCTACACAAATAAAATGGAAATATAGAAAATGCTCAATTAAAATGAGAGAAGCTAGAAAAAGGAGCCTCTGACAAGACAAAATAAAAACAATTACAAACATGATTTATAAGAATCCAAAAATATCAATGATCACCTTAAATGGACATGTTCTAAATATACCCAATTAAGAGATAGGGATTTTAGAATGAATAATAAAACAAGACTCCACTATTCACCTTTTAAAATAAACTAATTTTAAATACAAAGATTCTGATAGGATAAATGTAAAGGAAGAGAGAAGGATATACAGACCTAATACTAATCAAAAGAAAGCTGTAAGAGCAACATGAATTTCAGACAAAACAGACTTCTGAATAAAAAAAATAGCAATGAAGAAAGCACGCATAATGATAAAGGGGACAAATCTCAAAGATATCATAATAATCCTAAAGGGGTTACAATCCTAAAAACAGAGCAACAAATTATGTGATGCAAAAACACATAGAACCGAAAGGAGAATTTGACAAATTCACTATTATAGTCACAGATTAAAATACCTTCCCTATTAGTAATTGATGGATCAAGTAGGCAGAAAATCAGTAATAATAAGACTGAGCCTGAACAGCACTATCAGTCATCTTGGTCTAATTGACAATTATAGAATACTCTCCTCAATAACAGATTAGTACTCATTCTTCTCAAGTTCACATGAAACAGTCACCAAGACAAACCACTAACTAGGCCATAAAACATACAACAAATATAAAAAAAAATGAATTATACAAAGTATGTTCTCAGGCAGCAATGAAATTAAACTACAAACCAGTAACAGAAACTAAGATGGGAAATCACCAAATATTTGGAATTAAATAACATACTTCTAAATAAAGCATGGGTTCAATTAGATGTCTCAAGAGGAAACAAAACATATTTTGAACTAAATTAAAATTAAAATACAACTTATAAAATTTATTATCATGCTCTAAAAACAGTGTAATGCCTAGAGGAAAATGTATAACATTTAGTGCATATAATAGAAAAAAAGATCTAAAATCAATAACCTAAGTTTCTATGTTAAAAAAAGCAGAAAGTAATAATCAATAATGATCAGTTTAACATAAACAGAGAAAAATAAATAATTAAAATTAGGGCACTAATCAATGAAACTGAAAGCAAGAAAACAACAGAAAAATCAACAAAAACAAAGATAATTCCATCTTTGAAAAGAACTATTAAATTTATAGTTAGGCTAACTAATTTTTTAAAGCGAAGAAGGTACAAATTATTAATATCAGAAATGAAGGAGGAATCATTACAACTGATTCCATTGATATTAAAATGTTAATAAAAATAATATGAATAATCTGTGTCAACAAATTTGATGACTTAGATAAAATGGACTAATTCCCTGAAGAACACAGACTACCAAATCACACAGATGAAATAAATTATCCAAATAACATTCTATTTATTTTAAAACATGAATACTAATAAGTAGTCTTTGAAAAAAACAATAAATCACCAGACACAGATGATTTCACTGGTGAATTCTGGCAAGCAATTACTGGGAAACAAAGATAACAATCCTCTAAAATCTCTTCCAGAAAAAGATGCAGAGGGAATAATTTCTAACTCATTCTCATTACACAGCATTACACCAACATCCAACCAGATAAATACATTACAAGAAAGGAAAACTACAAATCAATGTCTTCCATAAACCTAGTAAAAAAATCATTTTAAAAACTCATCAAATTAAATTCAACAATGTATAACAAAGAATACACCATAAACAAGTAAGATCCACTTCAGGTATACAAGCCTCGTCCAACATTTGGGAATCAATCAATATAGTCAAACAGAAAAATCATATGATCATATTAATTCATTCAGGAAAGCACTTAACAAAATCCAACATCTATTCATGATAAAAAAAAAAACTTATCATACGAGTTTGTCAAACTAGGAATCAAGGTGACTTTTCCAATTTTATTTTTAAAAAATCTATGTAAAACCTAAAGCTAATATCATACCAAATCATGAGAAACTGGATAGTTTTTCTCTAAGATCCGGAATAAGAAAATGATGCCCTCTCTCTCCACTCCTATTAAATGTAAAGTCAATAAAACAATAAGATTAAAAAATAAATAAGACAACAAGAAAAGGAAAGAAGAGATCTATGGATTGGAAAGAAAGAAGTAAAACTGTCTGTATTTACAGATAATATGATTGTTTATATACAGAACTGCACAGAATCGACAAAAAAAAAACCCCTAAGAGTTAAAAATCAATATATCAAGACTGAAGGATACAGAGATAATACATAAAAGTCTATTGTTTTCTTATGTACCAACCGTGAACAATTGGAATTTGAAATTTAAAAAAATACCATTTTAATAGCAAATTAAAAATGATTTTTTTGGTATAAATCTGACAAAATAAATGCAGGATCTATATACAGAAAATCTCAAAACACTGATTAACAAAAAAAACCTATCTAAATAAATGAAGAGGTATTCCATGGTCACGGACTGAAGATTTAATATTTTTGACATGCCAATTCTGAAATTTATCTATAAATTCAGTGTAATCTTAATTATAAAGTGTAAAGAAGCTATTTTATAGATATTGACAAATGACTTCTAAAGTTTGTATAGAAAGGTACAGTACCTAGAATAGCCAAAATAATCCTGTGGAAGATGAACAAAGCTGGAAGACTCACAATACCCAATTTTAATAGTTACCACCAGGCTACAGTAATCAAGATAGCATGTCATTGGTGAAAGAAGGGACACATAGAATAATAGCCCATGGGAACCAGATTTCTCATTTTTGGAGTGGGAGTTTAAAAATAGGCAAGAGAAAGAAGTACAAGTGATTCATGTAGCAATGGATTCGATTATAATACCACAGAATGAGCTCATGTTTACCTTAATATTGAAATTAAAATTGAAATAGATGGTTCCATATAGAAATAGTAATAGATCTGTGTGTTAATGTGTTAGATGTTAATATATACATATATCTCCTTGCTCTGTCAATTGAAGTGACCTAGAAAGAATGGCAACCCAGAAACAAGCAGTATACTTAGCACCTAGATCTTGGTTTCTAATATCACTCTCCCCAAAAGAAACTATGACTCCTTGAAGAAATAGGAGCCGTGATTCTGCAAGTGATTCTAAAACTGTGAAGGAAATATAGAAGATAATCCTGAAGTACTTTGTATCAGCAAAAAGTAAGGAGATGCTAAAAAATCCACAATGATGAGGCTACGTCAAAGAGACACAATAGTCAACTGAAAGAACTGCTAACCAACACTGAAAATATTAGAGCAACAAAATATAGCATTGATTATAACCCAAAGTTTAAAATAAATATCCATGAGTCTATTCTGATATACTGATATATCATACTGATATAAATAAGTGACTGATCAAATAAATAAATCTGTGAGAAGACACAAATCTTCCATGCAGAAAATTCTAAATAATTTATATAGTTCCTCCGCCATTAGGAGGTGGAGCGTACATCCTCATTCCTTAAATCTGGGCTGTGTTTGGTGACTTTTTCCAAAGAGTATATTATGAAAATGCGGAAAAAATGAAGCTAATTTTACAGTGAAGACACCAGATAAACACTACTTTAAACCAAGTCGTCAGGGACAACATCAATTGTTATAACTTGTGGAGATTACATGCACCCTTGATATGATGTACTGAGAATAATGCTTTACTCCTTGGTCTTCCTCCCAAGAAACGCATTACCCTACTCTAATGATGAAAAAAAATATTAAATAAATTGCCATTGAGGGGCATTACACAAAATACCAAACCAAGAAGCAAGGAAAACTTGGAAAACTTTCACAACTAAGAGAAGGCTTAGAAAACATGGTTACTAACTATAGTTCAGTATTTTGTATGGGATCCTAGAAGAGAAAAAGATATTAGAGAAAAAAACTGAGGAAATATGAATAAAATATGAATTTTAAAAATAATAATAATGTGTCAATATTGTTGAAGTAATTGTACCATATTATATGATACATTGTAATGTGGTACAAATTTACCATATTATTATGTTAATAATATAGGAAACAGTTTGGCATATAAAGGAACTCTGTAATATACTTCTGATAATTGCATAAAACAAAAAGTTTTAAAATAAGAATTTTCAACCCAGAATTTCATATCCAGCCAAACTAAGCTTCACAAGTGAAAGAGAAATAAAATACTTTACAGACAAGCAAATGCTGAGAGATTTTGTCACCACCAGGCCTGCCCTAAAAGAGCTCCTGATGGAAGCACTAAACATGGAAAGGAACAACCGGTACCAGCCACTGCAAAAACATGCCAAATTGTAAATACCATCAAGGCTAGGAAGAAACTGCATCAACTAACGAGCAAAATAACCAGCTAACATCATAATGACAGGATCAAATTCACACATAACAATATTAACCTTAAATGTAAATGGGCTAAATGCTCCAATTAAAAGGCACAGACTGGCAAATTAGATAAAGAGTCAAGACCCATCAGGGTGCTGTATTCAGGAAAACCATCTCACATGCAGAGACACACGTAGGTTCAAAATAAAGGGAGGGAGGAAAATCCACCAAGCAAATGGAAAACAAAAAAAGGCAGGGGTTGCAATCCCAGTCTCTGATAAAACAGACTTTAAACCAACAAAGATCAAAAGAGACAAAGAAGGCCATTACATAATGGTAAAGGGATCAATTCAACAAGAAGAGCTAACTATCCTAAATATATATGCACCCAATACAGGAGCACCCAGATTCATAAAACAAGTCCTTAGAGACCTACAAAGAGACTTAGACTCCCACACAATAATAATGGGAGACTTTAACACCCCACTGTCAATATTAGACAGATCGAGACAGAAAGTTAGCAAGGATATCCAGGAATTGAACTCAGCTCTGAACCAAGTGGACCTAATAGACATCTACAGAACTCTCCACCCCAAATCAACAGAATATACATTCTTTTCAGCACCACACCACACCTATTCCAAAATTGACCACACTGTTGGAAGTACAGCACTCCTCAGCAAATGTAAAAGAACAGAAATTATGACAAACTATCTCTCAGACCACAGTGCAATCAAACTAGAACTCAGGATTAAGAAACTCACTCAAAACTGCTCAACTACATGGAAACTGAAAAACCTGCTCCTGAATGACTACTGGGTACATAACGAAATGAAGGCAGAAATAAAGATGTTCTTTGAAACCAGTGAGAACAAAGACACAACATACCAGAATCTCTGGGACACATTCAAAGCAGTGTGTAGAGGGAAATTTATAGCACTAAATGCCCACAAGAGAAAGCAGGAAAGATCTAAAATTGACACCCTAACATCACAATTAAAAGAACTAGAGAAGCAAGAGCAAACACATTCAAAAGCTACCAGAAGGCAAGAAATAACTAAGATCAGAGCAGAACTGAAGGAAATAGAGACACAAAAAACCCTTCAAAAAATCAATGAATCCAGGAGCTGGTAAATTGATAGACCGCTAGCAAGACTAATAAAGAAGAAAAGAGAGAAGAATCAAATAGATGTGATAAAATATGATAAAGGGGATATCACCACCCATGATCCCACAGAAATACAAACTACCATCAGAGAATACTATAAACACCTCTACGCAAATAAACTAGAAAATCTAGAAGAAATGGATAAATTCCTCAACACATACACCCTCCCAAGACTAAACCAGGAAGAAGTTGAATCTCTGAATAGACCAATAACAGGCTCTGAAATTGAGGCAATAATTAATAGCTTACCAACCAAAAAAAGTCCAGGACCAGATGGATTCACAGCCGAATTCTACCAGAGATACAAGGAGGAGCTGGTACCATTCCTTCTGAAACTATTCCAATCAATAGAAAAAGACGGAATCCTCCCTAACTCATTTTATGAGGCCAGCATCATCCTGATACCAAAGCCTGGCAGAGACACAACAAAAAAAGAGAATTTTAGACCAATATCCCTGATGAACATCGATGCAAAACTCCTCAGTAAAATACTGGCAAACCGAATCCAGCAGCACATCAAAAAGCTTATCCACCATGATCAAGTGGGCTTCATCCCTGGGATGCAAAGCTGGTTCAACATGCACAAATCAATAAATGTAATCCAGCATATAAACAGAACCCAAGACAAAAACCACATGATTATCTCAATAGATGCAGAAAAGACCTTTGACAAAATTCAACAACCCTTCATGCTAAAAACTCTCAATAAATTAGGTATTGATGGGATACACCTTAAAATAATAAGTGCTATCTATGACAAACCCACAGCCAATATCATACTGAATGGACAAAAACTGGAAGCATTCCCTTTGAAAACTGGCACAAGACAGGGATGTCCTCTCTCACCACTCCTATTCAACATAGTGTTGGAAGTTCTGGCCAGGGCAATCAGGCAAGAGAAGGAAATAAAAGGTATTCAATTAGGAAAAGAGGCAGACAAATTGTCCCTGTTTGCAGATGACATGATTGTATATCTAGAAAACCCCATCATCTCAGCCCAAAATCTCCTTAAGCTGATAAGCAACTTCAGCAAAGGCTCAGGATACAAAAACAATGTGCAAAAATCACAAGCATTCTTATACACCAATAACGGACAAACAGAGAGCCAAATCATGAGTGAACTCCCATTCACAATTGCTTCAAAGAGAATAAAATACCTAGGAATCTAACTTACAGGGGACGTGAAGGACCTCTTCAAGGAGAACTACAAACCACTGCTCAATGAAATAAAAGAGGATACAAACAAATGGAAGAACATTCCATGCTCATGGGTAGGAAGAATCAATATGGTGAAAAATGGCCATACTGCCCAAGGTAATTTACAGATTCAATGCAGTCCGCATCAAGCTACCAATGAGTTTCTTCACAGAATTGGAAAAAACTACTTTAAAGTTCATATGGAACCAAAAAAGAGCCCGCATTGCCAAGTCAATCCTAAGCCAAAAGAACAAAGCTGGAGGCATCATGCTACCTGACTTGAAACTATACTATAAGGCTACAGTAACCAAAACAGCATGGTACTGCTACCAAAACAGACATATAGACAAATGAAACAGAACAGAGCCCTCAGAAATAACGCCGCATATCTACAACAATCTTATCTTTGACAAACCTGACAAAAACAAGAAATGGGGAAACAATTCCCTATTTAATAAATGGTGCTGGGAAAACTGGCTAGCCATATATAGAAATCTGAAACTGGATCCCTTCCTTACACCTTATACAAAAATTAATTCAAGATGGATTAAAGACTTAAATGTTAGACCTAAAACCATAAAAACCCTAGAAGAAAACCTAGGCAATACCATTCAGGACATAGGCATGGGCAAGGACTTCATGTCTACAACACCAAAAGCAATGGCAACAAAAGCCAAAATTGACAAATGGGATCTAATTAAAGTAAAGAGCTTCTGCACAGCAAAAGAAACTATCATCAGAGTGAACAGGCAACCTACAGAATGGGAGAAATTTTTTGCAATCTACTCACCTGACAAAAGGTTAATATCCAGAATCTACAATGAACTCAAACAAATTTACAAGAAAAAAACAAATAACCCTATCAAAAAGTGGGCGAAGTATATGAACAGATACTTCTCAAAAGAAGACATTTATGCAGCCAAAAGACACATGAAAAAATGCTCATCATCACTGGACATCAGAGAAATGCAAATCAAAACCACAATGAGATACCATCTCACACCAGTTAGAATGGCGATCATTAAAAAGTCAGGAAACAACAGGTGCTGGAGAGGATGTGGAGAAATAGGAACAATTTTACACTGTTGGTGGGACTGTAAACTAGTTCAACCATTGTGGAAGTCAGTGTGGCGATTCCTCAGGGATCTAGAACTAGAAATACCATTTGACCCAGCCATCCCATTACTGGGTATATACCCAAAGGATTATAAAACATGCTGCTATAGAGACACATGCACACGTATGTTTATTGCAGCTCTATTCACAATAGCAAAGACTTGGAACCAACCCAAATGGCCAACAATGATAGACTGGATCAAGGAAATGTGGCACATATACAGCATGGAATACTATGCAGCCATAAAAAATGATGAGTTCATGTCCTTTGTAGGGACAAGGATGAAGCTGGAAACCATCATTCTCAGCAAACTATCACAAGGACAAAAAACCAAACACCGCATGTTCTCACTCATAGGTGGGAATCGAACAATGAGAACACATGGACACAGGAAGGGGAACATCACACACCGGGGCCTGTTGTGGGGTGGGGGGAGGGGGAGGGATAGCATTAGGAGATACACCTATTGTTAAATGATGAGTTAATGGGTGCAGCACACCAACATGGCACATGTATACATATGTAACAAACCTGCACGTTGTGCACATGTACCCTAAAACTTAAAATATAATTTTTAAAAAAGACATTTTGAATACATTATTTTACTATTTACTGATAAATGAGGTTGAGCACAAACTTCTGGAGAAAGAGGTTATCACCTATCTTATTTTCTCCTGGACTGGGTCAGATCAAAATTTTTGGTGCAGGGGCATCACACTGAATCATCTCAGTTTAAAATTTTTGTGCTGTATATTTTAACCAAGATGTCTTCATGATGCCAGATCAGTGGTACAGATCTTGGAGTGAACAGCCAATAAATGCAGGCTATTAGTCATGAGCTAAGATAATCACTCATAGAACAGCACTGAAAGAAATACAAAAGGGAATTTTTCAGACAGAAGGAAAATGAACCCACAAGGAAAAACGAGTATGCTGGAAAAATAAAGGAAATGAAAAGAGTAACGCTTCACACATACCAGATTGTATCAAAGGTTATAAAAATGTATCACTGAGTTTAAAATATGTGTGTAAATAAAATGCATATAAATAATAAGGAAAAAGGATTGAGGAGGATAATTGGAGCTAAAGTGTTCTAAGTGTTCTGGATTAGCTAGAAAATTCTTAACATTCTAATTTTTTATTCTATTTATATTTATGCTTATGTTTTATATTATAATATATATACTCTTCTTTACACGTCTAAAGATACTATAGTGATGCCTCTTTATGATTCTAAATATTAATCATTTGTGTCTTCCTTTTATCTTGATTAATCTGGCTAGATATTTTTCCCAAGATTTCAAAGACAGGAACAAATTTTGGTTTCATTATCTCTCTTATCCATCTGTACTCATCTTCATTGGTTTCCACATTTATCGTATAAGATTTTCCCTTCTAATTATTTTGAATTTAATTTGTTTTCTCTACTCATTTCTTCAGGTGCAGCCTCATATCATTGGTTTGAGATATTTATTCTTTTCTAATACCAATATTTAAAGTTATGGCTATCCCTCTAAACACTTCTTGAATTGCAACTCAAAAATTTTAATATGATTTGTTTTTATTTTCCTTTCATTTCTAAATGTTTTCTAATTTCCTTTGTGATTTCCTTTTTGACCCATCGGTTATTAAGAAGTAAATGAATTAACTATTATTTGGATCATTTCTCTATATATTTCTGTTATTCGTGTCTAATTTGCTTCTGTTATAATCAGAGAACATACTCCATATTATATCAATACTTTCAAAGATTTTCTTGTTATTATTTGCTTATTTGTTTTCAGAGACAGGGTCTCACTCTGTCAACCAGCCTGGAGTGCAGTTTGCCAGGAACTCAGCTCACTGCAACCTCCACCTCTGGGGCTCAACTGATTCTCCTACCTCAGCCTCCCGAGTACCTGGGACTACAGGCATGTGCCACCATGCACGGCTATGTTTCTTTGTTTTGTTTTGTTTTTAGAGATAGAGCTGTACCATGTTGCCCAGGCTGATCTCAAACTCATGGGCTCAAGTGATCCACCAGCCTTGTGGGCTCAACTGATCCACCAGCCTTCGCCTCCAAAGTGTTGAGATTACAGGCGTGAGCCACCACACCCAGCCTGAAATGTTTTCATCTTTATCTATGGTAATTCTCTTTATTCTGAATTCTATTTTGTCTGATATTAATACAACCACCCTAGTTTTCTTATGTTTAGAGTTTATATGGTACATATTTTTTCATCCTTCAACTTTTAAACTATCTTTTTCCTTATACGGTAAGTCCTCACTTAATGTCATATATAGGTTCTTGGAAACTGTAACTTTAAGGAATGAGACATATGAGACTAATATTTTTTCTTATCAATGGTATAATGAAACAATGTTGAATGAAAACATCATTATGAGGATCTGTTTTTTATCATTTCACTTAAAGTTGTAGTTTGCAAGAACATATCCACTCTCCTTTTCATAGCGCTTAGAGTCTGTGCTGCTTGTTGTAACATTTCTGAAAAGGTTTTTGTTTTGTTCTGTTTTGTTTTCAAATGTTTGTCCAGTTTTTAGTTGTTTCAGATGGAGGTAGCAAATCTGATTTCCATCATGGCTGGAAGTAGAATTCACTAATTTATATAAAAATATAAGTAATAAATGAGGCCTTACTATACATTTACAATGGGTTTCTTGTACCTAATATGTAGTGAGGCCTTGCCCTTTTTTTCCCCAGTCTGACAAATTCTGTGTTTTATTTGGAGCATTTAGTACATTTACTGTACATTTAATATAATTAATGATATAATTGGTTTTCTTCCTGCCATCTTACTAATTATTTTCTCTTTAAGTTTTCTGTCCTGTTTTTTTTCATTCTCTTTGTGGATTTTATAATTAAATTTAATCTCCACTCTTGGTGCATTAGCTGTACCCCTGTTTTCTTTAAGGCATTTTTTGAGCATTTAAAATATGCATCTTTAACTTATCAGCCCACCTTCAAATGATATTATACCTCTTCACATACAATAAGAACAGTACAATAATTTGCTTCCATTTTCCTCATCATGTCCTTTGTGCTATTATCATAGATTTTACTTCTATTTGTGTTACAGCCTCCACAATGCATTATTCATTTTCTGTTAGACAATCAATGATCCTATAAAGGAGTATTTTAAGTGAGAAAAATAGTTTGTATTTACACATATTTTTAACTTTTCTTGTTCTCATTTATGTAGACCTAATTTCTGTTCGTTACCATTTTTCATCTTAAAAAACTTCCTTTAACAACTCCCCCCATGAAATTTCCTGGCAATGAATTACTTCTGCTTCAGATTTTCTGGGAAAAGAACAAAGGTTTTATTTCTGTTTCTTGAACTGAGAAATATCTTTAGCTCTTCTTAATATACTCTTCTCTACTCCATGGTCCAGAATGTGCCTTCAGGGATCACCCTGTTTACTCTCCTTTTCATAGAGCTTAGAGTCTGTGCTGCTTGTTTTAACATTTCTGAAAAGGTTTTTGATTTGTTTTGTTTTGTTTTCAAACGTTTGTCCAGTTTTTTAGTTGTTTCAGACGGAGGTAACAAATCTGATTTCCATCATGGCTAGAAGTAGAATTCACTAATTTATATAAAAATATAACGTTGTTAGTAATCAAATAGGACATGTAAATGTTAAAAATATAATATAGAGATTATACTGAATTTATAATAAATAAAAAAGACCACTTTAAAAAAAAGGAAAACATTTGCTTAAAAATCACAGTTTTATCCAGGACTACTATATAAACATTATATAGCAGACAATTTTCCAAAAACGAACTCCTGGGTGACTTACATAAAAGTCTTGACTTACATAAGTCATGACTTTCCAGGTAAGGAAAGACATGACTTAGTTGAGGTGATTTCAGGAGTCTGAAGCAGTCGAATAAAAGGGCGTGCTTTCTGACTGTGCCTTCCATTGTAAGTTGGCCAAAATCCATTTTTGAAGTAGGAAAATGAGAATAGCAAACAATGAATAAATAATATATAAAATAAAGAGTGATAAGGGTTTATAATTATTGTTCTTCTGTTAGCACCTGGCAAAAAATTGTCCTCTTTAATCTCATTTATAACTTTATCCATGCTTCTCTTTTTTTTCCCTGTCACTAAGGAAAGTATATCACTTTAGGACTAACAGTGGCACCTTATCCAATCACCAGCCTTGTCTCTAGTTTCCTTTTTTTCTCTCTCCTTACTCTTTCACCTGTGGGCAGGACAGGGGTTTGTGGAAGGCTGGATGACCACATAGACCTCGTCATCATAGGTCAATAGGTCCTTGATTTGCCTAAGGTAAATGTCAAACATCAGTTGAGTGTTTAACCTATATGGATGAGTCAATATTAATTTTTCTTTCTTCCAATTAGCTTACAAGCATACTCAAACACATTCTACTACAACCTTTCTTCTCCATGTCTTCCCTTCTTGAAGCTACCACTGAGAACAATTTTCAAAGACATGAGAAGCTACCTGCGTGTATTCTCTCTCCACTTCTCCAGCCTCAAATCCTTATGGATAGCATTCACTCCTGCTAGTCCCTCACATTATTTCAAAAGAAGTGATTAGTTACTTCTCATTTTCAATTATAAAGGCCACTTTTCAGTTTAGGTTGTATTTATTCTGAGATATGTTTGCTATTTTTGTATTGAAGTGTTTTGATAAGCAAATAACTTTGTATTCTCTTATCCCTGAGTAAAACAATGCCATCAGTCTTGGTGAATAAAGCATGTATTAAAACTGATTCAGTTAATCCATAAGAACCCAATAGTTTATCCAATGTAATTTAGAGATACCCTAACATAAACTACAATCCTTTTAAAAAATACAAAAGTCTTGTATTAAAAGAATTTCTAGGTTATACATTGAATTATTATTCAAGTAAAACACCTATTCAATTAAAAGAAACTCTTTCAACTCAGTAAAAATCTCCCAAAGGCTTTTACTATTTCTTCTCCTCTTACTGACTCAGCATGCTATTGTTGTTTCATTTTTTGATATAAACACATGAATGAAAAGTACACTGGAATTGCTCTTCTTGAGGATTAGGCTGACACTAAAATTATTTGGCTGTCTCCTTTGAAGCAAAGGTAAACACCAATCAAAATGTTTTGAAATAATCTTAATGGTAATGTCACATTTATGAAAATCACTTTCACAATTAACTACAAAATAGGCAAAGTCAAGTGACAGTTAGTAGAACTAAAGGTAATTTTTAATTTTAGAGGGTAAGAGTATTAAATAGTATCTAATATGAGATTTTAGCATTGATTGTGTTCATAGGGCTTTTGTCAGTGCAAGTAATTGTGATGAAACAAAAGAAAACACCTCTTTAAAATATTCAGCTTTACTATGATAGGTAAGCAATTTGCCAACACCAATGTTAAAATCTATTCTCTCTGAATTTTTCCCCTGCTATTTGAGTATTGAAACTTTTAAAAGTATTTACAGCATGAGGATCAACAATTCAAGGTCAAATGTTAAGAGTGACTAACAAACTTTTGAACTTGACTTATTTGCCAGAAAAAAAGTACAAGTATTAAAATTAATCATCATCATCATCATAATTATTACTGTGCCAGTTATTTTATGGTCACAAGTAGAGTCCTATTCAAAGGGAACTACTTCTTGTTGCAAGCTTACCATGATCCATTCAGAAACATTTTAATATTATCCATGTGATCCTCTCAAAATCCTCCTATGGTAGCTATTACTAACTGCACTGAGAGAGGAGAAAATTGCCTGACTTGCCCGAAGTCAAACATCTAGTATCAGCAGCTTTGAATTCAAATGAGACTGGTACAACTTTAGTGTCAATAGGTATACAATATATTCATTTGCTCAAGAAATGAGAAATCTGGGGATTAGCTTGTGTGACAAGAATGTAAAGAGTTCACACGTCTCCTCTTTCTCCAATAAGGAGTATTCTGATTCCCTGCTCAATTTCTTGTCTTTTCATTGTGTAGAATTGGGGTGATGATTGACTGGGAAAATTAAGAGGCACAAAATTGACTTTATCTTTTTTATTTTGGAAGGATAGAAATCCACTGGTAGGGCTAGTGCCTGTGAGGGGACTGGAGAAGAGAGAAGAGAAAATTTGGCTCAGATTGAGTAGATGAGAAATTTTCCAAGAGTTAGACCAGAGAGAAGTTTCAGAGAAGTTTCTATAAGATCCTAAGAGTTAGAGAAATAGGATTGTCAATAACTTTCGTTTTATTATTTGCTCAAGAGAGTAAACATCAAGAGACACTTAAGATCTAAATATTTTTACTTTTAGACACAGGCACGAAATGTCATAGAATGTAATGCTGGGTAGATAGTGGGTTATGATGATACTCGAGTTCATTTTAATTACAGTAGACATTTGTCTAACATTGAGAGGGAACTTTACATTTTAAAATGCATTTCCCTCCCTTTATATTACAATCAATGCCTCCAGCAATTAGTTAGGACACTGAACCTAAAATTATCTAATTCTACAAGCTACCTCCCCTGGGTCTTCTCTGGAAGGCAGGAAACCAACTTTTCTCTTTAGGAAAGGAAATTTCTAGCCGTCAAATTGTCCTCCAAGCTTTAGAGACTATCTGAAAAGTCAGTTGCCTGGGAACAAATGACAGCAGCCTAGAGAAAAACATGAAATTTCCCTGTCAGCCAAGCTACAGGTAGAGGGGCAGCCCTTTTTGGGGATGTTTACAGTTCCACTCATTATGGTTCAAACAGGAAAATTTGGGGAAATATGTTTTAACCTGTGGTCTGAAGTACAACGGAACACCATCCTTGGAAATTATTTTATTGTGGGGAAATTTACAGTGCTCCAATCTAACCAAAAACTAACTCAGATGATGAAAGTGAGTAGCTGAGGTTTTTGAGAAGACCTGGTATGTGATGAAAGTTGGAAGTGTTTTATCCAGGCTGGTGAGGTGCTGTACTACCTTTATGTGCTAACACAGCCTGTTCAAAGCAACACACAGGATCTTCAAGGACTTTGAATATGTGATACATGATTACTTTCTTTATGCTTGCACTAAGCAGCTTGAGCTACATGTATCTTCATCTGAACTTTGCATATTTGGACACCAACTGACCTTTCTTCACAGACTCCACTGCAGCAAGCTCACTGAAGGACATTTCACTCTGCAGTAAAAAATCATGTTCAAGCAGGCCCACTTCAATGCTATACCAATAAGGCAAAGACAGATATCTTACAAAAGTTGATGTATTTCATCATCCTCTGTGCTAGTGCCCTTTTCAAATAAAAAATTGTCCCCTGTATGCCTATATATTAAGTTTTGGAGGAATACTTCCACTCTTCTCTCCCATCTCTTTGACAGACAAACTTCTTGAACAAGTTGTCTGTTCTCTGTTTTTGCATATCATAAACTATTTACTCTTCAATGTCTTTAATCTTTCATCATGAATGTTTTACTGAGTTAGCTCTTCCTAATTTCACACGAGTTGCATGCTGCTAAATCAAATATTATTTTTCTATCATCAATCCCTCTTTCTTGTCTTGAACAGGATAAGAACATTTATTCATTCATGTATTTGGTTTGTTCTACTAATATTGTTAAGTGCCTGCCTTTCGCAGACAGTATTTTAAGCAAAGAAAATAAAGCAGTTATCAATAAAGACATGGTTCATGTTCTCATGAAGCATATGTTTTATTGCGTAAGTCAAATACTATACAAATAATCATAAAATTATGTTTAATTAATATCCAAAATAACTCCTCTTAAGAAAGGAAACTCGAGTGGAGTCTAGCACACATTGAAAGTTGAGACCAAGCATTTCTGAAGTGAGTCTTGATCTGAGATACAAAAATGAGTAGAACTTTATCTAAAGAGGTGAGGGGCTGGGAAAGCTGAGCAAATTCCCCGTGCCAGAGGCATCTTTTCCTGTACACTGACTGTCAGAAACACAGAGAAAGCCAGTGGCATGCTTAAGAAGGAAAACAATGAAGCTTCATTATAATTTCTGTTAATATAGGGGGTTTTGGTATCCAAGGACCTTCAGACATCATTTTATTGGGTCCTCAAAACCCCCTGAGAGACACAGGTTAAGTATACTCATCCCCCATTTTATACAAGAGGAAGTTGAAACACAGAGAGTTCATAAAGTGAGTTCCTAGAGGGTTCACAGTGGCAGTGCCCTGATAAGAAGCCTGATTTCTGAAGCCTTGTGAGATTCTTACAGTCAGATCTGCCAAGATAGTCTCCTTTTTCTTCTATATCTCTGGTAAGACCTCAGTCTCCTTTATAGACTCTTCTTCATCTGGTCTTTACATGTTGTAGTTCTTCCAAACTTGATGCTATGTGCTACTCTTTGTTCATTTCCCGCTTTCTCCTAGGCGAGCTCATCCACTTCCATAATCTCAATTACCCTTCAAAAAATGCTGACTCATACATTGAAGCCTTTAGCCTTGACCTCATCTATGAGTTACAAAACTTCATAGCCAGCTCCCTATTTGGCATCTCTATTTGTAGAACCACTTCTATCTCTCTGTATATAAAATTTAAATAACAATTTCACCCTGAAAAGGGAAATAATTTCACGCCTCTTATTTTGGTGATTAGCATGATTGTTAGCCAGTTATATAAGACAGAAATTTGATTTGTCCCTCTCGGTCACTTCCTATATCCATCCAAACATAAAATTCTGCCACCACCCTACTCTAAATCTACACTCCCATTTTCCTGGGTATAAAAATACTCTCCTAACTAGTTTCTTAAATTCAATATTGTCTTCACCCCAACACTCCTGCACAGTGCAAGTGATTCTATGAAGACTAATCTATTCATGACATCCCACCGACCCCAAACCTTCAATAGATGCCCATTCTAGTGAAGTCTTTAATGTGGCTGACTGGAACTTGCAGAAAATGCTTACTGCCTATCACTGTCTGCATCCCATTCATGCAGGTGCCATTCCTCAATTCAGTAACTCACACTCACCATGCTCTATTGGTGAGCCCCACAAAGCCCCACAAAGACTGCTCCTTCTGACTCCTGTATTTGTCTACCACTCTACTCATTTTCTAGAAACAAATTTGTATAAATTCCTTAAAGATGCATTTCCAAATGCCCTAAAATAAGTTAGATATCCCTTGTCATACTATTCTTACATCCCAAAGCTGCTTTTCACAGTAATCTTGACAATGATAATAATATAATAAACTGTGCGATTGTGTAATTAGGTTCTTAAAGTATCTCCAGTTACTATATGAGCTTCATGATAAGAAGAACCACATTTGCATCTTTCAGAGAATTCCATATTTCCCATAAGACTTCCCATATTTCACAGCAACATCCCCTTATACTGATTTGTGCATCCGACCCACTCCCCCCCCATCAAGAATATCTGCTTTCATAGATTTCACAGACTTCTTCCCTGCTTGTTGCAGTCTTTTGAGGAAAACCACAGTTCCCATAGGTTCTTCTGAGGATTTCCAGAAAACTATTGCTTCATGAAGATCTAGCCTATGCATATTCTACTTGTTTTACTCTGCCCTCTGTATGTGCAGGAAATGGATAGTAGCCTCCAACCAGTACATCAAATTCTAAATCGATGAGCCAGGATTGAGTGGGCTGAGCTTGTAAGTTGTTCAGCCTATGAGCTCCATAATAACAAGGACTATATTTACTCTAATTTTAGCCCCAACATCTAGTATAGCCCTTGACATTTGATGAGCACTCATTTATTATTATTATTATTATTATTTTAATTTTGAAAAGAAAATGAATGGAGAGACAGGCTTTCATTAGTACCTTGGCAACCTCAATCCTATATAACTGGAAAGTCTATCCCTAAAGGAGCACTAGTCAGAACTCATTTCTCCACTGTGAGGTATGCAAATAAATATTTAAACCACCTACTGGGAAAGCTTAAAGAAACCCATTTTCATTCTACTTGGGATTAGGGATTTCTAAAGGAAGGGTAGCATTTCAAATTTGCCCATTGCCCTTAAGAGCTCACTTTTTGCCAGAGTCAGAGAGTTATAGACATCTGTAAAGAGCCTCTGACCAAATTCCTCTGATACACAGAATTCCTCCAGACCGTCTTTTCTTTGGACAATGACTCTTATGAGAATTATCCATTTATTTCCTTGATGATATTTGTGTTTTTCCTGTTATTTGTTCTGCTTGGAATTCAATTTCAGTTTCTCAACAAAATGTTAATTCTGTCATCCTTACCTTATCAACATTAACAATAGTCCACATGTACACTCTCTCCCTGTTGCGGCCTCTCCAGCCCAGGCTCCTCTCTGGAAAACCACATCTCCAGAAGTGGAGGTCTGACAATATTAATTTATATGCAACTGCTTTTCACAAAAGTTTCAAGAACAGAGTTATTTATGTTATGACTATTTCAGTAGTGCTTAAGTAAAATCTTGGAAGTAACATTGGTTTGAAAGGTGGAAGTAGGAAAACAAAACTAGTAAAACCCAGAAAGACTTGTTGGATGGCAGAGTTGAAATTAAGCACTTGTCCAGTAAGCAGTGATCTAACACTTCCGAATTTCTCCCCTAAAGTAAGAGAACAAGAACTTGAAATTTATGAGCAAAACTATGATGAGATGAAGGAGGAATTAGAGGACAACAGTCACTTTGTGAAATAGTTTGTCTGAAGAATCCATGGCACAGAAAACAGCTACAATGAAGAGAGTTGCCTTGGGAATAGGGCGCTAATTTAGAATGTGGCATGTTCCACAAGAAATGATAGGATTGGTACTGAAGGAATCATAATAAGCAGCTCCTTGGAGAACACACAATTTATGAAAATGTTACATTCTGCAAGTGCCTCCTACCCCCACTACTCATTAATCACCCTAACCTTCCTGTCACTGTGTTAATAGCCACCAATCCTATGTCATAAATGCTCATTACAGAGTGTCACACTTTGTCTCATCAGGATAATTCAGAAGAGTTTTAAATGATTACCAAATACGTTTTTAGTGTGTAGAAAGACAAAGGAAGACAACTTTTTTGATAACTTATTTAATAATTTAGCTTTCTTCTCTTAAAATTGAAAAAGGTATAACTACTGTTACAAAATATTCTGTTTCTTTACAGTAATATCCAGCCCATAGGAAAAAGATTCTAATTAGGGGAGAGAAATATATATATATATATATTTTTTTTTTCCCCTTAGCAGGTACAGCATACTGGGTACTTTTGTATTAATTACATTTTTATTCTGTTATCTTTATATCCCCAAGTGCAAAACTGCCAGCACTGTTTCAGATTATACATGCCTTAAGGGCAGGAGGAGTATTGGCACAAATAAAATAACAATGCCTTGAATGAATTTTAAGGGGGCAAGAGCCAATATTTCTGTATCAGAATAAATATTACTATACATTGCTCTGAAGGTGTGGGAATGGTAACCTTTTCTAGGGCATAAGCATTGAATTATTCAGATACCAAAGTCAAGTTCTTCATCACATTCTTTTAGAAGACCTGTAAATTAAATGGCTAAAATCGAACTCCTTTGTTAACCTACTGTAAACAAAACCATGATTTGTAGACAAATGTATGACTGAAAATATAAATAAAGTGAAGAGAGGAAACATCTTATTTAATTTGGCTTATTTAATTCACTTTGATTTTCTTCCTATCATGAGAGTAACTCTGAAACATCACCAATAGTAACCCTATAATAGCAAATAACTCCCATAATTAAAAATCCTACTTGTGTCATTTCAAATTTAGAACTAATGGAACTTAGTTCAGGAGGTTGGCTTTAAAACAGAATACATTTTACTTAAATGTTTGAGCACTTCGTGATCATCTTCAGAAAAAACCTTTAAATACATTTTTGTTAGTTTTCTGTAATTTAAACTCATTCTGAAATGACTCATTTTTTGCTGTTTTATTGAATAGATTCATGGAAATTGTTGATTGCCACAACATTTGTCATTGTTTCAGGTTGCTCTGCATGTAAACAGGACTCCTATATGTGTAGGTTTTCCTATCTCAGAAGCAAAAACTCCTCCCACACGGAATATTGGAGACACTTAAGTGCCTAGTCTCTCCTTTAGCTTGGATCCAAGCACCTGCTCCTAAGCCTTAATTGGAAGCTAGTGATATGAAGAAGTGAGAATCATATAGCATCCATGCTAGGGGAGATGGTCACAATGGCAGGTGCATCTTCCTTCTCTATGCAAGAGTTGAGCAGTCCTTGACACAGAATTAAGAACATAGGGATATATGGCATTAGTGATATCAGTGGTGTTGCTGATGTAGACTATGGTGTCTGTATCCAGCTGTGAGATCAGTCAGTTCTAGTGCATAATAAAATTGAAAGTTGTGTCTTTTTGATTAGCCTTAAATCTTGGCTTTCCAGATCTCCCAGAGATTTCTGTGTCTATTTGCTAAATTTGTTTTATAATTTTCTAAACTACTTTTCTTCTAGTATTAGCCTCAGTTAATTTATTCTTCAAATTTAGATCCGTGCTTAACATATTTGTGACTGAATAAAATAAAGACAGAAAAAGCAAGATGGGAGGGAGTGTGATGAGAACAAAGGTATGTTATTAAAGAGATTACTAAACTGCCACTTGCCTTTGGTTGGGGGAAGACTCCATGCAATGGTAAACTTTGCTGACTGGGATTTTGGGCAAGACTAATCATATCTGGTAGTGACAATTCAGGTGGTTGTAGAGGGGGCCTATAAATCTTACATAAATAACATTTTACTGAGCACACATTATTGCAATTTTATTCTGTTTTTCCTATCTTGTATTTTTACTTGTGATAAATAATGAATTCTGCAAATAAATTTACTTATATAAATTTAAATAGACGTCACAAGCAATGGAAAGAAAACTGTAAAGATCATCTGGTTTAGACAGCAACATACGCGCGCGTGCGCGCGCACACACACACACACAGAGACACACACACACTTCAGGGAGGCCATTTTATTGGTATCTATGTAAATAAAGATATTAGTATTGAGCACTCCCTTGTGACCTTTAATTACTTAAGGCTACTCCAATAAGAACCTCTAAAGAGTGCAATACAAAGAATTCAGAGGAATCTAAATCCAGTTAAAATAATATAAACTCATATAGTTTCACCAAGGAATTATTTCTATGAAGTCTTGGAAATTGTCCAAGATCCAAACTAGAAAGTCTGAGTCTGAAACATTACTATCAAAAGTGTAACATTCTCAACTAACATGCAAATAGGTCATGCAGAGAAGATTTGCCTAAAATGTTTGATTAGTGTAACCTCAAAATCCCTAAAAAACTTTGTTCTTGGGTTTTCTTGACACAGGCAAAAGACATTTTGGGGGATGACAATAGAGTTGTTAAGATCAGATTAGAGGGGAAAAAAAGGAAAAAAATAGTGCTTATTAAAAGGTCAGTAATCACAGTGTTTATTATTTACATATGATTTTAACAATTGTATTAAAATCAAGTATCTATTCAATGGTGCTGGGGAACTGAATTCTCATATGCATATCCACATGGATATTCAGCTGGATACTGACCTCATACTGTACACAAAAATGGATTCATAATGGATCATGGATAAAAAATAAGAGGTTAAACTATATGGTTCTTTATTAAAAAGCATAAGACTAAATCTTTATGATCTTAGATTAGGCAATGGTTTCTTAGATACAGGACCAAAACTATACGCATACGAGAAAAATCTGAATATGACTTAAACAAAATTAAAAACTTTTATGCTTCAATAGGCATCAAGAAAGTGAAAAGGCAACCCAAAGAATTGGAGAAAAGTTTTAAAAACTTTACATTTGATAAGGGACTTGTATCCAAAATATATAAAGAATTCTTATAATTCAATAATAAAAATACTGCACGAGTTGAAAATGAACAAAGGATTTGAATAGATATTTCTCCAAAGAAGATATACTCATGGCCATCAGCACAAGAAAAGAAGTCCAAAATCATTAGTCATTAGGGGAAATGCAAATCAAAATTACAATGAGTTATCTCTTCACACCCACTAAGGTTGCTAAATAAAAAAGACAGACATTAACACATGTTGGTGAGAATGTCGAGAAATTGGAACCTTCAAGGTGGGAATGTAAAATAGTGTAGTCACTTTGGAAAACAGTTTGGCAGTTCCTCAAAATGTTAAACATAGAGTTACCATATGGCCTAGCATATGTACCCCAGACAATTGAAAATACAGAAACTTAAACACAAATGTTAATAACATTATTCATAATAGTCAAAAAGTGGAGACAATCTAAATGTCTATCAACTCATGGATGAATAAACAATATGTGGCATATCTGCATAATGGAATATTATTCAACAATAAAAAGAAATGAAGCACTAATACATGCTACAGTAGGGATGAACCTTGAAAACATAATGCTAAGTGAAAGAAGCCTGTCACAAAACAGCACGTCTTATATGCTGCTGTTTGTATAAAATGGCCAGGATATGGAAATCTACAGAGGCAGGAAGCAGATGACTGTTTGCCAGGACTTTGGTTGCGGAGACATAGAAATAACTGCTAATAGGTATGGAGTTTATTTTGGGGGTGACAAAAATATTCCAAAATTAGATAGTGCTGATAACTGCAAAATACTGTGAATATACTAAAAACCAGCGAGTTGCTTTAAGAGAGTGAATTTTATGGCATGTAAACTATGTATCAATAAGGTTGTTACAAAAAAAGCAAATATCTAAATGTTCAGAAAGTAAAGTCTTTTCTTTAAAGCCAGTACTATTGCAAATTTTCTGACCTAGAACATAAATTTTTCCATGAAGTAGAAATATATAACATGCAAATTAAACTGCGCACTAAGGAGAGAAAGGAGACACCAGTGATTTTCCTTTATTTAAGTTGGTAAGAGTCTCACAACCAAGCAGTGAGGACTTATTTGTCATATGAATAAGGGGAGACTCAGAATCACACTGATTTGAACACATAGGACATATGCAGATTGTTAACAAAGTGAATAACTCAGGACACACAAATGTAAAGGCCATATTTGAATATAGATATCTTCTTTCCTTTAATCTTGTTTTGTCTGCCCTTCCCCTACCTGTCTATCTATATCTGTCTATCTACCTACCTATCTATCTATCTATCTATCTATCTATCTATCTATCTATTTATCTATCTATCTAATCTATCTACCTACTTACCTATCCAGCTACCTATTGTGTCTATGCTTTCCATTGTCATTATTTAAGTTAGATTTTTAATAGTGAAAGTTTTGCTTCTCGGAAATGTGTTTTAATACAGCTTGATCTTCCAATTTCAGTTATGTTGAAAAACACTCCTGGCTACAAAAATATATGTTGCATCCTGAATTGTTTGCAATCTTCTTAAGGAGAAGCAAACTTGCTAAAGAATGGACACTATGGAGATTACAAACACAAATTCCTGCATGACTCAGGCAGGTAACTAACTGGCGAGAGGCAGTATACTCAATGTGAGTGTTGGCAAAGAATCTTCCAAAACGTGGGCTAGAAACTTAATTTCAGTTTCCTCATCTTTCAAATGGAAATTATAATAGTATCTACTTCTAATAGTTATCTACTGTGGAGTAACAAATTACCCCCAAGACTTGGTGGCTTATGACAAAATTTATTATCTCACAGTTTCTGGGGATTTGGAACCTGGGTATCACTTAGATGAATCCTCTGACCTCTGCCTCAATTTCTTACCCAAACCTGCAATCAAGGTGTGGGCTGGGGCTTGCCTGAGGAAGCTTCTGAGCTCACTTATGTGGTTGTTGGTAGAATTCAGCTCCTCGGGGATTATTGGATTGCAGGCTTCAGTTTCTCCTTGCTGACTGGCAACAGGCGGCCCTCAATTTCTTGAAACATGGGTCTCTCCTCAGGACAGCTTCCAACATGGCAGCTGCCTTCTCTCAAATGAGCAGGTGAAAGAGAGCAGGAGAACAAGGAGGAAGTCACAGTCTTATATAACTTAATCTTGGAACAAATATCCCATCACTTTTTTTCTATTGCATGTGTTATAACTGAGTCACTAGATTCAGCCTACACTCAAAGAATGGGGATTACACAAGAGAGTAAATGTAGGAGCTGGGGATAACTAGGAGACATGTTAAAGGCTGCCTTGCAAACTGCCTTACAGAATGTGTTGAGCTAACAAATTCAATGAGATAACACGTGTACTTAGAACAGTGCTTGAATGTAGTAAGCACTATGCATTAGATTTTATTATCTATGGCTGAGGCTGACTTTAAGACAATAAAGATGGATCCTGTTGGAACTGAAGAATGTACGTGCAACTTAAAAATATTTAAGCTCATATCTTATTTTTAAAAAACACGCTGATAAAATGTATCTATATATTTTTTTCAATACTGGAGGTGCCAGTTTATAATTTCTAGCCAGGAAATAAAACCTCTTAGTGAGGCAAATGCCATATATCCTAAATTTCAAGATGAATATTTTGGCTTTTTTTGAACTTTATATTCTGAAATGACTTCAAATTTTCAGAGATGGTACAAAAATAGTAAAAAGAACTCCACTATACTCTTCATTGAAATCTTCCCATTTGCTTTATTATGTCTCTCTCTGTGTCTGTGTCTCTCTCTATGTACATAAAACATACACATCTACATACATATATATTTATGTATATGCATATATATAATGTGCTTTTCTCTACCACCTGAGAAAAAGTGGAAAACACAATAACCCAATTATATCTTAACACTTTCTAAAAATGTACTCTTTTCTACATAACCACAATGTCAGGAAATTAACACTGATGCATTAGATTACCATCTAATTCATAGATCTCCCTCAAATTTTGTCAATTATTCAAGAAAGGTTCTCTAAATATCCAAGATCACACATTGAATTTAGTTGTCATGTTCCTCTAGTCTCCTTAAAATTGGAACAGCTCCTCAGTCATTCAGTCTCTTTCCTAAGTTCCATATTTTTATTGAATACAAGTTTGTAATTTCGTAGAAAGTCTCTCATTTGGGGTTTGTCTATTTTCCTTATGAGTAGATTATTGTTTTGGCAGGAAAACTAAAGATATAACATTATTTACTCCACATCATATCAGAGGGCAAATGATGTTGCTATGTTTCATTACTGGTGACATTACATTTTATTACTTGGATAAGATGATATCAGTCAAGTTTTTGTACTGGAAATTAAATATGTATTTTATATTCATTAATCAATGACTTATAGTTGTTTTATGTGAAGGTACTGTGAGTGAGAGCTTTCACTCTACTGAAGTTATTTAGGTGTTCATTATTCATCTGTAGCAGTATGGGCTCATGGTTTCCAATTATGCTTACAGAATTTAAAATCGAGAGCTAACATTTTATTTTAATGTTCAGTTTTCCTCAGAGTTGGCAACCTATTCAAATTAGTTATATTATGAGATATGTCCCCATTATTCTGTGAGCACTTCCTTACTTTCTGGTTCCAAAACATGTTCCAAGATCACCTTGCATTTTCCCTGCACCATCAATAGAGTCAGATATTCCTCTAATATACTATTTGGTTCCTTTCAGAGGAGATTTAAAAACCAAGATCTGCAAAGAGAAAAGTTCTGCAAGGGAAAGTTTACACATCTCAGTGGTGCTCAAAGCAACCACTGGAAAGTGAGGAATTAAAATTAGAACCTATTTATCTTAACTTATTCTTGATCTCCAAAGGGAAAAGTTATCCAAGGGGTGAAGATCACCTTGTATTTTCCCTGCACCATCAACAGAGTCAGATGTTTCTTCAGTATACTATCTGGTTCCTCTCAGAGGAGAATAGGATTTAAAAACCGAGATCTCCAAGGGGTGAAGTTCTCTAAGGGGAAGTATACACACCTCAGTCATGCTCAAAGCAACCACTGGAATGTGGGCAATGCAATTAGGATGTATTATTTTAACTGATTCTTGAAGACTTTATTTTAGCATATGATTTCTAATGTACACAATACATTATTAGTAAAATGATGCATGCATATAATGGAAAAACAAAACATATATTGGAGATCATGTTAAAAGAGTTACTGATCTAAGTTCTTAACCAAAAAAAGAAAAAGTTGTAGAACAGTTTTTTAACATAGCAAAGATGTTTTTTTTTGTTTTTGTTTTTGTTTTTGAGACGGAGTCTCGCTCTGTCGCCCAGGCTAGAGTGCAGTGGCGCGATCTCGGCTCACTGCAAGCTCCGCCTCCCGGGTTCACGCCATTCTCCTGCCTCAGCCTCCCGAGTAGCTGGGACTACAGGCGCCCGCTACCACGCCCGGCTAATTTTTTGTATTTTTAGTAGAGACGGGGTTTCACCGTGTTAGCCAGGATGGTCTCTATCTCCTGACCTCGTGATCCGCCCGCCTCGGCCTCCCAAAGTGCTGGGATTACAGGCGTGAGCCACCGCGCCCGGCCAGCAAAGATGTTTTTAACTTACAAAAAAAATGTAGGCATGATGTCACCCAGCAGAATAACAGGAAAACTCATTTTCAGTTGGCAGCGAATGCTAAAAAATAAATTATCTCCTAATATGTCAACCAGAAAAAAATAATAACTTATAGATCTTAATTACTCAATATAGTAGCCTATAGCTGCTTGTGGATATGGGCAACCATGGTGGATGACCCAGGAGAAAAGGAAATGTGCCTTTCTTATGTGCAACTCTATATCCAACATCTACTTTATCTCTGAGCCCCTTCTTTAGACCTAAGCGCAGATAAACTACTACCTTCTTACACTCCAAACCAATAATTATGATCCTGTTTTATAAAATTTGTTATAATCTCTCCTAACACAATCCCCAACAGCATGACATTTTATACAAAGTAATTGAGGACATCTATTTCGGGGTCTCCGTGACCAACACAGGTTTGGTGATTTGCTAGAAAGAGTCCCAAGATTCAAAGGCAGCTGTACTCATAGCTATGGTTTATTACAGCAACCAACAAGGGTAAAAGATTTACTAGGTCCACTCTTACATATTTGTAATTCACTATATAGGTACAGTCTAGAGGAACCCATGCCTATGTGTTAATTCCTCCAGGAACAAAATGTTGCAGTACTTGGGCATGGTTTCTGCCCTGGTAAGCCCATTTGAAAATCAGAATCCAAGATTTTTATTGTGGGTTGATCACTCAGACACATTCTGCCTGGGTAATAAACCATCATAGAAATCCGAGACTCTCAGAAGGAAAGCAAGTGTTCACTGTTAATCACAATGTGTGTGTACTGTCTAGACAGGTTGTACAACAGAATTCACAGGCACACAGAACAACCTTATCACTCAAGGAACTTCTCAAAAGCCAGCCAGGCAATGTTGTAAGCAGGCTCTTCTAACAATCAGGCCTTCAATGGTACCTCTCTTCTGTACACCCACCAAGGTGCCAGTTGTGACAAAAATGACTTTTTGTAGTGTTTCACTCTTACATATTTATAATTCGCTATATATGAAAAAGATAATATTTAGTCTTTAGGTTATTAATACATGATTTTCCACTTCAATTTAATCAATAAAAAGCCTTCAAAATTAATTTTCTGAAGAGAGTAACTAAACCAGATATATCCTTCAGGAAAATTTATCATGGCCAAATGGAAAAATATCAGTAATCAAAAAACCACTCAATTATTTGTAATAAAACAAATGTTTATTAATCCTTTACTTGGTCCCAGGAATTTAAGCCCTTTATATAACTGATTTTACTTTAATTGCCAAACAATCCCATAAGTCAGTTGTTTTCATATTTACTATTTTACAAGTAGGAAACTGAGTCTTAAAGAAATTAACTCATAAGCCTGTGGTTGCCCATCTGTAATGGGTAAAGAAAGCAAGGGAATCTGATTCCAGATGCTGACTACATAACTGTTAAACAACACTGCCTCACTTGTTTGAATTACTGAAGCATATTCTTTCATAGCCCAATTCTTAACTTATTATCTTTTCCTCCTCATTTATATACTTTCTTCAAGTCAGGTAATATGGACTGCTCTGTATGACAAGTTATGAGAGTAAGAAGCACGTATTTATCATCTGCTATATTTTCTCCAAAAATTCCTAATCATTCATTTACAAATGTATAAACTCCTCTTACTTATATTATACATAGAATAGTTCAAAAATACTATGAAAAACAAGAAATCCTTGAATTGCCCTCTTTTAATAGCTAGCCATTTATTCCAGTGTTTCTAAAGTAAGTAATTCTATTCATGAGTAATATATTTTAAATTCATTTGGCAAACATAGTGATCAAAAGTCATGATTTTGATTTGCTTACAACATTTTTTTAAAAGACAACTCCTTTTAAATTTCCAATTTCTAATTCCCAACATAATTTTGGAAATTGATGCTATGTCATTGTTGTCTGGGTTCAAAAAATTATAATGCAGCAGAAAAAAAATCTGAAGCTTTTAAGCAGTGAATTCAAGTACTTTTCAGGAGGAGACAATAAGAAACAAAAGATTAGTTATGTCTGTAGGGGGTAAATTGTCCTTGAAAGAAATAAAGGAAGCATAAAGAGGAATTTATAATATATCACTTGGGTTCAACAATATTAATTTATCTTAACCATCTTTGAAAGTCCTGACTACAGTGAAACTTTCCTAGGTGCATTTTAATTAGGGTGATACTGTCTCAATAAGCTACCCAGCATTCGTGAGAGAACAAACCATTATCTCAAAACCACTTGTCATGAAATATATTATAATATGAAATTAATAAATTAGTGTCCATAAGGGAACATAAAGTGTAGCATTTGAAAAAATTATAAAATTATTTCAATCACGGTTCACAGTGCCCTCAATGATTTGTAATACATACCATTCTTGGGGGAAAAAAAGCATCTTGTGAGAAGAGGTGAAGAAATATTTTCCCATTAGTGTCTTAACTTGAGGTTTTACATCAGTGTATGGTTTCCAACAAGATGAGTGTTGTGTCTTTCACCCCCAAAAGTCCTATCTTTTTCATCATTTTAAGTATTGAATCATCCTCACTTGTGAATAAGCCATCTGCTAAAAGCAATAATTTTAGGAACAATGTCCCAAAACAGCTTCCCATAGATAGCTGCTGGCAGCTCTGGCATTTGGGAGCATAATCCTTTTAAACTGAAATCTGCCCTCATAGGTACAGGTTTGTAGATCCTCAGAGCATCACAAGTTCTTTACATTTGTGATGAAGGTCAAATTAGAGAAAAGGATATTTAAGCTGAAATTTAGCTGATTTTATTTCTCAATTGTGTTATCAAATTTCAAACTCCAAATAACCAAAAATATGCGAAGAATCTTAGTGAAAACCTAACATTCATCTTTTGGAAACTATTAACGTCCCTGATCCATGAGAAACTGGATGATCATATATTCCCTAAATCACAGATGAATAATTCATCTTTCCCATTATTGCATTTTGCCTTTCAGCCTTGATCTCCACAACTCCTCTCCTGCAATGCATATTTAAAGTACTTGGTAAGTTCTTAATTCCCAGGGCCTTGGCCAAAGAATCACGGAACAGAGGTGGGAAATAAACCTAGACTGAAAGGTCTGGTTTTGAACCCTTATTCTCCTAGTAAATACCCACATGATACTGGAAAAATCACTTGTTTTGTAAAGTGAATAAAGTGTCCTAATGATCTCTAAGATGCTTTCAATGTTAAACATATTGTGATTTACTCTTTCATTATATTTATTAGGTCAAATCATTACACAAATCATGCAAAAAAGAAAGTTTTTCTTTGTTATAAAATAATTTTAGTTATAATGGTTGTAAAATTCTTCTGTGTATATTCATTTCAGGATTTAACATACAAGTTAAACTTATAAGTAACATGACAACTTACACAGGAAAATGGTTTTAGAAAGTCCAAATGTCACTTCTTCAAGTACAATTGTGGGATCATTTTACTTAATTTTGTTTTTTCAAATTATTAATTGACTGTGTTCAAAAATATTTTGTCAACTCTTTATACAGAAATATGAAAACAACATGCTTCTGATAAAACTATCAAATTTCCTATAACAGGCTTAGAGTGTTTAGCATTAAACACTTTAATTGATCTACTACACATATCAATTTTGTTCTTCATGAGATAGTATTTAACCTAAAAATTTGCATATATAAAGTATATTTTAGCTTTACATGTGTTGTCTTTTCTTTAGGTTTTTTATTATCTTCTAAAACATTAATCAAAATTAAATATCTAGAAAGATTAAGCAGATCATATGAAATTATCTGCATAATTCTAGCAGAAGAAACAATTTTCTTCCTCTTCTACTGTTTCTATGTTGCCTATCCTATATGGACATTAGCTCCTTTGAAAGTACTGGAAATAGTGTCTTCTAGCTCCTTTCCACTTACTCACTCACTCACGATCTTGGAAAAACTTACGACTTAGCTGTTGATTTTAGGGAAAAATCCAGAGTAAATGGTGGCCTAGACTTTATTTTAGAGAATCTGTACTCAGGACACTTCATTCTCTGTTGCTTTATTGTGTAACTTTACCATGAGATATCCTTCATTAGCAAGGTGAAAAGCATGCAGAAGTGGGTGGGTAATTTCAATTTATATGTGAAGAGTGAAAATATCATGTGGTCTAAAAGTAGATACGTTGTTTTCCATTTGCATTATTCCTGAACCTATTTCTCAGTTAGTTTGAGCTTCAGAAAAAAAAAAAAAATGAAGAAAGAAAAGGTTTGAAAACCATCAACATTTCATCAAAAGCCCAGTGCTTTGACCTGAATCCTCCCCAAATTCATCGGTTGAAAATGAATCCCCATTATGGTGGGGTTAAGAGATGGGACTTTTCAGGAAATAATTACATAATGAAGGCAGAACGCTCATGAATAAATTAGTGTGTTATAAAAGAGCTGGAGGAAACTAGCCGAGGACTTTTTTCCCCTCTGTCCCTTCCACCCTGTGAGGACACAGTATGTGTGCCTTCCAGAGGATATGGCAACAAGGCACCACATTGGAAACAGATAGAACCAGCCTCACCAAACACTGACTTTGGACTTCTACCCTCCAGAACTATGAGAAAAGAATTTCTGCTTGTTATAGATTACCCTGTCTCAGGTATTTTGTTATTAGCAGCACAAATGGACTAAGACATCATGTAAAGTAAAAGTTTCCAAGGTATGGATCTGATGAACCTTTATACTATTGAGAATGAAATTACCTTTTCAGAAGAAAATATAATTGACTAATTTTAGGCACAATTAATCAATTACCTCAAAAAAGGTTAATTCCCTTTGAAAATAATTATTATACCATTATCATTTAAATCACATTTTCTTTGAGAATTTAAAAATGCCCTCCATCTGCTTGTTAATTAAGTTATTAATCTTTGCAGCATTTTAATGAAGTAATAGTGACTGTGTCAGATAAAAAGAAGAAAAATTTTAAAACATTTAGAAAATAGGAAAAAGTTCATTTACTTAATCTAAGAAGTATTCTTACTTAACCATGATACTTGCTTTCATATGTTATTTTATTTTTATGCTTTTATTTAACAAAATATATCCATATGTACTGAGATAATCTTAAGTAAATTGATTATATTATCTTAAGGAGACTCTGAAACCAATGATACCAATTATGATGTTTAAAACTATGGTTGAAAATATAAAGGAAAAGTTGACATGAATATCTGATCAATGAAAATATTAACAATATTTACACAAAGGGTATGACAAAATGTATGCTCTTATTTTTGGAAAACTTAAAACCACTCAATAAAATTACATCGAAATTTATACATCTATCTCTGAACAATTTTAAGTCACTTGATAAAGAATATTTGTAATAAAGAACATTAAGATACTAGTAATTTTCATATGGTAATTTTCCAAATGGTTCTTCAGTTGGCCACACCTAATTATTAAGTTCTTGTGTAGCATTGTCCACTACAACATGGGCTGGTCTTGAGACTTGCTTTTGACCACTGAAACTCAGTGAGGCTGGCCAGGTGTGGTGGCTCATGCCTGTAATCCCAGCACTTTGTGAAGCATAGGCTGGCAGATCACTTGAGACCAGGAGTTTGAGACCAGCCTGGCCAACATGGCAAAACACTGTCGCTAATAAAAATACAAAAATTAGCTGGGCATGGTGGCACATGCCTGCAATCTCACATACTTTGGAGGCTGTGGCACAAGAATGGCTTGAACCTGGGAAGTGGACATTGCAGTGAGCCGAGATTGTACCACTGTATTCCAATCTATGTGACAGAGCAAGACTCTGTCTCAAAAAAAGAAGAAGAACAACAACAACAACAACACAGTAAACACAGTGAAGCTATGTCATAAGAATCATAAGAAGACTTGCAACTTCTAACTGGATCACTTGTAATGCAGCTTCTCAGGACCCAGTCACAATTCTCTGCAAAGCCCAGACAATAGGGAGGTCCCATGGTCTATAGCTTATGTATATTTACTGAGACCAGAGCCAACAATAAATATTAGCTGTCAGCCATGTGAATTATACATCTTGGACATTCAACTTAATTTAGTCTTTAGTGTCCCCAAATGCTATCTGATAGCAACTTCAGAAGAGAATCCAAGTGAGAACTCCTCAACTGCCACAATTAAGCCAATTAAGCCACAAAATCATGAGAAAATTTTTCTTGTTAATATTTTTAGCAGTAAAGTTTCAGATGATTTATTATAAAGCAGAAATAACTGGAAGAGAAATTGGTACCCAGAATGGGGTGCTACAATTGAAAAAAAATTCTTAAACTATATGGCATTACCTTTAAGACTGGGTGACTACTAGAGGTCTCAAAAGCATCAAGAAGATTGGTAGTGGAAGCTAGAAGGACAGTAAAATAAATTTTCTTGGAGGCTGGAAGAAAGATTATCTTGTTATATAAGGGCAGAAATTTTAGTAAAACCATTGCCTGTGATAACATGGAAAACAGACATTTTGAACTGGTACATTTGACCACGGAGACTTCCACACAAAAGTTGCAAATGCCAGCTGGTTTTCCATAGCAGTACATGATAAGATATGGATAGAATGAAGTAAGCTAAAAACAAACTGTTCTATTTTCAAGCAAAATATTCAAGAGAGAAAAAGAAATCAGAAGTTCACGTGTTTTAAAAAAAAAAAAAAAAAAAAACTGTGTCGTATTCTCAGCTTCCCTAAATGTCACAAGGCTATCAAAGTAAGAAATGTCCTTAGAGTAAAGGCCATCTCAACAATGTGGCTGTAGAGCCATTTGTTAAGACTTGGGAAAGATTCAAGGAGCATTTTATACACTCAAATAAACAAAAATGTTTCCAGAATTTTAAAATCATTGCATCCTGGAAAAGGTAGGCCTTATCTTAAATAAATTTGTGGCCAAGACGTTTATCTAATGAATGAATTCTATGATATTCATAGGAAAACCACAAGAATTTTTAATAGTGTAGTATTTAAGAAAGCACTCTTAGGTTGTAGTAAAATGGAAAGAAAATTCAAAATTAAGTGGGTCCTTTGTGCCCCAACCCCATGTATGGGTAGAAATCAGGTTGAGGAAGTTACTAAAATGCAAATGTTGTCCATTTCTTGTAAAAAAAGAGGAATTTTGAATGGGAAAGTAGAGCCAAGAGTCCAGATGGTGGAACTAAGAATCTATACAGTGAAAACAACTTGCTAAGAGCCATGGAGAACAAATTCCAGGTAATAGTACTGAGGTCTAACCAAGGACACAGTGTTCTGTGTCTGGTTAGATTTGAGAATTGCTATGAATAGCTTATTGGTATGTGTGATTTCTACTATTCTTATACAAGAATGACTATTGCATTTATTTTATCCTTGTATCACCATTGTACGTTGGAAGTATGCCTTTTCATTGAGATAAATTCAGATGGAGAAAAATAATATTCTAGAAATGATGCACCAGAAACTCTTTGTGTTAGGCTGAATAATGTCTCCAAAGATGTTTCTGTCATACCCGCCAGAACCTATGAATATGTTACCTTACACGGGAAAAGAGACTTTATAGGTGTACATCATATTGACATGGAGAAATTATCCTGAATTACCTGAGTAGGTCCAGGGTAATCACAAGTGTTTTTATAGAATGGAGACCACAAGCCAGACAAGAGAAAAGTTGCTAAGCATCTGGCTTTGAAGATAGAGTAAGGAACCAGAAACCAAGGAATACACATGATCTCTGGAAGCCTAGAAAGGCAAGGAAATTCATTTTTCCCTAAAGACTTGAGAATAACTGCAGCCATTCTCAATTTGAAGCTTCTGATTATAGATTTCTAACCTAGATTATAGACTTCTGACTTCCAGATCTATAATAGAATTAATTTGTATTGTTTTAAACCACTAAATTTGTAGTGATGTGTTCTAGCAGCAACAAGAAATCAATACTCTACCCCTAAGGAATTTTATCACCACTTTGCTATCACTTGAATGTTACATCCTGGACTTCAGTCTTGAAACTAATGCTATAAAGGAATAAATCTTTGGGTTTCTTAAGAAAGAGTAAGAGTATATTGCCTCTGTGATGCATATGATGAGGGACTGAGGAGAAAACAGTTGTATCTGGTCTCCAGAGATGGCCTTCAATAAACCACAACTTTATGGTATTTGTACCTTTGTGTAACCCATTCCCCTTGAGTCTCTCCTGGTCTTAGGTGCTATGATGGATTTTGACCAACAGAATGCAGTAGAAATGAACCTGTAAAAAGCTTTACAATATCTGCATGGGTCTTTCTGAATGCTCATTTTTGGAATGATTCCTGTCGGAGCCGAACTACTATGCTATGAGAAACCCAAGCCACATGTAGGTGATCTGGTCAGCAGCCATACTGATACCGTCTAGCAGCTAGCATCAACTGCCAGCCGTGTAAGTGAGCCATTGTGGCTGCCCAGATTAATCAAAGGCTTCAATGACTCTAGCCTCAACCACTATCTACAAAAGCATGAAAAGCACTAAGTGAGAACTCACCAGCTAAGAGTGGGATACTGACAGAATTCTGAGATATAATTATAAATTGTTACTTTTACATTACCAGATTTAGGATTGTATCACTACATAACGATAGACGAAAACATTTCATTAAATTATGATTAACAAAATCAGTCACAATTTATATAAGAGTAATAATAAGCCTTCTCATCTCTTTATAAAGAAGTAAGGTACAAAATACTAAGTGATTAAAGTTTTACCTAAAGATTATAAGAATTACAGATAATAGGAGAGAAAGGCATTTCTGTCTTATTTGATTAGTTAATGACTAAACTGTTATATAGAGATATACACCAAGGCTATGAGCATCCAGAAAGGAAATACCTAATCTAGAAGAATTTCCAGAGGAAATACTGCCAAAAATAATGACTGAATATGCTGGCTCATGCCTGTAATCCCAGCACTTTCGGAGGCTGAGGTGGGAGAGTTGCTTGAGCCCAGGAGGTCAAGACCAGTCTAGACCACATAGGGAGACTCAGTGCCTAAAAAAAAAAAAAATATATATATATATATATACACACATATATATATACACACATATAAATATATACTATATTTTTATATTATATATATTTTATATTTTATATATATATATATAAAATAGCCAGGTGTGGGGGTACATGCCTGTGGTCCCAGCTACTTGGGAGGCTTAAGTGGGAGGAGCACTTGAGCCTAGGAGTTCAAGGCTATAGTAACTTGTTATGCCACAACATTCCAGCCTGGGTGACACAGAAAGACCCTGTCTCAAAAAAATAAAATAAAATAAAAACAGTGCTTACAGTACAACATAAAATATGAATCAAAACTAGACTGTGGAGAGAGCTATAGTTGTTCAGACTGAACACTAAAGAAATTGTGCACATTTAAAGAGAGAATGAATGAACAAAATATATATGTAAAGAAATTACAAATTACAAAAATACAGAGCAGATATGAACAAATATAGCTGAAAAATAAGGTTGTTTAACTTATTGTTTATATATACAGTGCATGAAAAACCTTAGAATTAAGAAAATATCCAAATAACCTTATTTTTGACACATAATCAACCAAGAAAGGTTAAGTTTTAAAAATCCATATAAAGGAGAATCTCATCAGCAAGATGGTGAAATAAGACTTTCCAGTGCTTGTTTCCCTGTAGAAACATCAATTTGAACAACCATTGATTCATGGAAATACTTTGACAAGAGCTGAGTATCCAGATGAGAGATGATAACACCTGGATGTAGCACAGAAATAAGAAAAGACACATTGAAGAGGAGAGGAAGGAGTTTCACATTATCCATGTCATCTCCCCAGCATCCCAAAAGCATAGTGTGGAGAAAGACAACTTTTGCTTGGAGGAAAGAGAGGAACACAAGATTAGGACTTTGTGTTGAACACCCACATTGAGCTTCCCATAGCAAAATCTGTGACTGAGCATACCCCCCATTGACACTGACTCCAGGCCAGCACCCACAGACTGAGCCACCTGGCTGGCCCTGGTTCCAGGCACTATCCCACAACCTCAAAGACGAGGCCTGCCTGAAGAATTCAGCTTTCAGGCTTGTCCCACTGCCAGCTCAACCCCAGTGGACAAGACAGTAGGAAAGCCCCAGAACTGGGTCAGCCCAGTGGCCCTGAGCTGTAGGCCTGCCCTAGCACCAGGCCAGCCCCAACAGTCTCAGGCTCTGGACTGCACTGGGTACTAGTCTTGCCCCCACGGCTTTACTTATTAGGCCAAAATCCACAGACCCAGCCTCCAGTCCTACCCCAGGTTCCAGACCAATCAAGAGCCAGGCTGGACAACACATCCCCAGGTTTCAGGCCCACCAGGCACCAAGTCAGCAGCACCCTTGGCCTCTGGCACCAGGCCAACATGTGCAGACACAGGCACCAGGCCTGCACTATGGTTTTTGCAGCCCTGCTCTGAACTAAATGTGCAGGACCTTCAAGAGGTCTATTCTGTCAAAGTCAGGGCTCTGCTAAGGAAATAATGTAATACTAAGACTAGATATACACATTTGGCTGGATGAGTTTGTAAATTATGAATTTCCTTTACCCCACTGGGCCAGAATTCCATGTCTCCCAGCACTGCATAAAGCTCAGTTCAACTTTCACTGCCATAAGCAATCACTCTGTGGTAAGCTTCAGAGAGTCCTGTCTTTAGGCATACTATGCAGCACATCCTTAGCTAAGCTCTTACAGAAGACCACCACAGAGACTTTTGCTCCCCTCCACATGCATATATTCCTCTTCTACTCTCCCTCATCCTGTGGACTGCAACCTGCTTCAGATGCCTAAACTGCCATGCCTGACTCCCCGGCTCAGTGGGGTGGCTGTTGTCTACCAGGGCTCCAGCTTGCTGTTTCAAGGTAAGCTCAATATCCTCAAGCAAAGAGCTGTGGGCACCATAGGGTGCATTATATTCACTTCCACTCTCTCATACATTACATTAATAGGCTATCGTTCAAAACCTGAAAATTATGGTCTCATAGATTTCATCCACTTTTACATTTCTTTATATTGCAGTGGCCAGTCCAGTACTAATTATTCTGTCATCACCAGAAGGAAAAGGCATTTCTACCTCTAAATAAACATTATATACATTTTTTAATTTAAATTGCACAACTATTATACCTGAACTTGGGAGATAATTAAGAGCTATCAAATATGCATATTTAATTAGCTCAATTGAGCTATTCTATAATATAATACATATTTCGAAACATGTTGCATCAAATAGAGTTTTTGTTTTTATTTCTTTTTTTTCAATAAAGCTATTATCTTTATTTGATCTGATTTTCATTTTTTTCTTTCTTTTATTATACTTTAAGTTTTAGGGTATATGTGCACAATGTGCAGGTTTGTTACATATGTATACATGTGCCATATTGGTGTGCTGCACCCATTAACTCGTCATTTAACATTCGGTATATCTCCTAATGCTATCCTTTCCCCCTCCCCTCATCCCACAACAGGCCCCTGTGTGTGATGTTCCCCTTCCTGTGTCCATGTGTTCTCATTGTTCAATTCCCACCTATGAGTGAGAACATGCAGTGTTTGGTTTTTTGTCCTTGCGATAGTTTGCTGAGAATGATGGTTTCCAGCTTCATCCATGTCCCCACAAAGGGCATGAACTCATCATTTTTTATGGATGCATAGTATTCCATGGTGTATATGTGCCACATTTTCTTAATCCACTCTATCATTGTTGGACATCTGGGGTGGTTCCAAGTATTTGCTATTGTGAATAGTGCCGCAATAAACATATGTGTGCATCTGTCTTTATAGCAGCATGTTTTATAATCCTTTGGGTATATACCCAGTAATGGAATGGCTGGGTCAAATGGCATTTCTAGTTCTAGATCCCTGAGGAATCGCCACACTGACTTCCACAGTGGTTGAACTAGTATACAGTCCCACCAACAGTGTAAAAGTGTTCCTATTTCTCCACATCCTCTCCAGCACCTGTTGTTTCCTGACTTTTTAATGATCGCCATTCTAACTGGTGTGAGATGGTATCTCATTGTGGTTTTGATTTCTCTGATGGCCAGTGATGATGAGCATTTTTTCATGTGTTTTTTGGCTGCATAAATGTCTTCTTTTGAGAAGTGTCTGTTCGTATCTTTCGCCCACTTTTTGATGGGGTTGTTTGTTTTTTTCTTGTAAATTTGTTTGAGTTCATTGTAGATTCTGGATATTAGCCCTTTGTCAGATGAGTAGATTGCAAAAATTTTCTCCCATTCTGTAGGTTGCCTGTTCACTCTGATGGTAGTTTCTTTTGCTGTGCAGAAGCTCTTTACTTTAATTAGATCCCATTTGTCAACTTTGGCTTTTGTTGCCATTCCTTTTGGTGTTTTAGACATGAAGTCCTTGCCCATGCCTATGTCCTGAATGGTGTTGCCTAGGTTTTCTTCTAGGGTTTTTATGGTTTTAGGTCTAACATGTAAGTCTTTAATCCATCTTGAATTGATTTTTGTATAAGGTCTAAGGAAGGGATCCAGTTTCAGCTTTCTACATATGGCTAGCCAGTTTTCCCAGCAACATTTGCTAAATAGGGAATCCTTTCCCCATTTATTGTTCTTGTCAGGTTTTGTCAAAGATCAGATGGTTGTAGATATGCGGCATTATTTCTGAGGGCTCTGTTCTGTTCCATTGATCTATATCTCTGTTTTGGTAGTAGTACCATGCTGTTTTGGTTACTGTTGACTTGTAGTATAGTTTGAAGTCAGGTAGCGTGATGCCTCCAGCTTTGTTCTTTTGGCTTAGGATTGACTTGGCAATGCGGGCTCTTTTTTGGTTCCATATGAATTTTAAAGTAGTTTTTTTCCAATTCTGTGAAGAAAGTCATTGGTAGCTTGATGGGGATGGCATTGAATCTATAAATTACCTCAGGCAGTATGGCCATTTTCACGATATTGATTCTTCCTACCCATGAGCATGGAATGTTCTTCCATTTGTTTGTATCCTCTTTTATTTCATTGAGCAGTGGTTTGTAGTTCTCCTTGAAGAGGTCCTTCACATCCCCTGTAAGTTGGATTCCTAGGTATTTTATTCTCTTTGAAGCAATTGTGAATGGGAGTTCACTCATGATTTAGCTCTCGCTTGTCTGTTATTGGTGTATAAGAATGCTTGTGGTGTTTGCACATTGATTTTGTATCCTGAGACTTTGCTGAAGTTGCTTATAAGCTTAAGGAGATTTTGGGCTGAGATGATGGGGTTGTCTAGATATACAATCATGTCATCTGCAAACAGGGACAATTTGACTTCCTTTTTTCCTAATGAATACCTTTTATTTCCTTCTCCTGCCTGATTGCCCTGGCCAGAACTTCCAACACTCTGTTGAATAGGAGTGGTGAGAGAGGGCATCCCTGTCTTGTGCCTGTTTTCACAAGGAATGCTTCCAGTTTTTTCCGTTCAGTATGATATTGGCTGTGGGTTTGTCATAGATAGCTCTTATTATTTTGAGATACATCCCATCAATACCTAATTCATTGAGAGTTTTTATAGCATGAAGTGTTGTTGAATTTTGTCAAAGGCCTTTTCTGCATCTATTGAGATAATCATGTGGTATTTGTCATTGATTCTGTTTATATGCTGGATTACGTTTATTGATTTCTATACATTGAACCAGCCTTGCATCCCAGGGATGAAGCCCACTTGATCATGGTGGATAAGCTTTTTGATGTGCTGCTGGATTTGGTTTGCCAGTATTTTACTGAGGATTTTTGCATCGATGTTCATCAAGGATACTGTTCTGAAATTCTCTTTTTTGGTTGTGTCTCTGCCAGCCTCTGGTATCAGGATGATGCTGGCCTCATAAAATGAGTTAGGGAGGATTCCTTCTTTTTCTATTGATTGGAATAGTTTCAAAAGGAATGGTACCAGCTCCTTCTTGTACCTCTGGTAGGATTCAGCTGTGAATCCATGTGGTCCTGGACTTTTTTTGGTTGGTAAGCTATTAATTATTGCCTCAATTTCAGAGCCTGTTATTGGTCTATTCAGAGATTCAACTTCTTCCTGGCTTAGTCTTGGGAGGGTGTATGTGTCCAGGAATTTATCCATTCCTTCTAGATTTTCTAGTTTATTTGCATAGAGGTGTTCATAGTATTCTCTGATGGTAGTTTTTATTTCTGTGGGATCAGTGGTGAGATCCCCTTTATCATTTTTTATTGGGTCTATTTGATTCTTCTCTCTTTTCTTCTTCATTAGTCTTGCTAGCAGTCTATCAATTTTGTTGATCTTTTCAAAAAACCAGCTCCTGGATTCATTGATTTTTTGAAGGATTTTTTGCATCTCTATTTCCTTCAGTTCTGCTCTGATCTTAGTTATTTCTTGCCTTCTGCTAGCTTTTGAATGTGTTTGCTCTTGCTTCTCTAGTTCTTTTAATTGTGATGTTAGGGTGTCAATTTTAGATCTTTCCTGCTTTCTCTTGTGGGCATTTAGTGCTATAAATTTCCCTCTACACACTGCTTTGAATGCATCCCAGAGATTCTGGTATGTTGTGTCTTTGTTCTCGTTGGTTTCAAAGAACATCTTTATTTCTGCCTTCATTTCATTATGTACCCAGTAGTCATTCAGGAGCAGGTTGTTCAGTTTCCATGCAGTTGAGTGGTTTTGAATGAGTTTCTTAATCCTGAGTTCTAGTTTGATTGCACTGTGGTCTGAGATACAGTTTGTTATAATTTCTGTTCTTTTCCATTTGCTGAGGAGTGCTTTACTTCCAACTATGTGGTCAATTTTGGAATAAGTGTGGTGTGGTGCTGAAAAGAATGTATATTCTGTTGATTTGGGGTGGAGAGTTCTGTAGATGTCTATTAGGTCCGCTTGGTGCAGAGCTGAGTTCAATTCCTGGGTATCCTTGTTAACTTTCTGTCTCATTGATCTGTCTAATATTGACAGTGGGGTGTTAAAGTCTCCCATTATTATTGTGTAGGAGTCTAAGTCTCTTTGTAGGTCTCTAAGGACTTGCTTTATGAATCTGGGTGCTCCTGTATTGGGTGCATATATATTTAGGATAGTTAGTTCTTCTTGTTGAATTGATCCCTTTACCATTATGTAATGGCCTTCTTTGTCTCTTTTGATCTTTGTTGGTTTAAAGTCTGTTTTATCAGAGACTAGGATTGCAACCCCTGCCTTTTTTTGTTTTTCATTTGCTTGGTAGATCTTCCTCCATCCCTCTATTTTGTGCCTATGTGTGTCTCTGCACGTCAGATGGGTTTCCTGAATACAGCACACTGATGGCTCTTGACTCTTTATCCAGTTTGCCAGTCTGTCTTTTAATTGGAGCATTTAGCACATTTACATTTAAGGTTAATATTGTTATGTGTAAATTTGATCCTGTCATTATGATGTTAGCTGGTTATTTTGCTTGTTAGTTGATGCAGTTTCTTCCTAGCCTCGATGGTCTTTACAATTTGGCATGCTTTTGCACTGGCTGGTGCCGGTTGTTCCTTTCCATGTTTAGTGCTTCCCTCAGGAGCTCTTTTAGGGCAGGCCTGGTGGTGACAAAGTCTCTCAGCATTTGCTTGTCTGTAAAGGATTTTATTTCTCCTTCACTTATGAAGTTCAGTTTGGCTGGATATGAAATTCTGGGTTGAAAATTCTTTTCTTTAAGAATGTTGAATATTGGCCCCCACTCTCTTCTGGCTTGTAGAATTTCTGCCGAGAGATCAGATGTTATTCTGATGGGCTTCCCTTTGTGGGTAACCTGACCTTTCTCTCTGGCTGCCCTTAACATTTTTTCCTTCATTTCAACTTTGGTGAATCTGACAATTATGTGTCTTGGAGCTGCTCTTCTCAAGGAGTATCTTTGTGGCATTCTCTGTATTTCCTGAATTTGAATGTTGGCCTGCCTTGCTACATTGGGGAAGTTCTCCTGGATAATATTCTGCAGAGTGTTTTCCAACTTGGTTCTATTCTCCCTGTCACTTTCAGGTACACCAATCAGACATAGATTTGGTCTTTTCACATAGTCCCATATTTCTTGGAGGCTTTGTTCATTTCTTTTTATTCTTTTTTCTCTAAACTTCTCTTCTTGCTTCATTTCATTCATTTGATCTTCCATCACTGATACCCTTTCTTCCAGTTGATCGAATCGGCTACTGAGGCTTGTGCATTTGTCACGTAGTTCTCGTGCCGTGGTTTTCGGCTCCATCAGGTCCTTTAAGGACTTCTCTGCATTGGTTATTCTAGT